>NC_000023.11:19713245-20016275 GCF_000001405.40 Homo sapiens | reverse complement strand
TAGAAGAGGAAGCCCGAAAGCAGGAAGAAGAAAGGAAGCGGCAGGAAGAGGAAAAGAAAAAACAGGAAGGGGAAGAGAAAAGAAAGGCAGGCGAGGAGGCCAAGCGGAAGGCTGAGGAGGAGCTGTTGTTGAAAGAAAAGCAAGAACAAGAAAAACAAGAGAAAGCCATGATTGAAAAGCAGGTACTGTATGAGTCCTCAGATGGACTTTACTTGTTTTTTAAGGACCTTGATAGTAGGTACAATTAGTTAAATTTCAATGACTCATAATGTTTACTTGAAGTTTCTTCTTAAACTGTCTGGGCTGGTTATTAAATATAAGTTGGGGCAGTTGCAGTGAAGTTGGTAATGTTTGCCATCTGTGAGTTAGGGTTTCCCCAAAGGCAAACCCTGGGCTAAGAATTTGAGTGCCAGCAGTTTTTTTTGCAAGCGAATCCCAGGAAGCTGGTAGAGGAATAGGAGAAAAGCCAATGTAAGTGCATTGATGCATGTGTTACTGTGGGTGACTGGAACACAGTCCCATTGGGAACCTCTGACAGACTGTGGATCATGCTTTAGAATTGTCCAGCTGAGGGATGAGGAAACTGAACTACTTATCTACCACATCCTGCCCTTCACGGTAGTAGAAGGTCACTCCCTGGGGAATTAACTCTCTGATCTGGCCACATGCACACTTCATGGCCCAAGCCTGCCCACAGACACAGAAAAGCCTTGGCCATGTGTGAGAACTGTCTGCAGGTGATTTGCATGGTGAGCCAGGGGTATATGAATGAGGTCCAACCATGTTTGCTGTGTCATGCAGTGGTTTGTATAAATCCACATTGAATATTGGAGCAGCATCCACTTTAGGGCAGATGATGAGATGAAGGAACATGTGCAAAGCCAGGGAATTACCACACTGTTTTCTTAGCTTATTAAAGCTTTGCCTTGATTTACCTGTTTCTGTTAGAAAGAAGCAGCAGAAACAAAGGCCCGGGAGGTAGCTGAACAGATGCGTCTCGAGAGAGAACAGATTATGCTGCAGATTGAGCAGGAGAGACTGGAGAGAAAGAAGGTAAGGGCTGAGGGTCAGGAAGACCTAGGGTAAGTGAACAGGAAGTAAATCCAGTTCTCTTCTGCAGTGATTGGATAGAATGATCCTAGGATTGTCAGTTAGGTCAAGTTCATTGATACCACTGTTCAAATCTTTTATGTCTTTATTAGTTTTTTGCCATCTCGTTCCATCAGTGATTGAGAAAGATTGTTAAAAACTCCATCTGTAGCGAGGCATGGTGGCTCACACCTGTAATCCCAGCATTTAGGGAGGCAGAGGCGGGAGGATCACTTGAGCCCAGAAGTTCCAGACCAGCTTGAGTAATACAGTGAAACCCTGTCTCTACTAAAAATACAAAAAATAGCTGGGTGTGATGGCATGTGTCTGTAGTCCCAGCTACGTAGGAGGTTGAGGTGGGAAGATGACCTGAACTCGGGAAGTTAAGCCTGCAGTGAGCCGAGATCATGCCACTGCAGTCCAGCCTGGGGAACAGGAGTGAGACCCTGTCCCAAATAATAGAAAAAAGAATAACTCCATCTGTGATTATGGATTTGTCCATTTTTCCTTTCAGTTCTGTCAGGTTTTGTTTTATATATATTTATCGTGATATGCCTTTGTCTCTAGTGATATTTCTTGTCTTAAAGTCTACTTTGACAGCCCCCTGCCTTTTATTTTTTTGAGACAGTCTCACTCTATTGCCCATGCTGGAGTGCAGTGGTGTGATCTCGGCTCACCACAACCTCCACCTCCCAGGTTCAAGCGATTCTCCTGCCTCAGCCTCCCAACTAGCTGGGATTACAGGCGCACACCACCACACCTGGCTAATTTTTGTATTTTTAGTAGAGATGGGATTTCACCATGTTGGCCAGGCTGGTCTCGAACTCCTGGACTCAAGGGATCCTCCTGCCTCGGCCTTCCAAAGTGCTGGGATTATAGACGTGAGCCACTGTGCTTGGCCTGACAGCCCTTTTATGATTAGTGTCTGTATGTCAAATCTTTTTCACCCTTCTACTTAAAACTTCTTCTGTGTGTTTTTATAAGTAAAGAGCATATAGCCAGGAATTGTTATTTTAATTCTGTTTGACAGTCTTTGTCTTTTAATTGGAGTGTTTAGTCCATTTACACTAACTATACTTATGGGTAAAATTGGGTTTAAGCAGACTGATTATAAAGGAGTATTCTCATGGTGTCCTAGGCCCAACCTGGGCTTTGTATTGCTGTAGGCCTGGGATCCAGGAGACCAGCCTGTGGCCTTCTCTCCTGAGATGCACCTCAGCCTCAGCCTCACTTTCTGTAGGGTGGTGCTCTTTAATGGCAGGTGGTAATTTGTTGATTTATACAGAGCCTAAGGAGAAGAAGGAGAAATATGGGATATAAATCGAATATTGATTCTAGATACGTACTAGTTAACTTCTCAAGCATTTGACCTTGTCCATGGGGCCGGAGGTGTACATCTCCAAAACTAGTGGAAAACCTTTCTATACTTGTTATCCTCTTCTGACTTTTGCCTTTTACAAGTTTTCTGAGAAATGTGACATTGCATGTAAACCAAGCTACTTTTATGTTTTTGGTCTTATTGTCCTCTTACTTGATTTTGTTTTTTGTTTTTTGTTTTTAGAGAATAGATGAAATCATGAAGAGAACAAGGAAAAGTGATGTGTCTCCACAAGTGAAGGTAGGAATTCAAATGACCATTTTAATAGTTTATGTACTAAGTAGAAAAGAACAGCAGAATACACTCAGTGAAATTGTAGGTCTTGGCGACGATTAGCCAGAAAAAAATGCAGTTTTCCTGCTTTGTTCCTGGCTAGGTTAAGGAGGGTTAGGTACCTGAAAAGAAAGAGGGGCTTCAGAGGTGGGATGGGTAAGAGATTTCCTTAGAGTCATGGGAGGTGGGATGAAGAGAGAGGCATAGTAGTCCATGAATAAAAAAGAGAATCCTGACATAAAAATACGTAAGAATAAGGGAAACACAGCTGAAGATTTAAAGAATTACCACAGAACAGGCAGATGGTCCAGGCTCAAAATATCATCGGATGCTTTTAAAAAGTACTTTTTTTCTGTGTGATGTCAGCCTTCCCTCATTTCATTCACCTTCCATTTGTTTTCAGAAAGAAGACCCCAAAGTGGGGGTCCAGCCTGCTGTGTGTGTGGAAAAGAAGACAAAACTGGTTGTCCCCAACAAAATGGGTGAGTGTGACATCTGGTTCTTGGGTTCTTCCTTTTAGTAGCAAAAGCTCGTAAGACTTGGTGTAGGGTAAACAGACCCATGGATCCCAAGAGGGTGACTGCTGGCAGGGGCCTGTGCAGTTTCCCTTCCCTGGGAATGTGTCTCCAGCACAGGGACTGTCAGCTCCACTTGGGAACCCACTGGGTTCCTTGGTTACTCCCATAATCCCAGCATAGGAGGCACTCTGGCTGCTGGCTCACAGTGCTTTCCAGGGAGCTTAACTGCTGGTCAGGTTTTATTACTGTTAGGACCTGACTCTGCTCTTCTCCAGAGGTTCTGCACAGACACTGATAATGTGATTTGTCTTCTCTTCTCCTGTGTGAAGGTGATTATATGGGTTTATTTGTGGCTCTTTCCACAAAAGATGCTGCAGTATCAGTGAAGCAGAGCATTAAATTAATTGCCTTGATCTATATTTCTCTGTTACTTTATTTAGACATTTTATGATTAACACAAGGGACTTTGTGTTCTCGATCAGAAATCAATGGATTGAACACCTGCCAGGAAGTTAATGGTGTGGATCACGCTGCCCCAGAAACTTATCCCCAAGACATTTTCTCTAATGGGCTTAAGCCAGCTGGGGGACTCATTCATCTGGATGCCCTTGATGGGAAATCAAATAGCCTGGATGATTCAACTGAAGAAGTTCAGTCTATGGATGTGAGGTATATTCATTTCTTTTGCATTTAAGCCTCATCACTTCTCGAAACACTACCCTTTCTTTTAGTTGGTTTCTTCGTCTTTTATACAACCAAATCACCTAAAGCAGGTTTGATTGACATTACAGGAAAGCTCTCAGTGGTATAACATTCTAGTGTCTTGCGTCAGGTTCCCTAGAAGCAGAGCCTGGAACAGAGTTTCTAGGGCATGTGATTTGTTAGAGGAAAGCTCTTGGGAGTTTTTCAGGAGAAAGGGGAAGGAGGGAATTCGCTAAGCAAGGATGCCTTCTCAGCTGACCCCATGGGAGCTCTGGAGGATGAATTTCCACCAGAGACAGTTCCTCTGAGCTTCTGCAGTTCTGGTTTTTCTAGATTCTTCTCTAAGATCTCACAAGGAAGAAAAAGAAGAACCTGGCAGCAGCTTTACTCTGGCTGTTAAGAGATTCCTGGTGACAGGCCCTCAGCCCACCACTCTTCAGAGCCTGGATTTGTTCCTTTGCTAGGCCTTACAGCTGGCGCAATTATGAAACTCCTCCTTCCATCTCTAGGGAGAGGAAGAGAGAGAGAGAAAGAAAACCAGCCTTGGCTGGGCTGGAGCTGGATAAGTCAGAGTGGATTGGAAGCCTCACTTTAGAGAGGAAGCAGAGCGTGAGATTGGCTTTGCCAGTGATGACGTGGGCTGTGGTGGGATCCTTTCATTATGGGCCCCCCAACCTTAACTGAGCACTTCAGGCGTTTCCACATGAACTCTTCTCAGCACGATCAGATTCACACTCACAGGAGCCCTGGCAGAGAGAAACAATTGTTCCCATTTTACTGGCGAAGAAACTGAGGCTGCAGGAAGGAAAAGCAATTCGCCCAAGGTGGCACTACTAGAAAGGCAGCACTGGGAGCCCCACTGTTAATTAGGGTTCTTCTTCAACTTGCTTTGAACTTTTGGCATTGGCTTTCTGTCTGAATGTCCCATTTAGAAAGTTCTGGAATGCCTTGCTTCTTTGTGGTAGAATGCTGGTGCCTGTGGGTTTTTGTCCTTTCACCCTTTGGGCAATGTGACCTTGGCCATCACAGCCCTGCTCAATCTGCTTCCCTGTTCTCATACATGGGGCCTCGTGTCCACCATCTGTCCTCCTCAGATTTGAGCCCACTTGTATTTTTTACAGTGTGTTACACAAAAACTCTGACTCTAAATCCTTCTTCTTTAGAAGAGTAGTAAAACAAAATATTGCAAATAGAATTAATATATTGTGCCATGTTGTCTGTCTGTCTCTTTCTGCCTCTCTCCCTCTCGTTCATCTCTTCTAGTCCTGTTTCAAAAGAAGAGCTTATCTCTATCCCGGAATTTTCACCAGTGAGTGAAATGATTCCTGGGGTGTCTCTGGACCAAAATGGAACTGGTAATGCCCGAGCACTTCAAGATCTCTTAGATTTCACTGGTCCCCCGACATTCCCCAAGAGATCCAGTGAAAATCTCAGCCTGGACGACTGTAACAAAAACCTTATCGAAGGATTTAACAGTCCTGGCCAAGAAACTCCTCTCAACACCTTCTGTTGACAAATACAGCATCCCTTTAATAAAAGGTACAGTCTTTTGATTATATTCTAACTTCATAACCCTTTAACTGGGGTTTGTGAAGATAGGATGTATATCACTCAGCCTCTTGGATGGTCAAATTTTATTTGAAAAACGCAAACATGAATATATTATGGTATACTACAACACACACAAGAATTGAGACAGATTTCAATTAATTCATCTGCGAGCCTTCAGCGCCGAGCCGCCTTGTCCTAACCCTGCTATTTAGGGTGTGTAGATGGGAAAGTTGAGAACACTGGCTAAAGGTTTGACTACCAGTCCAGCCTGAGTAGCTTTTTTAGGGGGCAAGGAAAGAATACTCTAGTAGTGTTGCAAGGTGATATGAATAAGATGAATTTCCCCACCTCTAGTTTTGCTCAGTGACATCCCACATTCTATCTAGAATCATTCATATACAGGGCCACAGGATTTGCTATTCTCTTGACCCATTCTGGATTCTTCCAAAGCAGACAGCTATTCTTGGATCATACCTGAGGGAGAGAGAACTGCAGTTTTTGTGTCTTGAAGGTTTTTTCCCCACCTTTGGCCTTTTTTTATTTTTGCCAAAGTGCTTCCAGAAGCTATTCTCATTTGAGCAAGAATGTCTATGAGTTATATACACTCTGTAGTAAGGTATACTTAGTTACATATACCTCACATTTTATTTACTTCAGTTTGGGGCTTGTTTTTGAATAAGGAAAACATAATTAGAGTCTGTCACCAAATCCTTTAATAATTTAATAATTCCAATTGCTCCTCCCACTTCAGATTCTGTTTTTGTTTTCAAGAGAAGTGATCTCACTCTGTTGTCCAGGCTGGTGTGCAGTGGCGCAATCACAGCTCACTGAGACTTCAAACTCCTGGGCTCAGGAGATCCCCTTGCCTCAGCCTCCTGAGTAGTTGGATCATAGGCACATGCCACCAGGCCCAGCTAATTTTTTTTAGTTTTTGTAGAGGTTGGGTCTTGCTATGTTGCCCGGCTGGTCTTGAACCCCTGGCCTCAAGTGATCCTCTCTCCTTGGCCTCCCAAGTACTTACTGGGATTACAGCCATGAGCTACCATGCCTTGCATCCATTTATCCATTTTAGATTCTTTTTTTTTTTTTTTTTTTTTTTTTGAGATGGAATCTCACTCTGTCACCCAGGCTGGAGTGCAGTGGCATGATCTCCACTCACAGCCACTTCTACCTCCCAGGTTCAAGCCATTCTCCTGCCTCAGCCTCCCGAGTAGCTGGGACTACAGGTGCACGCCGCCATGCCTGGCTAATTTTTTGTATTTTAGTAGAGACAGGGTTTCACTGTGTTGCCCAAGCTGGTCTCGAACTCCTGAGCTCAGGTAATCTGCCTGCCTTGGCTTCCCAAAGTGCTAGGATTACAGGCGTGAGCCACCGCGCCCGGCCATTTTAGATTCTTAAAAGCATTTTTATATTCTCGGCATTTTCTCAGTCACTTTATTTTTTATACTTCACTCCCATAACAAATTCACTGGCCAAAATAACAGTCCAGTGTTTTTATTTTTCAAATGAGGAAACAGGTGGGAGAGGCTACAGAGCTGAGGTCACTGTGTTTTTTGTATACTTGTTTCTACCTGACCTCAGCTCTTGCCTATAAGACAAGTTTGAGAGCCCATTTCTCTTGGTTCTTGGTGTGTGGTGGGTCACTTTTAGAGTAAACTGTATCACTGGTTTGGAAAAGCAGCTGCCTTCTTGGACACTTAAAACACTAAATCACCTGAGCATTCTATTTCCCTGACAGTTACGTGGCTTAATATTTATTAAGAGGTTTTTTGTGTTTTTAACATACTTTGACTTTAAAATTAGTTTCCCTTCAGTTCACTTACCTCACTATACAGTAAGGAACAGAGAATCCACAAAATTTATTAGAGTATTCATAGGTCCTCAAATTTATTTCTTACATCTCTAAAAGAAATGCAAAACCCCTGTCCAAAAAGAAAAATCTCAAATTATTTTATTCACACTGCTTGTATATTTTTAATTATGATTGGGTCTAGTTCTCAAATTCTTCTCTACCAAAAGTGGTACCACCCCCACCAGGAGACGTTTGGACATACGTTGATGGTTTTTGTTGCCAGAGTGGCTGGGGGCATTTGAAAGACAAAGCTTGAGACATTAAATATCTGCAGGTTTTAGAAAAGTTCCATACAAGGAAAATTTGACCCATCTAAAAGAATAGTCCTATGTAAAATACTCTATCACTTCTGTTGAGAAATACTGTATAAGCCCAGGAGGAAAATATAATTGCCAAGAAGGTAGAAAGTGCCACAGTGTGTTGTGATCGTTTTAGTGAGAGAATAGTGCTACAAACTGCACAATACTTGGTTTTCCCTTTGATCTCATCTGGTTTTGTTTCTGAATTGACACAGGTGTTTGGAGAACCCGTAAAGCTGCTGATAGTCAAATCCGAGCTACTAGCTGCTTGAAGAAGCTTCTGTCACCCTTACCGCTGGATCCCAAATTATTAGCTCGGAATGTAACTGTATTCCTAGGTAGTATGTCAAACACTGGCCACTCTTGGTAGAAACCTTGAAACTTTCACCTTGCTGGGCTTTAGCAAAGTTTCCTTTTACAGTTCTGTTTATGAGCTTCAGCTACTGATAAAGCACTTCCTGAACTTCTCTATTATCATAGTGACCCTCTGAATAACCTGAGTGACTGGCTCGGCAATTCGCTTTATAACCATTCTTATTCCCAAAGTTGGAGCACATAAACATTTAGATGTCTTTTCCTGTAAAATATTCTAGACATTTACCCAAACTCTAGTTCAACATATACTCAACTTGCACTGTATATCTCCCTGTCTTTTTTGAGACAGAGAAGAAATTCAGGAGGTTCCCCATCTCCAGAGTTTCTCTGTTGGAAAGCAGTATCAAGAAGCCTTTAAAAAATTGTTGTTAAGCTTTGCCACCTGCAGAAATGCATTGCCCCACATTATTCTTCTGGGGTTAAAGTAGTAAGTTTGGTTGAGGAAGGAAGTCAAAACAGTCAGTAATGATTTCTGTTCTCTTATGCATATTCGTGTATACATGGGCAACTGAATCTAGCAAGGACTCTTTCGTGTCACACCTTAAAATCTTCATGCTGTAGTCACTCCAGACCATGGAGTGGCTTTCCAGCTGAATGAATCCTATGTCTCGCGTGCAGGTGGTTGGTTTTCAATGTTCTTGCTAATTTTTTTTCTATTGGATCTTGGGAGTTTTCTTTGTTTGCTCCTGTGTTTGCCCAGCTTTAATAAAACCAGGCGCAAACAAAAACCATAGCATTCTGAAACAATAGGGGGCCCACATTGGACCCAGTATGTCACTTTAATGGACTTCAAGAAAAAATCTGAATGGGAAAAATGACACTAGAATGTATACTCCACACATTTTATGCCATATAATGGTGTGTTTTCTTAATTTTGTTTCTTGTGGCGAAATGTGGCTTTCAAATTAAAATGACCTTTTCTTCTTTGAAACTTTTTGTTTTGACTTGTATAATTAAGGGTTTGGAAAGATTCATAATTCTGAGAGAGGTTTGCAACCAGGAGATACAAAGAAGTCTCAGTAGTAATCTTGTTCATGTGCTTTTACAGCCAGCTACATTTAAGAATGTATTAGTTACAGAAATTATATGTCTGTGTATGTGTCTCTACTCAATAAAGTACATGCCTCCACATAATGCGGTGCTGTCCATCTCGGCAAATACTGGCCAAGTCCCTTTATGACAGGCACACAGAAACCATAGCATGGTCTGGCTTTCAGAAAATGCCTCTCATCTTTCCTGGAACCTTATTTTGCTAAATGTCTGTTTTCTTGTGATTTGTTGTACCTCACAGCACCATTGTGACCATGGTGATGCCTCATTTGCATGATATGTACCTTGTGTTTAATGTGAAATACATTTTCATTGAAGAGTCTGATGACTTGCTAGCGTTTTATTTTTTCTGTAAGCTCAATGTGCTGAAACCAAACCAGGCTTTTAAAAACCTGTGTAGAAGAAAACCAAAAAATCCTGTGTGGGTGTCCTTTCCCTGTCAAACTCATTAAAAATTCCTTTGTTGCCAGTGCCAAGTGGAGTCAACTGCATAAAGCTTCTTAAGTGATGACTGTCACTAGAACACAATGGACTTCTGAGTATAGTAAAAAAAAAGTTGCTGTTCTTTCCTTTTTTTTTTTTTTTGGAGAGACAAGGTCTCACCATGTTGCTGAAGCTGGTCTCCTAGGCTCAAGTGATCAATCCTCCTGCCTCAGCCTCCCAAAGTTCTGGAATTATAGGCATGAGCCACGACGCCCAGCCAAGTTCCTGTACTTTCATACCACTGGTGTGAGGGCTTTCTAGCTAAGATACAGTTAACCTTACCATAATCTATGATAACATTGCACATAGCAATTTGGCATTTAAATAAAGTTATAATGGGAATGTTGACCCTTATTTTCAGGTAAGTTGAAACCCAGACCAGTTTTTTTTGTTTGCTTGTTTGTTTTTTAATGTCTAACTCACAGGCTTTCCACTGCCTGGAGACAGTACCAGGCCAGACCAGAAGCCAGGTGGGCAGGACTGGAATTAGAGACCCCTGTGGTAACTTCTGGGCTGCCATCTCTGAAGCTGAGGGCCCGGTCATTGCTGCCTTCCCCAGTTCTGTTGACAAAGCCTCTGGTCAGGGCACAGGAGCAGACACTATTTCCATATGCAGACCTCTGGGAGGGGCATTAGAAGTAGCTTATGTCATCATGAGCTCTGGCCATAGGGCCTACATTGGTGGCCAGTCATTCCTAAGAACAGTTTCTTGTTTGTGAACATCGCAAATTTTTTCTTAGTGTGTACAGGTTTCCTATTAGATGCTTTTGTTAATTTAGAAAGCAAATGTAAAGAACTAATTCATCTCAAGAAGTATACCCATTACAATGGGGCACAGCACAGGGTGACCTCCATACCCATTCCTCAGCATTGTTCAGAAAGCACAATTATGGGCCGGGTGCAGTGGCTCACACCTGTACTACCAGTGCTTTGGGAGGCCGAGGCAGGAGGATCACTTGAGGCCAGGAGTTCGAGACCAGCCTGGGCAACAAAGCAAGACCTCTGTTCTCTACAAAATAAATTTCAAAAACTCAGCTGGGCATGGTGGCACACACCTGTAATCCCAGCTACTTGAGAGTCGAAGGCAGGAGGATCACTTGAGCCTAGGAGCTCAAGGTTGCAGTGAGCTATGATCACACCACTGCACTCCAGCCTGGACAATGGAGCAAGACCCTGTCTCTTTTTAAAAAGCACAATTATGTAAGAAAATGAAGCAAGAACTCTCAGAAACGAGAAGCTTCACAAATGGTCTTTTTTCTGGAAACCCATGAAAATCTCTTAGAATGATTTCACAAGGAGGCCAACTATCAAAGAAAAATTAATAGTTTTTTTGGGGGCGCATAGGGGCACAGGACCAGGCTGGAGCACAGTGGCACGATTATAGCTCACTGCAGCCTTGAACTCCTGGGCTCAAGTGATTCTCCTGCACCAGCCTCCTGAGTAACTAGGAATATAGGCGTGCACCACCATGCCCAGTTAATTTCTTTTAAATTTTTATGTAGAGACGAGGTCTCACTATGTTGCCCAGGCTGGTCTTCAACCAGGCTCAAGCAATCCTCCCACCTTGGCCTCCCGAAGTGCTGAGATTACAGGTGTGCACCACTATGCCTGGCCAGACGAGTCTTTTTCTTACATATCAGCAATAAACTGGAAATAGGTTCCAACAAAAACCATAAATTTCATAGAAATAAAAACCAGCTAAAACGAGAGGAATGTTAGAATTGAAGTGAATGGAAAGACACGCCATGCCCCTGAATGGGAAATCCTATGCATATGAAGAAGGCTCATCCTATAGGCAGCACTCACATTGGTTCCAGTCAATGAGATTTCATTTCAGCAACTTGAAAAGAGAATTGCAGGGACCGGGCGCGGTGGCTCACGCCTGTAATCCCAGCACTTTGGGAGGCCGAGGCAGGTGGATCACGAAGTCAGGAGATCAAGCCCATACTGGCTAACATGGTGAAAACCCGTCTCTACTAAAAATACAAAAAATTAGCTGGGCGTGGTGGCGGGCGCCTGTAGTCCCAGCTACTCAGGCAGCCGAGGCAGGAGAATGGCATGAACCCGGGAGGCGGAGCTGGCAGTGAACCGAGATAGCGCCACTGCCCTCCAGCCGGGGTGACAGAGCGAGACTCCATCTCAAAAATAATAATAGAATTGTACAGTTCATTTTAAAAGCTGAACACAAAGCTAAGAAACCTAGGAATTTTTAAAGAAGAATTTCCCCCAACAAATAGTAAAATACATGATAAAACTTCCATAACTGAAATGGTATTCTGATAGAGAAATAGAATTTGGAATAGCTATAGAGATCAGAAATACCCAAGATCGGTAAGAATTGAATGCATGGTGGGGCTGGGCGTGGGCCATTGTACTTGTAGAGAGGTAGCAGGTATCCTGAGTGTCAACTTTGAGGGTTTTTTGTTTTTTGGGGTTTTTTTTCTGAGTGTCTCACTCTGTCCCTGAGGCTGGGGTGCAGTGGCATGCTCTTAGCTCAATGCAACCTCCTCCACAGGTTCAAGCGATTCTCCTGCTTCAGCCTCCCAGGTAGCTGGGATTACAGGCGCCCACCACCATGCCCGGCTAATTTTTGTATTTTTACTAGAGATGGGGGTTTCACCATGTTGGCCAGGCTGGTCTCGAACCCCTGACCTCAAGTGATCTGCCCGCCTTGGCCTCCCAAAGTGCTGGGATTACAGGCGTGAACCACTGCGCTTGGCTGTCAATTGAGTTTAGAATCTCTGATGTGGTAGGGACAGGGGCCCAGAAGTCACAGTGAGGAAATGATAAAGACAGCAAAGAGATCCAAGGTATCCAAGGTGAGGGTACCACTCATGGATCAATGTTTAAGTCAGGGATGAAATTTAGATGCAAGGCTTGGGAGCATCCTGTAAAGATCCTGAGCTGCCAGGCACCCCCGCGATGTGCCAGGCTCTCAGGAAGTGGGGAGCAGCAGGCCTCTGCTTACCTTGCTTTAGGCTTCTGCGGCAGTGGGCCATGACAGACAGCATGTACTGAGTTGCTTCAAAAATTTCATGCTTTGGCCGGGCGCAGTGGCTCACGCCTGTAATCCCAGCACTTTGGGAGGCCGAGGCGGGCGGATCACGAGGTCAGGAGATCGAGACCATCCCGGCTAACACGGTGAAACCCCGTCTCTACTAAAAATACAAAAAATTAGCCGGGCGCGGTGGCGGGTGCCTGTAGTCCCAGCTACTCGGGAGGCTGAGGCAGGAGAATGGCGTGAACCAGGGAGGCGGAGCTTGCAGTGAGCCGAGATCGGGCCACTGCACTCCAGCCTGGGCGACAGAACGAGACTCCGTCTCAAAAAAAAAAAAAAAAAAAAAAAAAAAAAAAAAAAATTTCATGCTTTGAGGTAGGTATGGGACGGTTACTTCCCCAAGGACACACACAGCTGGAACTTGGCAAAGCTGGCTGTGACTCTAGGGCCCCAGCTTTATTTTTTATATGTATTTAAAGATACGTATTTTTTAATAGAGACACATTCTCCCTATGTTGCCCAGACTAGTCTCGAACTCCTGAGCTCAGGTGATTCTCCCGCCTTGGCCTCCCAAAGTGCTGGGGTTACAGGCACAAACCACTGCGCCCGACTTCCAGGACCCCAGCTTTAGTACCCCCAGGGGAAGTTGACAGGCTTTTCTGCCCCACAGAGCAGCAACACTGTTTTGCTAGGGGGTAAGCAGGGCAAAAAAAAAAAAAAAAAAAAGTCTTGCTAGAGCAAGCACTTATAAAAGGAGTAGCAAAGGACCAGGACCCTCATGGAAACTCCTAGTTCTGAAGGTGCTTTAAAATACATATTGAGGCCGGGCGCGGTGGCTCACGCCTGTAATCCCAGCACTTTGGGAGGCCGAGGCGGGTGGATCATCTGAGGTCAGGAGTTCAAGACCAGCCTGACCAATATGGTGAAAGCCCATCTCTACTAAAAAGACAAAAATTAGCTGGGCGTGGTGGTGGGCGCCTGTAGTCCCAGCTACTCGGGAGGCTAAGACAGGAGAATTGCTTGAACCTGGGAGGTGGAGGTTGCAGTGAGTCAAGATCGTGCCACTGCACTCCAGCACTCCAGGCTGGATGAGACTCCGTCTCAAAATTAGATATAGATTAGATAGATAGATATAGATATATTATTAAATATAGTGACATTATTAAAATTTATCTTAAGTATAGAATACAGTGGTCTTTAGTCACAGAGTTGTGCAACCATCACTACTAATTCTAGAACATTTTTACCGGAGTGCTTTTTCAAGGGTTTGTCATCCATTCATCTACTCAAAGCAGCAAAGCTTGGCTTTATCAGCCATTAGTTCAAGTTCTCATTGTACCTAAAAGCAAGAACATGGGGTTCGAAGATAGCATTCTTCTTTGAAGCAGTCACTTCCCCATCTTACCCCTTCAATAGGACAAACTAGGACAATGTTTATGTCACAATGAGTGTGGGCTGTTTTGTGTTGTTCCACATTCACTTCATAAACATGGGATCAAATGCCAAACACAGGCTCACCTCTCAGATGCCCAGCATGGGCTCCTAGGTTGATGAGAGACATGGATTGGGGGAAGCTGTAATTTAAGACACTTTGAAAATTCTGAACCTTTGGAGGCATGCCTTTAACAATGACCACGGATTCGGGCATGGGGTGACTTACACTGTGACTCTACTTGCCCTTATGTTTCTGGGACCGATCCCCCACGTTAACCACCAGGGAGGGAGTGTTTCAGTGCCCTCTTTTTCCCCTCTAAGGTCCAAGCCAGGGTCCATGGCAATGGGCACTCATGGCACTGTGGAAAGAAATCACCTACTGCCCAGAGCCTGAGGGTCCCCTTGCAAAAGGCAGAGGGAGCTAAAATGCTGCAGGTGTTGCCCGTGGAGAATTCACCCCCTTCCCCTCCCTCCATGCTCTGCAGTAAATCAACAAGAACCTCCTGCCGAGGCTTCTATGCTGCAGTGAAATAATGCAGCCATTCAACTGGCAACAAGGGACTGGGGCCTGGGGAGTGTCGAAAGCTGCCAGCCTTCGGGACTTCCAAGAAATGGTGAAGGCAGGCTTTCCCCATCTCACCTCATCTCAGGAAATGCAAGGAATAGAGTTCCAAGCAATTGAACCTTTGCGGAAAGTAACTTCTTTTTAGAATTAGAGCTAGCAGCAATTTGTTGGCTGTACTTATATTTTAGTTAAATTTTCCTAATAGCGTGTGTAGGGTCATCTTGAAACAACAGGAAAGTCATCCACGCAGAACTAACAACTAGGACAGGGCTGTGCCACACACAGTAGACGTGCGTAAAGCTTGTTGGATTGAATTCAGTCATCACTGTGGGACCTGTAGGTTATTCTAGGACAAACCGAATCTTCCTAGGCCCACTGGGAGGACAGAATAAATTCCATTTGTTCAGTGGACCTGGCCTTCTAAAGGATTCTCAGGGGCCTACTCTGTGGGTCACAGCCCTGGTAGCTGGTACAAGGTTCATAATGGTAAGAAATTATTCAGAATGTGAAAGGCAAAAAGATAACCGTGTACCCTTTCCAAGCCCTGATAGAGCGTTGTCTTCACAAGGCAGCCTCTGGGCCAGCTGGGTCTCGGAAGATGTTAGTTCGAGCGGCTCACCATGTGCTATGGGTTAGGACTCAGCCTCTGGAGTTAGAGGTTATGTCTGTTTGTTCCTGTAAGACACTAAAAAACTTTGTCTCTAACTGTGCCATCTTATTCCAGCATTCTTTTTTTCCTACTAAATACACGTGTGTGTGTATGTTACGTACATACATGTGTGCATAATAGTCCTCATCTCCGCCTTTGACTTGCTTTCTCATCCTGCTCCTTAAAGAGTTCAATACATTTTTTGACACACGCTCGCTGTATATTAACATCAGAATCATGTTTTTAACCTTTGGGAAGTTATACTTTGACAAGTGAGGGTCCTTATATCCTCAGCAGGATTTGGGAAATCTGAAATAGCTATACTAATGGCTTCAAAGGTTCATATTAAATGCTAGTGGAGTGGACGTCATGGTGCGCCACCCAGATGGACCTCCCTTTTAGGGCTGAGGTGTTCGTCCTTCCAGGTGTCTCCTTCCAGATGCTGGAGGTACAGCCCCTGAAGCCTGTCGGTGGACTTCCTGTCTGGGAATTGCCCTTGGCTGAAGGAGGTTGCCTCGCCAAGGTTAAACCTCCTCCTGGGGCAGCCTGTATCTGATGACTGGATCAGTTCAGTGTACAAAGCCCCTTGCCTGGAGGTAGGACAACTCTGAGTTAGCCATCCTAGCTTCAGAGCTCCCTGTGGGGTCACCTGAGGGCTCTGCAGAGACTGCATTGCAGTCTAAGTTCTCCCTCCTGCTTCCTTCACGCCTCCCCACCCCAGCCACTCTGCATACATGCCCCGCATGCCAGTTGGTCTGAGAGTTTCCCAAAGAACCCATCCAGAGCCAGCTGGGCGTTGTGCTAAGGCTTTTCATGTGCTAGCTCTCCTAACCTTCCAGACAACATTCCGAGAGAGGCATGGATGTTACCATGCTCTTTTCACCATGAGGGACCCGAGACTCAGGCTAAGCCACTGGTCCGAGGTCACATGCAACCAGGAAGTACAGAGCTGGGCTTCCAACCCCAAGGTGTGTTTTGGAGCCTGCACTTGGCCTAGTTCACCACAGCCCAAAGTGCCTGCCCAGACAAATCAGACTGACCCAGCCCCTAGAGGCTCTTGCTAGTCTACACACCTTCTAGCTTCATTTTCCCAATCAATCTCCTCAACCAGCTTCCCTCACCAGAAATTGTTGCTGACTTTGAAAATCCTTGAGAATCTTCTGCTGAGGGCGTTTCATCCATCTTTGTATCGCTCACGCAAGCAGAATATGTGCACCTTCCACCTGGGAGCACAGTTGCTATGAGATTTTTTTTCCCTCATCCAGAAGGCAACCCATTTCATAACTGCTCATTTATGAAGCAACTACGAATGAATATCTACTCCATTCTAAGCATTTTGCTAGGGATGGGGATGGAGCAGAGAACAAGACTAGAAAGTGTCCCCATCCTCCTGGAGCTTGTAGTCTAGCAGTGAAGAGAGACAGTAGACAATTTTAAAAGTCATTATTTGCAATTGTGATGGATGTGAAGGTCAAGCCTGCTGTTATACATATTCTTTTTCTTTTATTTCTTTTTTTTTTTTTTTTTTTGAGATGGAGTCGTGCTCTGCTGCCCAGGCTGGAGTGCAGTGGCACAATCTCAGCTCACTGCAGCCTCTGCCCCCGAGGTTCAAGCAATTCTCCAGCCTCAGCCTCCCGAGTAGCTGGGATTACAGGCGTGCGCCACCACATCCAGCTAATTTTTGTATTTTTAGTAGAGACGGGTTTTACCATGTTGGCCAGGCTGGTCTCAAACTCCTGATCTCAGGTGATCCACCTGCCTTGGCCTCCCAAAGTGCTGGGATTACAGGAGTGAGTCACCACGCCCAGCCCACATTTTCATATCATTACAGTTTGTGATGATACATTGATTTGTGAGATTCTTTGATTAAGGTCTATCTCCCTCACTGTAAGTGTCATGACAGCAAGACTGTCATATTCCTATCACCCAACATAGATATTGAGTAAATATTTGTGAGTGAATAAACACAGTTGTTACTGAGAAACTCTTTGAATTAAAATTATGGCCTCTGCCAGGCACAGTGGCTCACACCTGTAACCCCAGGACTTTGGGAAGCCAAGGCAGGTGGATCACTTAAGCCCAGGAGTTCAAGACCAGCCTGGGCAGCATAGTGGGACCTTTTCTCTACAAAAATTAAAATAACAGCCAGGCATGATGGTGCATGCCTATAGTCCCAGATACTTGGGAAGCTAAGGTGGGAGGATAGCTTGAGCCCAAGATACTTGGGAGGCTAAGGCAGGAAGTTAGTTGAAGGCTGCAGTGAGCTGTGATGGTGCCAATGTACTCCAGCCTGGGTAACAGAGGCCTTATCTCTAATATATTCATAAAAATATAATATAATAAAATTGTGGCCTTGGATCTGCATGTGTTTCTGCCAGACCCACAGTCTGATAAAGATAAAGGTCCCAGGGACCCTACTTTTCATATTTGCTATTGAATCCCCAGCACCGAGAACAGCACCTGCCACACAGTGGACACACGATAAATCTTTGTTGAATGAATGATTTCTCTATTGAGAATAAATATACCAGTTTGAATGGTCCCAGTACATATAGCAGAAAGCGATTTCAATATTAAGGGTATTTATCACACCTAATATATAACAAGCTCCAAAGGCAGCTCAATGGCGTCAGGATTCTAAGGCAGCATCTCTTTGAGTGTCTTGGCTCTGAAGAAGGTCGCTGCAGCACCAGCATCCCAACTGCACACCATCATGGTCAAAGGCAAGAAGTCAGTGGCAGGCTGCTCCTTGTTACTGCACCTTCCTTTAGCCAGGGAGGAAACCCTCTCCCAGAAGCCCCCAGCAGCAGATTTCTACTTCTCATTGGCCAGTACTAGGTCTTCCACCTACCCCTCAGCTCATCACCTGCCAAAGGGAGTGAGATTATCCCATGTTATTAGTTGAGGTAATGCTCGCTTCTGTAACAACCACAGCACACCTAAAATGCAGAATGGCTCAAATACAAGTTTTTTTCTTCCTTATGTGAAGTCCCAAACAGATGTGCCTGATTACAACGCTCCTCTGAGTCCTAAGTCAGAGACCAGACTCTCTCCATCTTGTGGCCCCCTCATCTTCCAATTGTATCACGTTTTTCTGCATCAAGCTGACAGAACAGGGAAAGAGTATGGAGAAGACACATGACTTCTTAACCACCTGGGCCCCTAAGGGACATGTACTACTTCCTCTCACATTCCGTTAGTACAACTAGTCATGTGGCCCTACTTAGATGCAAGGGATGCTGGGAAGTATATTCCCTGGCTAGTTTGCTTCTTACCAGAGATATTGCTATTCTATGGAAGAGAGAACACACATAATTTGGTGGATAGTTAGTCGTCTCTGCCATGCCATGATTGACTTAGACCAGAGCTGTTCAGTAGGAGTATCATGTGAGTCACTTGTGTCATTTTTCCATTTTCTAGTAAGGGGCCTGGGGAGGGAAGGGTGGTAAATGTTTTGAATATATTATTGTAAAATCTACCACAGAGTCCATTATGTTCTCTTTCCCTACCAGTCCAAGGGAGAGTGGGAATTGGAGTGAAAAGTTAAGACGAGACTGTGGGGTACCTAATAAATATGGGGTTGAACAAAGTAAATTCGTCAGGCAAATGAAGTTTTGGAGAGATGAATGACTTTTGAATTGGTTTTGGGGTTGTGCGTGGACACAAAAGAGACCATTTATGGTAGGAAGGGATTTGGGTATAGAGTTTCTACAGTGGGAAGGCACTGGACTTTTTCTTTTCTTTTCTTTTCTTTTTTTCTGAGTCAGAGCCTCACTCTGTTGCCCAGGCTGGAGTGCAGTGGCATAATCTCGGCTCACTGTAACCTCACCCTCCCGGGTTCAAGCGATTCTCCTGCCTCAGCCTCCAGAGTAGCTGGGATTACAGACATGCGCCACCACACTCGGCTAATTTTTGTATTTTTGTTACGGACGGGATTTCACCATGTTAGCCAGGCTGCTCTTATTTGTTTATTTCTTTGAGACAGGGTCTTGCTCTGTTGCCCAGGCCGGAGTGCAGTGGCGCAATCTCAGATCACTACAAGTTCTGCCTCCCGGGCTCAGATGATTCTCCCATCTCAGTCTCCCAAGTAGCTGGGACAACAGGTTCCTACCACCATGCCTGGCTAATTCTTTGTGTTTTTTTGTAGAGACGGTGTTTTGCCATGTTGTGTGGGCTGGTCTCAAACTCCTCCTTTTTGCCTTGCGTTAATGTAGGTAGACTATCTCAAAATGTTTTTCAAAATAATTGCTGAGTTGTAAGACACTGCTTTAAAACCACAGATATTATATGTCTTTCAGAACCAGAGCCAAGCCACTACACCTATTACATTACAAAAGAGTTCATCAGAAATAATTTATAGGACCAGAGGACTGACTGGTAGCAACTACCAAATTTTGTTTAGGAATTTGTCCTCCATCTCAGTAGGAAAACAGACATACAGGCAGTGACTAGAATGAGCAAAAAGAAACCTGCAGCATAAGCCTGTCTAAAAACATTTTCATCCAAACAATATAAATCAGTTCTGTCTGCACTCTGCTGTTGACAAAGCCATTTAAAAAGCAAAGGTAAAGAAAGGACAGCGTCCACAAAAAAATGCCTATATCATGGGATGGAAGACAAGGAGGAGGGAACAGGGCCAGCTAAGCATTATACATTAAATTTCATTAATAGCGTTAAGCCACACAACCAAAGTCAGATCGTTAAGGCAAGGGAAAATGCACCTGGTTCTGCCAGTCCTGGGTTCTAAGCGCTAATGGAGATGCTGAAGTCACACCATCACCATACAAACTAGGGTCAATCTGGACAACAGTGTTTTCAAGGGTTGAGAAAGCTATTTGTCCTACTGCTTCACAATTTTCTTTTTCTCACGTCAGCATTTAAAAAAGAAAGCCACACAGAAGGGTGGCGGGAGAACGTGCCAAGGCAGCTGATAGGTCTCCCCAGAAGCTGATGCTCTCCAAAAAATGACGATGGCAGTATGTACTTTGTCTAAGTCTGCATTGCAGCCTGAATTGCTCCTTTTAAAACTGTTTACATTTTTCTCTGGTTTAAGGATTTTAAAACTACCCTGAATTACAGCAAGCCTCTATGTCCATGTTCTGGTTTGCAGGGAGTACAAGCGATGCAGCAGTGGTTCTCGTTTGAGGGTGCGTCAGAGTCACCTGGAGACTTGCTGAAATGAAGTTTGCTGGGCCCTACTCCTAGAGTTAGTTTCTTTCTTTTTCTTTCTTTCTTTCTTTCTCTTTCTTTCTTTCCTTCCTTCCTTCCTTCCTCCTTCCTTCCTTCCCTCCCTCCTTCCCTCCCTCCTTCCCTCCCTCCTTCCCTCCCTCCTTCCTTCCTTCCTTCCTTCCCTCCCTCCCTCCCTCCCTCCCTCCCTCCCTCCCTCCCTCCCTCCTTTCTTTCTTTCTTTCTTTCTTTCTTTCTTTCTTTCTTTCTTTCTTTCTTTCTTTCTTTCTTTCTTTCTTTCAGAGTCTTGCTCTGTCACACAGGCTGGAGTGCAATGGTGCAATCTCGGCTCACTGCAACCTCTGCCCCCCAGGTTCAAGTAATTCTCCTGCCTCAGCCTCCCGAGTAGCTGGGATTATAGGTGTGAACCACCACGCCTGGCTAATTTTTGTGTTTTTAGTAGAGACAGGGTTTCCCCATGTTGGCCAGGCTGGTCTTGAACTCCTGACCTCGGAAGATCCACCCACCTCAGCCTCCCAAAGTGCTTGGATTACAGTGAGCCACCATGCCCAGCCCTAGAGTTTCTGATTTGGTGGCTTGAAGCAGGAGCTTCACTATGTAGTGTATGGTCCCACCCTTGCTTGTTTTCTTCTGATATGACAGTGGTAAGCTCTCCGGCAGGGTCTATTCTTTCAGTCTGGATCCCAGACAGAAGAGTCAAAGTTGCCCCACGATGGATGTGAAATGTAAGTGAGAAATAAACATTTGCTGTTCTTTCTTTCTCCAAGCCACTGAGGTTTTGGGATTGTTATTGTAGCATAGCTTATTCTTACCAATACAAATTCCTTGTTTGAAGCAGAGCTGGCATTCTGCAGCAGATTTGGCTTCACATGAAACCCAAAGGAAAGGAAAGGCAAGGGAGATGATACTCCGTTTCTCTTAGGCTTGCTCTGCGTACATGTGCATGTATGCTATTCATATAGACACCAAGGACTATGTGCAAACTGTTTAACCTCTCTTTCCACACAAGTAGACAGCAAATAGGGCCAAGGACCATCTACTTGTGCTGTCTGTTGACAATTGTGAGTCTGGAAAAAGACCACCTTGTTCAAAGAGGAGTCAAAAGAAATATATATATATATATATATATATATATATACATACATACATACACACACACATATATATACACATACACAAATATATATACACATATACATATATATCTGTGTGCATATATGTATATGTATGTATATATGTGTGTATATATTTTTTATTTATAAATATAAATATGTGTGTATATAAATTTATATTTGTGTGTACATATATTTATATTTACATATAATGAAGACACAGAAACCATGGGAATGGAAGAGAAAAAAACAGCACATTTCTTTTTTTTTTTTTTGAGATGGAGCATCGCTCTGTCACCCAGGCTGGAGTGCAGTGGCGCAATCTTGGCTGACTGCAACCTCCACCTCCTGGGTTCAAGCGATTCTCCTGCCTCAGCCTCCTGAGTAGCTGGGACTACAGACGTGCGCCACCACGCCCAGTTAATTTTTGTACTTTTAGTAGAGACGGGGGTTTCCCCATGTTGGCCAGGCTGGTCTCGAACTCCTGACTTCAAGTGATCCACCCTCCTTGACCTCCCAAAGTGCTGGGATTACAGGCGTGAGCCACTGCACCTGTCCCAAAGGAGCATACTTCTGAAAAGGATTATCTGCAGAATCTGAAAGAAAAATTTCACAACCGGTTTAGCATCCTTTTGGAATATGATAGGCTTTCTATAAAATCAGAACAGAAATTCGTAAGGAAATGAAAGGGTGAGATGGAGATTACTACAGTAACGGGAGAGAACCGGGCGGGAGAGAATACAAAGAAACAAAAATCTCAATAATAAAGTTTGAGTCAAAATAGAGACAGAAATAATGCTTTAGAAAGCCATATCAGTATCAATAAAGCAAACTTGAGGTCTACTGGAAATGCTGGAAATGGATGAAAGACGAAAATGATAAAACAGGCCGGTGCGGTGGCTCCTGCCTGTAACCCCAACACTTTGGGAGGCCAAGGCGGGTAGATCACTTGAGGTCACAAGTTCGAGACCAGCCTGGCCAACATGGTGAAACCACGTCTTCACTAAAAATACAAAAAGTAGCCGGGCATGGTGGTGGGTGCCTGTAATCCCAGCTACTCAGGTGGCTGAGGCAGAAGAATTGCTTGAACCTGGGAGGCGGAGGTTGCAGTGAGCCAAGATTGCATCATTGCACTCCAGCCTGGGTGACAAGAGAGAGACTCCGTCTCAAAAAAATAAATAAATAAATAAAAATAAAAAAATAAAACAGAGAACTAATACAGCTAATTGCTCTTCCTAAAAGAGAGATTAGAGCTAATGGAGCAGAAACAATTCTTGAAGATAGAATGGAAGAAAATGTTTCTGAATTGAGGCCATATATATGCAGGTGAAAAAGGACTCACACCTCTTAACCAGAAAGAAAAAGCATTATTTATTCTTACATTACAAAAACTTTAGTATGACCAGAGCATTGTGTACAAGGGGAAGAGAGGCTAGAGTTTGTATGCTGTTTGAAAGCATGTTCCCTGCCAAACAGGAAGCAAAGTCATATATGAAGAAAGGAAAATGATCATTTGCATAAGGCTTAAAAAGAGTGGTAAAAGGGTTTGTAACAGCAATTATTGGAAAAAAGATCACATAAAAGGGTCACATAAAATGATTACAAAGTGCTATCAGGCTCTCCACTGTGGTGGGCATCCACACATTTGTAGTGGCATCATTCTTTGATAGTTGTGTGGCTTTCTCCCCGCCCAAGCAGTGTTTGGAAATGTAGACGTAGGAATGGAAAATGCAGACTGGAGTTTTAAGTGGTAGTTTAATGTTAGGACAAGTCAAAGGGCAAAGCAGGGGGCTCTGCTTACAAGAGTGGTTGAAGGCTGGGCACAGTGGCTCCTGCCTGTAATCCCAACACTTAGGGAGGCCGAGGCAGCAGGATCACTTGAGCCTAGAAGTTCCAGAACAGCCTGGGCAACATGGCGAAACCCTGTCTCTACAAAAAAAAATTTTTTTTTTAATTAGCTGGGCATGGTGGTGCACGTCTGTTGCAACAGCTACTCTAGAGGCTGAGGCAGGAGTGTCACTTGAGCCCAGGAGTTTGAGGTTACAGTGAGCTATGATTATGCCACTGTACTCCAGCCAGGACCACGACCAAGTGAGACCCCTGACTCTTAAAAAAAAAAACAACAAAAAAAGGCCGGGACGCGGTGGCTCATGCCTGTCATCCCAGCACTTTGAGAGGCTGAGACAGGCGGATCACTTGAGATCAGGAGTTTGAGACCAGCCTGGCCAACATGGTGAAACCCCGTCTCTACTAAAAATACAAAAATTAGCCGGGCATGGTGGCGCACACCTGTAATCCCAGCTACTCAGGAGGCTGAGGCAGGAGGATCACTTGAACCTGGGAGGCAGAGGTTGCAGTGAGCCGAGATCGCACCACTGCACTCCAGCCTGGGTGACAAGAGCCAGACTCTATCTCTAAATAAATAAATAGGCCGTGCGCTGTGGCTCACGCCTGTAATCTCAGCACTCTGGGAGGCTGAGGCGGGAGGATCACCTGAGGTCAGGAGTTCGAGACCAGCCTGGCCGACATGGGGAAACCCTGTCTCTACTAAAAAAAAAAAAAAAATTAGCCGGGCATGGTGGCGCAGCCTGTAATCCCAGCTACTCAGGAGGCTGAGGCAGGAGAATCACTTGAACCCGGGAGGCAGAGGTTGCAGTGAACCGAGATCACACCACTGCACTCCAGCATGGGTGACAGAGATTCTGTCTCAAAATAAATAAATAAGTAAAAATAAAAAAGTGGTTGTAGTCAAAGGCTATGGGTTTAAGTTGGGTAGTGGGATTTCAACATTTAAGGTTTTAGAGATGGAGCAGTATCAAGTGATGAATATCTAGATTTTCTAGACTACGGGTGAACAAAGTAGAAGTAAAGGTCATTCGGATTGAGGAACTGAAGGAAACCAGGCTGGGTTGTGGATGTTGGATTCATTGGGAGGATGGCAGTAAATCAGATGGAGAGGAAAACTAATGCCAGACAGTCAGTAGGTGACAGTGACAAGGGAGGGCAAAAGGTGTTACTACCAGATGGCACAGAGCCTGAAAGAGCTATTTCACAAGGGGAAGAAAGAATATCAGTGTCAAGCGGAAAGCTTCAAGAGTGAAGAAGACACACTACCTTTGAGGCTGGTGCATGGAGTGTGGGAGGGGAGAAACCAAGCGAGTAGACAGAGATGAGGCAATCTTTTGAATTGGATGACGGATAGATGTTGGTACCATCCGACCATTTGGGAAGTCCAGAGGGGAGGCTTTGTTTTCCGGGAATATGCTTAATTTGAGGAGTGGGAAATGGATAGAGGGTAGGTGAATGGTTAGAGATCTGCACAAAGCTGGAAGGCCCACGGGATCAAGTTCTGCCCATGACTGAGGGGTGACCTCCAATCCCTGGGCCTTAACCCCCAGGATCCCTGGACCTGGAACGCCCATTAGGTCCCCTCCTTTCCGGCGAGAGGGCGGCAGAGGGCGCAGGCGCTCTAGCCGGACCCGGCGGGCGGGTGGCAGAGGGCGCAGGCGCCCTGGACAGAGCGGCCGCAGTGGGAACGGCCGGCAGGGGGCGCAGCGCTCTGGTCCGAGAAGCCCGGGCGGGGCACCCTCGCCGGGAGAGTAGAGGATAGGGGTCGGCTGGAGAACGGGCCCAGTGCGAGGCCGCGAGCAGTGGGCGGGGCCGGGGTGGGGGCGGGGCGAGGCGGTTCCGGAAGGAAGTGGTTCCGGGTCCCGCGGCCCGGCAGAGGTGGCTGGGGTGTCGCTGCTGTGGGAGGCGGCGGCAGAGTGAGGGGCGAGGCCCGAGGGGCCGGCGGCGGCGGCGGCGGCGGCGGCGGCGGCGGCGGCGGCGGCGGCGGCGGGGGCTTCCCGGCCGGGTGAGCGGCTCGGGGGGAGGCGGGGCGAGGAGGCCTGGGCCCGCAGGGAGGGCGTGTCCGCCACCCAGGAGGGGCGGTTCTCGGGGTGGCGGATGGGGCAGCGGGGAGGATGCGGCGGTCCGACTCGGGTTCTGTTGGGACAGCTCCTCTGCGCCCCGTAGGTCCCTCGGTCAGCGCCTTCCCTTGGGCGCGGCGACCCGGCGCGGGTTTCCAGGGGACAGCTGCCCGGCGCCCCTGAGGTCCCTCGACAGGCACGGCGACCCGGGCACCTGCTGCCGCGACCCTGATCCTCCGCCGTCGTCGGGCAGGTTGCGGTCCCCGCGGTTCCCTGCATCTGTTAAGAGGGCGGGGGCCGGGAAGGCGGTGTCCGGGGACGGTGCCCTTGTCCTCGAGGCGGCCCTGGACGCGTCGCCTGCGGGGCCTGAACCGAGGACCCCCCCGTACCCCGCTTTGTCCTGGTGAGGCGCTCCTGCCGCGCAGCGGCATCTTCCTCTGTTAACGTCGAGAATGAGTAGTGAAGGCTGCTCATTATCCTGCATTGTAAAGTAAAACTTGTCTTTTTAGAAGCGTCTCCTGAAAATTGGCGCATCTCCTGTGCTTCTCTGGGTTGTATTGGGAAACTGGGCCAGTCGCTGTCAGGACTGTCCTGTTGGTAGGTCTCGAGGGAAAGAAATGGGAGAGAAACCTACCCCGTAAATATTTTCCTACTCAGGTGCTTTTCGAACTACCTATTAGGTGATTGCCTTTTTTTTTTTTTTTTTTTTTCCTGGAACAAATTACAAACTGCAGGTAGAAATCAGGAAGGCCTCTTTAGGCTCCTCGCCAGGCAGCCTTTTTAGCATTTTTCTGAATGTGAACAGGTCCAAACGACAGAGCAGAATTTGAAAAGAAAGGTTTTGCTGCAGATTCATAACGAGGACTTTATTTTTCATTGGTATTTTAATGGTAATGGTATAGCAATGTTTTATTTTTAATGTTTTTTTTAAATGGCTACTAAAATTTTATTTTGAAATCACAGCTGTTTCAGTCACCCCCAAGAAACCTTTAAAACGTCTTATTAGAAACATTTTTATATATAGGAACATTTAGCCATTTATACACATTTCTAAGATAGAAATCACAATGAAGATACGTTGTTTCACTATTCCAAGTTCCAAGTAACCATGGTGAATATGGTTTCCCCATTCCAAGTAACCATTGTGAATGTGGTTATACACCTCCAGTCTTTTTCTATGCAGAGCTTAATACATGAGTTTTTCTAAAGTGAATTCTCTTTTGTAATTATCTTTTTCTGACTAGATAGCATGCCATTATATGGCTGTAATATTATAATTTATTTCATTGGTCATTCTCAGTTCTTCCCTATTAAAATACATTGTTGGGTAAATGTAAAAGTCCGCATATCTATGATTACTTTCGAATCTCACTCTGTCGCCCAGGCTGGAGTGTAGTGGCACGATCTCGGCTCACTGCAACCTCCACCTCCTGGGTTCAAGTGATTCCCCTGTGTCAGCCTCCCGAGTAGCTGGGACTACAGGCGTGTGCCACCATGCCCGGCTAATTTTTGTATTTTTAGTAGAGATGGGGTTTCACCATATTTGCCAGGCTGGTCTCAAACTCCTGACCTCCAGCGATCTGCCCGCCTCGGCCTCGCAAAGTGCTGGGATTACAGGTGTGAGCCACCGCGCCCGGCCCATGATTACTTTCTAAGTGTACATTCCTAGATGATAGAATTATTGGGCAGAGTATGCACATAAGGGTTTTTTTTTTTTTAATGTGAATTGCTCAATTTCCCTCTGGAAAGGATATGCTGTTTTGCACTCCTACCAACAATCTGTGAGTGTCCTTACCCACACCCTAGCAAAAGGCAACATTTAAAGGGATTTCTATAGGAATACTTTTGAGCCATACTTGTACTCTCCAACCAAGTACAACTACCCCTCTCTAGTCATCACTTTTTTCTTATTTGTTGATAGCACTTCAGCTTCTCATCTTTTATTGCGCCTTTACTATTTTGGTAAAGAAAGCTTATCTAGGTGAGGCAAAGGCGTAATAGAACAAACAAGAGATTTAAAGTTAGGATCCCCTTGAAATCCAGTATATCTGATTATCTTGAACAAGTCACTTAACTTTTCTAAGGTACTCTTTCCTCAGTGATGCATTAGGGGTTATAATACAGTTGCCTTACTTTTCTTAAGGATTATTTTAAGGGTCAGTTGAAACATTCCTGGAAAGTACATTTAGACACACTTTGTCTTGTTGGTATTTTTAAAAATTATTTTTAATTTATTATTTTTAAATAGAGACAGTGTCTCACTATGTTGCCTAGGCTGGTCTCAAACTCCTGAGCTCGAGCGATTCTCCTGCCTTGGCCTTGCAGAGTGCTGGGATTACAGGCATGAGCCACTGCACCCGGCCATGTTATTACCATCTGGTAGAAATTTCAGAGCACAGAAGCATCTTGAGGTTCATACATTTTTTAAAGTAAATACCTTAATTCAAAAGGCTATTCTCTGATACCCTTTGCCCCCATACTCTTTCACTCCTTAAATTTGAAGTTTTTTGTTTTACTGCTGCCCTAGATTATATTCAAAACTTTATCAGGGTTATGAAATTAGATGAGTGAATGAATCTGCACAAATGTTGAAGGAGCAAATATTTAAAAGCGCTATATAAAGCTGAGAGGGACAGGTATAACGCTAAATAAAACACAGTACTTGGGCTCATGATAAATAAAACATGGTCTTTGTGCCCTGCAGGCTACATTATCCAGGCAGCAGAGGGCATAAAAGCTGCTTTCCAAATTTAGATGGCAATTTTAGATGTGATGCCTGATGTCAACTATTCTCAAGTATGCTAAAGCCCATTTCTGCTGACCAAGCACCTGAGCAAGTGACCGGGCAGCCTCCACAGGGTCATCTTTCTGAAGGTAGGATTCGCAAGGTGAGGAAGTGGTAGTATTATAGTCCAAGAACCTGGGTTCTACTTTCAGGTCCTCCACCTGGGGCAGATCAGTTAACTTTTTTGAGGCTGGCTTTATTCACTCGTGAAATGGAGGTAATTCCAGCTTCCTCATGTGTTTGTTGTGAGGATTACATGACATAGTACGTGTACAACACTTAGTAAACCAGGAACTGCTGGTACTCATGTCATCATTCTTACCCACTAGAGACTTAGCTTCCCCAGGAAAGAAAGTAGGTCTCTTCTAACTTTGTATTCCTACCCCCTAGCAGTCACTGGTACTTAGTCACGTTTGATAAATTAACATAGAATGTGACCACTGATAAAAATTCAGTTTGGGGGTGCCGGGCACAGTGGCTCACGCCTGTAATCCCAGCACTTTGGGAAGCCAAGGTGGACGGATCACCTGAGGTCAGGAGTTTGAGACCAGCCTGGCCAACATGGTGAAACCCCATCTCTGCTAAAAATACAAAAAGTAGCCAGGCGTGGTGGTGCATGCCTGTAATCCCAGCTACTCAGGAGGTTGAGGCATGAGAATTGCTTGAACCCAGGAGGCGGAGGTTGCAGTGAGTCGAGATCGTGCCACTGCACTCCAGCCTGGGTGACAGAGCAAGACTCTGTCTCTAAATAAATAAGTAAATTCAGTTTGGACCAATGAAGAAGGTAATATGTAAATATGGAATATTGGGAAAAATTGACCACGTTATTTGGAGTTAATGTTAAGGAATCAAAGGAAACATTGAACTAATTGGACTTAGACTCATCTCTGCTATGACTATCATTCTACTTTAGATCCCTAATGCCAGGCAAATAGTCCCTCCTTATTAAGAATAAATGTACTGGCTGGGCATGGTGGTTCATACTTATAATCCCAGCACTTTGGGAGGCTGAACTGGGAGGATCACCTGAGGCCAGGAGTTTGAGACTAGCCCTGGCAACATAGCAAGACCCTGTCTCTACAAAAAAATTTTTAAAAAATTAGCTGGGTATGGGGTATGCACCTATAGTCCCAGCTACTCAAAGACTGAAGCGAGAGGATCACTTGAGCCCAGGAGTTCAAGGCTGCAGTGAGCTATGATTGCACTACCGCACACCAGCCTGGGTGAGGGGGTGAGACCTGGACTCAAGGGGAAAAAAAAAAAAAAAAAAACCGACTCAAGTTTCTCCCATTTTAAAACCTCATTCCTAGACCTCTAATCACCCTGCTGCTACCTAGTTTCTCTCTTCCCCCTTCCCTTCCCAGCTGGACTGTTTGAAAGAGTTGTTAATAATTGGCTTTCTCAGTTTAGCCCTCAAGACATGTGTTAACAGTTTTCATTCCTTTTATTTGATCTCTCTGCAGTATTTACCATGAAAGTCTCCCTTTTTGAAACATCCTTCTTTTGTTTCTGAGATTCTGTGTTCCAAGGTTCCCTTCTTCCTCCTGGGAAGTTCCTTCTCAGTTTCTCCTTTGCTGGTTCATCTTCCTCCAAAGGTTGATTTTCCGCAGGCTTGATCCTTCTTGTGCCGTACTGTCTCTGGAACAATTTATAGAGCATTGAGGCTATCTCGTGTTTGAAGATTTGGTAGAATTCCCTGTGAAACCATCTGGGCCTGACGCTTTTTCATGTGATATTTCCTTTATAACTTTCTCAATTTTTTTTTCTGTGGAAATTGGTCTATTTAAGCTTTCTAACTCTAATGGAGAAAATTTTAGTGATCTGTACTTTTCTAGCAAATTATCCCTTTCATCTGGGTTTTCAAATTTATTTGGTAGAGGTCTACAAAGACATCCTTTATTATTTTTAAATTTTTTCATCTTATTTCCTCCATGCCCTCATTTTGTGTTTCTGTGCTTTTCCCCTTTTTTCCTTAAGTTATCTAATGGTTTATCTATTTTATTTTGTTATTTTTTTCAAAAACTACAGAATTTTGAATTATTAATTAGATCTGTTTTTCTGTTTTTTTCCCCTCATTCTTTTCTTCTACTTTCATCTTTTTTTGCTTGTTTTTTCCTGAGACAAGGTCTCTCTCTGTCACTCAGACTGACGTGCAGTCAGTGGCATTGTCTCAGCTCACTGTAGCCTCTACCTCCTGGGCTCAAGCAATCCTCCCACCTCAGCCTCCCAAGTAGCTGGGACTACAGTGGTGCACCACCACACTTGGCTAATTTTGATAATTTTTTTTTGTAGAGACAAGGTCTGCCCATGTTGCCCGGGCTGGCCTTGAACTCTTGGCCTCAAATAATCCTCCTGCCTCAGTCTCCCAAAGTGCCGGAATTACAGGCATGAGCCACTGTGCCTGGCCTACTTTAATCTTTATTATTTACTTCCATGTCCTTTCTTTTGGTTTATTTTGTTATTTTTTAAGTTTCTTTTTTTTTGAGGCAGGGTCTCACTCTGTCACCCAGGCTGGGGTGCAGTGGTCTATCATAGCTCACTGTAGCCTTGAATTCCTGGGCTTTAGCAATCCCCCTGCCTCAACCTCCCGAGAAGCTAGGACTACAGGCGTGTGCCACCACGCCTAGCTAATTTTTTTTTAATTATTTTTTTGTAGAGACAGGGTCTTGTTATGTTTCCCAGGCTATTCCCAAACTCCTGGCATCAAGTGGTACTCCCACCTTAGCCTCCCAAAGCAGTGGGATTACAGGTGTGAGTGCACGGTGCCTAGCCTATTTTTAAGTGTTTTTTGACCTTGGAATAAAATTTACTTATTTTTATTCTTTCATTTTTACTAATAATTGTGTTTAGTGCAATGAATTTTCCTCTGATTACTGCTTTAAATGCATGCTATAAAATTGGATTTGTAGGCTGGTTCGAGTGCAGTGGTATTTACAACTAATCGATGGCAACCAGTTACAGATTTCTTTGTTCCTTCTTCACTCCCGCTACTTCACTTGACTAGCCTTAAAAACATAAAAAAGTAAATAAAAAAGAATCTGATATGTAATGTTTTCAGTGTCGTTATTTCTTTAAAAATGTATAATTTTGGCCGGGCTCACGCCTGTAATCCCAGCACTTTGGGAGGCCGATGCAGGCAGATCACCTGAGGTCGGGAGTTTAAGACCAGCCTGACCAACATGGAGAAACCCCGTCTCTACTAAAAAAATACAAAATTAGCCGGGCGTGGTGGTGCATGCCTATAATCCCAGCTACTCGGGAGGCTGAGGCAGGAGAATCACTTGAACCTGGGAGGCGGAGGTTGCAGTGAGCCGAGATTGTGCCATTGCACTCCAGCCTGGGCAACAAGAGTGAAACTCCGTCTCAAAAAAAAAAAAAGTATAATTTTAGTTCTAAAATACCCAGGAGTTGCTTAATAGTAGGCTATTAAATTTCTACATGGAAGAGGCTTTCTGTTTTTTAAATTATTGTTAATAAATTCTAGTTTCATTGCATTATAATCAGACATATTGTTTGTAATATTTCCACTTTATTGAAGTGGAAATATTTTTTCTTTGTGACCTAATATATGATTATTTTGATGAATGTGGTGTGAGCAGTTGAGAAGAAACTGTATTCATTAGTATCAGAGTGTAGAGTTTGATAAACATTAGTAAGAGTTACTCTATTGAGTATGTTGTTTAGATTTTAGGTCTCCTTATTTTTGGTTCACCTAATATGTCTTGTACAAAGAATGATGTATTAAAGTCTCCTATTATTAGTGTGTTTCCAGTGTCTCCTCGCATCTCTTGTAGTTTTTGTCTCATGAAGGTGATTGCTGTGTTATGTTTATATAAATACATATATTTATATGTTATATCTTCATTGTGGGGTGTGGCTTTTGGGATTAAAAAGTGTCTTTTTGTGTCACAGTTAATGCTTTAGGACATGGATTCTGCTTTGCCTGAGACCAGGGTTGCCATTCCTAGTCTTTTTTTTTTTTTTTTTTTTTTTTTGAGATGGAGTCTTGCTCTTGTTGCCCAGGCTGGAGTGCAGTAGCACGATCTCGGCTCACTGCAACTTCCGCCTCCCGGGTTCAAGCGATTCTCCTGCCTCAGCCTCCTGAGTAGCTGGGACTATAGGCGCGTGCCGCCACGCCCAGCTACATTTTTTTATATTTTTAGCGGAGACGGGGTTTCACGGTGTTTGCCAGGCTGGTCTCGAACTCCTGACCTGAGGTGATCCACCCGCCTTAGCCTCCCAAAGTGCTGGGATTACAAGCATAAGCCACCTTGCCCAGCTGCCTACTCTCCTTTTGTTTCCATTTGCCTCGTATACCTTTTCCAGCTATTTATGTATTTACTTATTTATTTAGAGACTGTGTCTCACTCTCTTTCCCAGGCTGGAGTGCAGTGGTGTGATCTTGGCTTACTGTAAGCTCCGCCTCCCGGGTTCAAGTGATTCTCCTGCCTCAGCCTCCTGAGTAGCTGGGACCGTAGGCGCATGCCACCATGCCCAGCTACATTTTTTTTATATTTTTAGTGGAGACGGGGTTTTGCCGTGTTTGCCGGCCTTGTCTTCTGACCTCAGGTGATCCACCCGCCTTGGCCTCCCAAAGTGCTGGGATTACAGGCATGAGCCACCATGCCCAGCTAATTTTTTTGTATTTTTAGTAGAGACGGGGTTTCGCCATGTTGGCCAAGCTGGTCTCGAACTCCTGACTTCTGGTGATCTGCCCGCCTGCCTCGGCCTCCCAAAGTGCTGGGGTTACAGGTGTGAGCCACTATGCCCGGCCTAACCTTTTATTTTTAACCATTCAGAATCACTTTGGGGCTGGGTGTTGTGGCTCACGCCTGTAATCCCGGCACTTTGGGAGGCCAAGGCAGGTGGATCACCTGAGGTCAGGAGTTTGAGACCAGCTTGGCCAACATGGCGAAACCCCATCTCCACTAAAAATACAAAAAAATTTAGCTGGGCGTGGTGCTGCACACCTATAGTACCAGCTACTTGGGAGGCTGAAGCACGGGAATCGCTTGAACTTGGGAGGTGGAGGTTGCAGTGAGTGGAGATGGTGCCGCTGCAGTCCAGCCTGGGCAACAGAGCCTCCGTCTCAAAAAAAAAAAAAAAAAAGAAAAAAAAAAGGAATCACTTTGGTTTAGATATGTCTTTTGTATTGTAAAAGTTGTTGAGGTTTCTTCTGTTAGTCAAATTGAAAATTTTTATTGTAATAGGTGGATTAAGCCCACCCACATTTATTGTTAGGACTGAAAAATTTGACCTCAAATCCATCATAATATTTTATAATTATGTGTATTTGTTATCTTTGCCATTTCTCTATGCGAGGTAGATATTTTGCTCTTTTATTACAAAAATTAGGGTGTGTGTGGGGGTGTATTTAGGAAGGTTTGCATTTTTGTTCTAATCGTTTACCTTTGTACTTACACCTTTTAAAATACCCTCACTCCTTTGTTTGCTTATTTTTCTGTGCATGTGTGTGTGTGTGCGTGTGTGTGTGTGTGTGTGTGTGTGTGTGTGTGTGAAATTGCATCTATGTAATCAAAGTAGGATAATGATAGACAACTGTGGAATTCTGTATCTACTTCGTGCTCCTCCTTACTGAAGAACTGGCAATAACAGATAACAGCTACCCACCGTGGCCAAGATAATAATCCATGATGGTCTCTTCAGGTCTACCTTCCCCTTCTCACTATTCTACTGATTGTGCTCTTTTTCTGTGGGCTCTGACTTGGTGCGTTTCTGTGATGGGAGTGTGGCTTTTTTGTTTGTTTGTTTGTTTGTTGTTGTTGTTGGAGAGAGGGGGTTTCACTGTGTTGCCCAGGCTGGTCTCTAACTTCTGGGCTCAAAGGATCTGCCTGCCTCTGCCTTCCAAAGTGTTGGGATTACAGGCATGAGCCACCACGCCCAGCCTGAGGCTTCTTTGTTGCAAAGGCTTTCCTGGGGAATTTTTATTCTTTGCATTTGTAAATGCTGAATTCACATTTAGTGTGGAATCTCTGTCAGTTGATTTTTTTTCTGTAACAGCTTTGTTGAGATAGAATTAACATAACACAATTTACCCATTTAAAGTGTACAATTCAGTGTTTTTTAGTATATTCATAGAGTTGTGCAACCATCACCACAGTCTAATTTTAGAACATTTTCTTCACCCCCAAAAAGAAACTCTGTGCCCATTAGCCATCATTTCTCATCCCCCCACCCCTTCTCCCACCCAGGCAACCACCAGTCTACTTTTTATTTCTATGGATTTGCTTATTCTGGACATTTCATATAAAGGGAATCATATAATAGTGGTCTTTTGTGACTGGCTTCTTTCGCTTAGCATGATGTTTTCCAGGTTTGTCTGTGTTGTAGCATGTATTGGTACTTCATTCCCTTTTATGGTCAAATGATACATATTCCATTGTATAGTGTAGTATTAATATGCTCCTATGGATATTTGTATACAAGTTTTGTGTAGACATATGTTTTCATTTCTCCTGGGTATCTATCTAGGAGTGGAATAGTTGGGTCATACAGTAACTCTATGTTTAACTTGTGGGGGAACTGCCAAACTTTTCCAAGTGGCTACTCTATTTTACATTTCTACCAGGAATGTGTGAGGGTTCCAATATTTCTACATCCCTGAAATGCTTGTTATTTTGATGATGCCCAATTTATCCATTTTTTCTTTTGTTGCTTTGTTTTTTGTTTTGTTTTGATTTTTTTTGTAGCAGCAATTGGAAATAACGTTGCTTTGTTTTTGATATCCTAACTTAAAAATCATTTCCTGATCCAAGATCATACAGATTATTTTTATGTTTTCTTCTAAGTTTTATAGATTTAACTCTTATATTTAGGTCCTTAATCCATTTTGAGTTAATTTTTGTATATGGTATGAGGTAGGGTCAAACTTTAACCTTTTGCTTGTCGATATCCAGTTGTCTCAGCACCCGGTGTTGATTTGTTTAACCTCTTAATATCTGGTGTATCTATTTTTTCCTGCCAGTATCCCTTAAACCCACCTATTGTGTACATAGCAGTGGAACTGCTTCTACTGTTCTCTCTTGCTTTCTCTTCTTCTCCCGTTTTCTAGTTGTACTTTCTTTTTTTAACTCTATCACAATGTGTAGCAATTTTTTTTTTTTTTTTTGAGACGGAGTCTTACTCTGTCGCCCAGGCTGGAGTGCAGTGGTGCAATCTTGGCTCACTGCAACCTCTGCCTCCTGGGTTCAAGCGATTCTCGTGTCTCAGCCTCCCGAGTACCTGGGACTACAGGTGTGCAACACCACGCCTGTCTAATTTTTTGTATTTTTAGTAGAGATGGGGTTTCACCATGTTGGCCAGGCTGGTCTCCAACTCCTGGTCTCAGGTGATCTGCCCACCTCAGCCTCCCAAAGTGCTGGGATTACAGGTGTGAGCCACCACGCCCAGCCAATGTGTAGCAATTTTACACTAATCTTCCGCCTTCATCCTTATCTTTCTTTTAGTGTCTTATATGTACATTTACATATTTTTAAATGCTCACAATCAGTCCTTTTGCTGACATTTCCCCCATTTAGTTGAATAAAGCTCATCCTCCAGTATATTCCTCAGAAAGGGTTAGTGAGTGCAGAATTCCCTATACCCTTGTAAGTTGAAAACTGTTTTTCTTGTTGCCTTGATGTTTAAGGAACTTCGTGACTGATGTAAAATCCTCAGCTCACATTACTTTCATTGAGTTTTATTTTTTAGTGCTGCTGTTTCTCACCTTGCTTTGTATTTTGTTTTTGAAAAATCTCATAATCTGATACTGATCCAGTTCTTTTGGACTTTTAAGTTATTTATTCTTTTTGCCTGGGAGCCTTGAGAATTTTATCTTTATGTTTGAAATCACATAGTTTTTATTAGGCTATATTTCAGACTTACTTGTTCTAGATTAATTTTCCAAGGTACCTGTGAGACCTTAAATGTATAGATTCAGGTATTTTAGGTATTTTAAAATTTCTGGAATGTTTTCTTGCATTCTGAGCAAATTATAGTTTTAAATATTAGTTTAGTTCTATTGTTTGTTTTTTCTTCTTCAGGGACTGCAATTATATGAATATTAGTTTTTTTCTCTACCTATTTGCTATTTCCACTACTTTGTCTCTGACCCTTTCTTTCCCTCTCCCCACTATTCTCTCTCTCTCTCCCTTTCCCTCTCCCTCAATGTCATTTTTATTTTCTTGGTTGTTTTCATGCCAGCCTTCAATGTTCCTTATTAAATTTTAATTTGAGTTTATTCTCTCTTGGGCACATTGTAATTTATTCCTCACTTTTGAGATAGTTGAGTCTTTTTCTCTCATTTTTTTTTCTTGAGTTCAGTTAACTTTTATTCTTTCATTTTTTCATTTTTTATTTGTTTTTCATCTATTTCTGTTCTTAGTTTGTGAATTTCTGATTCAAGGTAGGTTTTTTAATATCCTCAAATGATTTTGAATATATTTAATTCTATTTGTAGTACAGGCATACCTCAGAGATATTGCGGGTTTGGTTCCAGACCACCACAATAAAGTGAATATTGTAATAAAGTGAGTCACACAATTTTTTTGTTTCCTGATGCACATAAAAGTTATGTTTATGCTATACTGCAGTTTGTTAGGTGTGCAAAAGCATTATGTCTAAAACAATACATACCTTAATTTAAAAATATATTATTGCTAAAAAAAAAATGCTGATGGTCCTCTAAGCCTTCAGTGACGCATCATCTTTCTACTGATGAAGGGTCTTGCCTTAGTTTTATGGGCTGGTGACTGATCAGGGGTTGGTTGTTGAAGGTTGGGGTAGCTAAGGCAATTTTTTTTGGGAGGGGGTGGAGTCTTGCTCTGTCACCCAGGCTGGAGTGCAGTGGCACAATCGTGGCTCACTGGAACCTCCACCTTCTGGGGGTTCAAGTGATTCTCCTGCCTCAGCCTTCCAAGTAGCTGGGATTATAGGTGTATGCCACCACACCTGGCTAATTTTTGTATTTTTAGTAGAGACGGGGTTTCACCATGTTGGCCAGGCTGGTCTCGAACTCCTGGCCTCAACTGATTCACCTGCATTGGCCTTCCAAAGGGCTGAGATTACAGGCATGAGCTACCACGCCCAGCCTAGGGCAATTTCTTAAAATAAGGCAACAATAAGGTTTGTTGCATCGATCAACTCTTCCTTTACAAAAGATTTCTCTGGCTGGATGCTGTGGCTCACCCCTGTAATCCCAGCACTTTGGGAGGCTAAGGCAGGAGTATCTCTTGAGGATAGGAGATCAAGACCAGCCTGGGCAACAAAGTGAAACCCCATCTCTGAAAAAATATAAGACAAAAAAAAAATAAATAAGAGATTTCTCTGTAGCATAGATGCTGTTTGATAGCATTTTACTCACAGTAGCACTTCCATCAAAATTAAAGTAAACCTGTCAAACCCTGCTACTGCTTTATCAACTAAACATATGTAATATTCTAAATCCTTTTTTATAATTTCAACGATGTTCATAGCATCTTCACCAGGAGGAGATTCCAATCAAGAAACCACTTTCTTTGCTCATCTGTAAGAAGCAACTCTGCATACATCCAAGTTTGATCATGAGATTGCAGCAATTTAGTCACATCTTCAGGCTTTACTTCCTCTTCTAGCTCTCTTGGTGTTTCTACCACATCTGCATTGACTTCCTCCACTGAAGTCTTGAACCCCTCAAAATCATCCGTGAGAGTTGGAATCAACTTCTTCCAAACCCCTGTTAATACTGATATTTTGACCTCCTCCCATGAGTCATGAATGTTCTTAATGGCATCTAGAATGGTGAATCCTTTCCAGAAGGTTTTCAATTGACTTTCCCCAGATCCATCAGAGGAATCACTATCAATGGCAGCTATAGTCTTACAAAACGTATTTCTTAAATAACAAGACTTGAAAGTCAAAATTACTCCTTGATCTATGGGCTACAGAATGAATGCTGTGTTAGCAGGCACAAAAACAGCATTAATCTCCTTGTATATCTCCATCAGAGCTCTTGGGTGACCAGGTGCATTGTCAATGAGCATTAATATTTTGAAAGGAATCTTTTTTTTTTTTGAGCAGTAGGTCTCAACATTGGGCTTAAAATATTCAGTAAACCATGCTGTAAACAGATGTGCTGTCACTCAGGCTTTGTTGTCCCATTTATGGAGCACAGGCAGAGTAGATTTAGTATAATTCTTAAGGGCCCCAGGAATTTTAGGATGGTCAGTGAACATTGGCTTCAACTGAAAGTCATAGCTGCATTAGCCCCTAACAAGAGAGTCAGGCTGTCCTTTAAAGCATTGAGGCCAGGCATTTACCTCTCTAATTGTGAAAGTCCCATCTTCCAAGAGAAGGCTGTTTCATCTACACTGAAAACGTGTTGTTTAATGTAACCACCTTCATCAGCGATCTTCTGGATAACTTGCTGCAGCTTCTCCGTCAGCACTTGCTGCCTCACTTTGCCCTTTTATGTTATGGCGATGGCTTCTTTCCTTAAACGTCACAAGCCAACCTCTGCTAACTTCCAACTTTGCTTCTGCAGCTTCCTTACCTCTCTCAGGCTTCACAGAATTGAATGGAGTTAGAGTCTTGCTCTGGATTGGGCTTTGGCTTAAGGGAACGTTGTGGCTGGTTTGAGCTTCTATCCGGACCACTCAAACTTTCTCCATATCAGCAATAAGACTGTTTCACTTTCTTATTCATGTGTTCATTGAAGTAACACATTTAATTTCCTTCAAGAACTTTCCCTTTGCATCCACAACTTGGCTGTTTGACCCAAGAAGCCTAGTTTTTGGCCTTTCTCAGCTTTCGATGAGCCTTCCTCACTAAGCTTAATCATTTCTAGCTTTTGATTTAACGTGAGATGTGTGACTCTTCCTTTCACTTGAACATTTAGAGGCCATTTTAGGATTATTAGTTGACCTCATTTCAATATTATTGTGTCTCAGGGAGTAGGGAGGCCTGAAGAAAGGGAGAGAGAAGGAAGAATGCCCCATCAGAACACATACTACATTTATTGATTATGTTCGCATCTTATAAGGGCATGGTTCATGGTGCCCCCAATTACAATAGTAGCATCAAAGATCACAGATCACCATAACAGATATAATAATAGGGAAGAAGTTTGAAATACTTTGATAATTCCCAAAATGTGATATGACACAGAGACAAGAAGTAAACACATGAGGTTGGAAAAATGGCACTGATAGACTCGTTCAATGCAGGTTTGCCACAAACCCTGCATAGTAAAAAATTCTGCATTTGTAAAAAATGCAGTATCTGTGAAGCGCAGTAAGGCAGAGCACAATAAAATGAGATGTGCCTCTACAGACTTACTGTTTCCTTTTGCTTCATGGTTTTTTGGGGAGAAAATTTTCGCAGGTAGGAAATTCTGTTTTCTGGCTGGGCATGGTGGCTCTTGCCTGTAATCTCAGCACTTTGGGAGACTGAGGCAGGTGGATCACCTGAGGTCAGGAGTTCGAGACCAGCCTGGCCAACGTGGTGAAACCTCGTCTCTACTAAAAATACAAAAATTAGCCAGGAGTGGTGGCGCATGCCTGTAATCCCAGCTACTTGGGAGGCTGAGGCAGGAGAATCGCTGGAACCCGAGAGGCGGAGGCTGCAGGGAGCCGAGATTGCACCACTGCACTCCAGCCTGGGTGACAGAGCGAGACTCCATCTCAAAAAAAAAAGAAATTCTGTTTTCCCACTCTCTTGTCAACACATGGGTGCCATCAGACTTTAAAATTTTTGCAAATCTCATGAGTGTGAAATAATATCTCATTATTTTCATGTTATTTCCTGGATTCTTAGCAGGGTGGAGTATCTTTTCATGTGTTTATTGGACATTTGTATTTCCTCTTTGTTGAAAACTGGAAGGGTGGAGCTGCCATTTACTGAGATGGGACAGACTGTAAGAGGAGAAAATGTTGGAGGGAGATGAGGAGTTTGCTCATGGACATGTTTACAGAATCCAGTGGGCTGTTGGATATGCAAGGCTAGAGTGCATGGGATGGGTGTGAGCTGGAGTTATAAATTTGAGGTTGTTAGTTTATAGAGGATATTTAAAGGCATGAGACTGAATGAGAGTATGGACACAAGTCCAAAGACCAAAGTCACTATTTAGAGGAAGACTGGGTTCACTCTTAAGGGTCAGGGTGATGACAGGGAAGATGAGGAGAAATGGCAAAAGAGACAGAAGGAATTGTTATAGAGGTAGGAGGAAAACCAAGAAAGTGTAGTATTCTGGAATCCAAGTGAAGAAAATGTTTCCAGGAGGAAGGTGTGTGAAATGCTCCTGGCAGCCATGTGTGGTGGTTCACGCCTGTAATCCCAATGCTTTGAAAGGCCGAGGCAGGAGGATCGCTTGAGCCTAAGAGTTTGAGACCAGCCTGGCAACATATTGAGTCCCATCTGTACAAAAAATTTTAAAAATTAGCTGGGCATGGGCCGGGCGCAGTGGCTCACGCCTGTAATCCTAGCCCTTTGGGAGGCTGAGGCGGGCAGATCATTTGAGGCCAGAAGTTCAGGACCAGCCTGGCCAACGTGGTGAAACCCTGTCTCTACTGAAAGTACAAAGATTAGTCGGGTGTGGTGGCGCACACCTGTAGTCCCAGCTACTTGGGAGGCTGAGGCATGAGAATCACTTGAACCCGGGAGGTGGAGGTTGCAGTGAGCCGAGATCGCAGCACTGCACTCCACCCTGGGTGACAGAGTGAGACTCCATCTCAAAAAAAGAAAAAAAAAGGAAGGGAAAAAAAAAAGAAAAAAGAACCATATAGTAAATATTTTAGGCTTTGTGGGCCACGTACAGTCTCTGTCACATATTCTTCTTCTTTTTTTTTTTTTAACAACACTTTAAAATGTAAAAAGCATTCTCAGCTCAGGCTGTATGTTTAAACCTCCTCTCTTATCTATCAAGCAGCTGAACTAGTACTTCTCGTTATCAGCTGATGCCCACTAAGCAATTGCAAACAAAGTTAACTTTAAAAAATAGCTTTATAGTTTACTGGTTTAAAGTGTGCATTTCAGTGGTTTTTAGTATGCTTGCAGAGTTATGCAACCATCTCCATAATATCTGATCTAATTTTAGAATATTTTCATCACCCCAAAGCTAATGTTTTTACAGCTTTGAGGTATAATTTATATGCAATAAAATTCACCATCTTTGAATGAATAGTTTGAAATTTATTTATTTATTTATTTTTTTGAGATGCAGTCTCACTCTGTCACCTAGGCTGGAGTCCAGTGGTGCGATCTCGGCTCACTGTAACCTCCGCCCCCCGGGTTCAAGCGATTCTCCTGCCTCAACCTCCCGAGTAGCTGGGACTACAGCCACGCGCCACCATGCCTGGCTAATTTTTTTGTATTTTTAGTAGAGATGGGGTTTCACCATTTTAGCCAGGATGGTCTCGATCTCCTGACCTCGTGATCCACCCACCTCAGCCTCCCAAAGTGCTGGGATTACAGGGGTGAATGAGCTGCCGTGCCTGGCCCATTTGAATTTTAATAAAACTAATTTTAATATTGGGTGAAGGAAAGTGTTCTTAATAATACTTCTTTTATCACATGCAATAAATGTCGCTTGTAAATATTTTCTCCCAAGTGATGTCCACTTTTCCTTTAAAACTAGTGGTTCTGTAGCCCCTGGACCAGCAGCATCCACATCACCTGGGAACCTGCTAGAGTGGGGCCCACCCCAGGGGTAGGGCCCAGCAATCTGTATTTTAACCAGCCCTCCAGGCGATTCTAATGCACACTAAAGTTTGAGAACTACTCCAGTGTATATTCCTGCATGGAATTGCTGGGCTGTGGGATATGGGCATGTTCGACTTTATTGGGTATTTCCAAACTACAGGTGACACTTGAACAACATGGGTTTGAACTGTGTGGGTCCACTTATATGTGAAGTTTTTCCCAATGAAACGGGTATAGAAAATACGGCATTTGAGATATGTGAAAGCTGCCTATACAGAGGGACTTGGATATGCACGGATTTTGGCGTATGTGGGGATTCTGGAACCAATCCCCTGAGTGTACCAAGGGGCAATGGTATTTTCAAACTGGTTATACTGTACCATGTACAGTTCACCTAGCAGTAACTGAGAGTTCCCATTTTCACACATCTTTGCCAACACTTTGGAATATGCAACTTAAACATTTTTGGCCTATCTGATGGGTGATCATAGCCCTTTGGCATATCAAATGGCTATGATCTTAATTTGTATTTTCCCAATTGCTAATTAAGTTGAACATCTCATACGTTCATAGGTCATTTGAGTTTTGTGTTCTGTGATAATGGAGTCTTTTGCCTATTGAAATAAATACAGTTATGTAAATAAATACGATGTGTTGAAATAATTGCAAAATAAACCCAGAATTCCCAAGGAGAAAGAAGCCCAGAGGGAAAAAACAGAAAGTCCAGGAAAGAGTCCTAGGGGATGTGATAGTTACACAATCGGGAAAGAATAGGGATTTGTCAAGCTGACCGAGGGAAGGCCATCCATGTGCTGGACGAGCATGGCCTGATCAGGGAAAGCAAGTAGTGTGGTGTAGGGGACTAGTAGGGTGTGTGGGGGAAAAGACACACATAAGGCTGGGAGAAAGGTAGGAAGCAACTAGATGTATCTATCTTACATTTGTTTAATCTTTTTTGTTGAGCATTTGGGTTATTAGTTTTCTTGAGCTTTTTTTCTTTCCTATTATAAATAAAACTGATACAAACATCTTAGTGTACACAGCTGATTTTTTTCTTTTGAATTATTTTTTAAAACAAGTTTAAACTGAAATTACTAGATTAAAGGAAAGGAGGTATGATTAGTTTCATAGTTTCTTGTAAGAAACATGTATGTTTCAAGATTACTCTCCATTAGTCATTAGGGAAATGCAAATCAAAAACACAATGAGATACCACTTCATACCCACTAGGATGGCTATAGTCAAAAATATAGTAAGTGTTGGTGAGGATGTAGAAAAATTAGAACCCTCATACACTGCTGGTGGGAATGTAAAATGGTGCAGCTACTTTGGAAAAGTTTGGCAGATCCTCAAAAAGTTAAACATAGAGTTACCAAGTGACCCAGTAATTCCACTTCTAGGTATATACCCAAGGAAATGAAAACATATGTCCACATAAAAACTTGTACACAAATGTTCGTAAGAGCGTTATTTATAATAGCTGAAAGGTAGAAACAACCCAAATGTGCATGGAGAGGTGAATGAATGAACAAAATGTAATGTACCCATACAATGAAATGTCTATTATTCTACCATAAAAAGGGATGACGTACTGATACATACTACAACACAGGTGAACCTTGAAAACATGCTAAGTGAAAGAAGCCAGTCACAAAAAAACTACATACTGTTTGATTCCATTTGTATGAGATGTCTCAAATAGGCAGATCCATAGAAACGGGCTAAGCAGGGGAGGGGAGAAGTGGGGATTCACTGCTAATGGGGTCTCTTTTGGGAGGATGAAAATGTTCTACAACTAGACAGTGATAATGGTTGTATATCACTGTGAATATACTAAAAAACATTGAATTGTATACTTTAAATGGGTAAATTATATGGCATGTGAATTCAATATCAATAAATATGTTTTGTTTTTAAAAATGGAAAAAAGATTATGCTCCAGAAAAATTTTCCTTTCTCATTATCATCAGCAATATTTTTGTTCCCACCCGCCCCCAAAAAAATTACCACCTTTGGGTTTATTATTTTCATTAAATTTAATAGGTATGAACTGATACCCAGAGTTTATCTAGTGAAATTATAAGCTTCCCTATTGAATGTAATCTCTATCAGAGCAGGAAGTTTTGTCTGTTTTTGTTCACTGCTGTAGCCCTAGAACAGTGTCTGGCAAATAATTGGTACACAGCAAAATTTGTTAAATGAATACATTTTGATACTTTTAGTTACTAAGTAAACATTTTTTCCTTTAGTGTTTTAATTTCATAATACTTTGTGAGCTAATTGTTCTTAGCCTCAAAATCTTTTTAGAAAGAGGCTGTGTATAACTAAATGAATTGAATTGATTGTACTTCCTTTAATGAGTGATCTAGTTCAAGTTCTTTGACTTGATATGCTTTTACTTTCTTTTGAAATTCAGGATAACAGTAGTTTGCAAATGTTTGAGTATGAGGACCGCCTTTTAAACTGATGTCTACATAATAATTGTACTTTTTGTATCTGTGGGTGGAAAAACTGCATAGTGACAAGAAGCCTTTATATTTTAGTTTCACCATAGTGTCTTCAGAAATTTGCAAAATCGAGGTGCATAATATATGAGACATACACTTATTTATTCTGTGGTCTGTGCACGGTAGCTATATGATAATTCATGAGCCCATGGCAGTCGTTCTAGAAGCCACCAGGGGTTTGGGACCACTAAGTTAGGAACTACTTAATATTCGTATCAGAACTGAGGAGGACTACTGAGTTGTAAATAATAGCTAGTATAGGAGATTATACCTACTTATGTGTTTTTAAAATTCAGTTTCCGAAGCTATCAGTTTCTTTTAAAGACTGAAGAATATTTGAAAAATCAAGTTTAGAAGTGCCTTTTAAAATTTACTTATTTGACATTATTTGTTTTAGCAAAAAACCAGAAGCAAACTAAATGTCTAATAATGTTCAATTATATTTTGGGCATATTTGTCTGGTGGAAAGTTAGGCAGCAGTTGAGTATTAGAAATTGTAATTCTGACCGGATGTGGTAGCTCACGCCTGTAATCCCAGCACTTTGGGAGGCCAAGGTCGGAGGATTGCTTGAACTCAGGAGATCCAGACCAACCTGGGCAACATGGCAAAACCCCGTGTCTACCAAAAATACAAAAATTAGCCAGGTGCGGATGTGCACGCTTGTGGTCCCAGCTACCTGGGAGGTCGAGCATCGCTGGAGCCTGGGAAGTTGAGGCTGCAGTGAACTGTGATCGCACCACTGCACTCCAGCCTGGGAGAAAGAGCAAAACCCTGTCTCAAAAGAAAAGAAATTTTAAAAGAAGAAATTATAATTCTTAGAATCTAACAATTTAAAAAGCAGAGTATACCATCACGTATTCCTAAACATTTAAACTGTGATTATATGAAGTGTTTCTGTACATGGTGAAAGACAGGAAAGTAGTAGTGCTTGTATTCAGATAGAGGAATTCTGGGTAATTTTTCCTCTTTTTGGAATACTTATTTAGCAGTTGCTGTTGCCAGACACCAATAAGCTCTTTTTATGATTTAATTTAGGGGTCATTAAACTACAATGCATTTGACTTGCCGGGCCTATTTTTGTATGACCCACTTGAGCTAAATAGTTTTTGTACTTTTATTTTTTTAATTTGACCAACATAGTGCCTTTAACCTAGTATATTCAAAATATTTCAACATGTAGTTAATATTAGAAATACATCAATAAAATATTTTACATTTTTTATATGAACTCTTTGAAATCTGATGTGGATTTTACACTTACGACACATCTCAATGTTGTCACATTTTTACATTTTTAAAGAGTTGCTTTAAAAAAAAGAAGAAACAGATGTGACAGAGACCTTACATGGCCTGCAAAGCCTAAAATAGTTACCACTTGGCACTTTGCAGACAGTTTACTGACCCCTGATTTAATTCATTTTATCCTGACAACATTCCAATAAGAAGGGGTGCTATTATTATCATTTCCATGTTAGAGATGAGGAAGCTGAGGCACAAAGGGTTTAAGTCAATTGGCAGCATTCGCTATGTTTTAGATCAAATTGTAGGGTCTTTCTACAAACCTGCTAATCCTGTGTTTCTTTGCAGTGTAAAAAGTGGATAGTGGCTCACGTGTCAAAGGATGGCACGGTCACGATCTAGATCCCCCAGGTGGAAACACAGGTGAGCAGTTCTTAGCAGAGTAAGCTTGGATTTGGGATGTGCTGTGACTTTCAATTTCACCAGTACTAGTAAACACTTAAGCTCATGGGACCTGGTTATTCACAGTAGGTACTTTATCATAGTGGAGGTTGTATTTCTACATTCTAGTAGCTGACAGCTTTGTTTAATCATAGCAGGTGGCTAGAGTTAAATAATGAAAAGCAGTGCAGTGGCCACAGCAAGAGAGAGTGAGAAATATCTTTGAGAGTATTACATTTTTTGAATTAGTGAGCAGTTTAGAACTCCTCAGTATGGATTTCATTTTATTTTTTCATAATTAATATGTTTAAAGAAATTTCGAGTTAGAAAATAGGGAGTTTCCTCTTTCTTCTTCATGGCAGAATAATAGAGTTTTGAATAGTTCGATTATAGTCCATTTCTCCTTCCTTCTTGGTAGTATCAAAATTATGTATCATTAGATTGGAACAATTTAACCAGTCTTTATTGTACACCTGCTACAGGCAGGTTCTTGGGCTACAAAGGCAAATATGCCATCTTCTTTGGCCTCAGCAAGCACGTGGTTGGGCTGGGAGATTGACACCATGGCCAACTATGATACAGTGGGGAAAATGCTGTGCTACTTATTGGGACAAAGGATTCTGGATTTCTAGGGAGGAAATAATTCTGTTTTTGTGGAGGAAAAAGAGGGTACTAAGAAAGTCTTCAAAGAAGAGATGAAAACAATTTTATCTGGGCGTTTCAGGATGTGTAGAACTTCTAAAGGCAGAAAGAGTGAAGAGAAATATTCTAGTTAAGGGGGAGAGCAGGAGCAAAGGCACCGAGCTGTAAATGTGACTAGTATTTTCTAGGACTTAAAAAGGACCATCATTTCACACAAAAAAGGCAGACCAAGATTTTTCATGTTAAGATAACTTGCCCATTTTGCTTGTGCATTTCAGTTATGCAGTAACTAATCAATCATTTTGTCAACAGTTTTCATTTTGTAATTCACAGGAGCCACTTGCAATGGCAAGGAACTTGAGAAAGAAAAGGGAATGTATAGAAGTGAATGATTTTAACAGGGTATCACAGAGGTCATTTATTTTTATTTTTTTTATTTTTATTTTGTTTTGAGATGGAATCTCGCTCTGTCGCCCAGGCTGGAGTGCAATGGCGTGATCTCAGCTCACTGCAAGCTCCGTCTCCCGGGTTCACGCCATTCTCCTGCCTCAGCCTCCTGAGTAGCTGGGACTACAGGTGCCCGCCACCACGCCCGGCTAATTTTTTGTATTTTTAGTAGAGACAGGGTTTCACTCTGTTAGCCAGGATGGTCTCCATCTCCTGTCCTCGTGATCCGCCCGCCTCGGCCTCCCAAAGTGCTGGGATTACAGGCGTGAGCCACTGCGCCCGGCCCACAGAGGTCATTTCTTGATAAGACAAAAGGCGCTGATGAGGGGCACAAGAGACCCTGCCAAGCTTAGTGCCTGAGTTCCAGGTTCCTTCTCAGGTTTCTTTGTTAAGAACTATAAAGGATCTGATATTTTACCTTACTTGCAAACTAACACATTATTAGCCTGCCACAGGGCACTCTTGGGTCAGAGACAAAGGCCTTTATTACTCAGAATACAGCAAGCAGCTTGAGCTTCATGTTCCTGTCATTCCCCCCACCCTCTGGGTCCCGTGAGGGCTGGGACTGCAGAGCCACTGACTGGATGGATGCCGTGAGGCAGCGAGCTTTCCATACAGGCAGTGGGGTTATAGTACAACTGAGGAACATGAGTCCCTTATCAGGGGCTGCAGATAAACCCATCATGCAGCCTTTGCCTTGGAGGAGACATTTATTTTATTATCCTGGACAGCAAACACATCAGCCCTTTTCCCTGAGTGAGACCCTATCTCTATCTTGCAACACTGCCTTAGAACAAAGGTTGTCAGTGCCTCTGCTCACAGGGCGCTCGCAAGGCGTGCAGAACTCAAGAGACTGTGGAGAATTATCTCCCAACAGACTCCTTGAGTCTTTTTTGTTCCTTTAGGAAAACCAAAAACAATAGCAACTGTTCCAGCAAACTTCTTCGGAAGAAAGGGACACTGTGCTATGAAACATATAAAATAGCATATCAAACCGATATTGAATGTGAAGTAAGGATTAAAAGTAAGTTATTGGGAATTCCATCCAGACTGCAAGACCTTTGACTCTGGCTGCCAGCTTTTCTCCTTGGCTGTGAAAGAGATGAAATCTTCCAGGAAGTCCTCAGAGGCTCCACTTGCTTCCTCCTGTGATGAGGTGTAGCCAGCTGGATGGCAGAGTTTCTGCTTTAGCTAAATAACACTTGCCAGTATGTCTAGCTTGGTGACTCCAGAGGGCAATATTGCCAAGTTCAGTATATAACTCCTAGTAGGTACATGAGGAAGGTAGATCTGCCTCCTTTCTTGTAGGGAGGGCACAGACTTATCATCGAAAGGAAAGGGTTTCACTCATGGTTGCGCCAACTCCATGGCAGCTTCTAAGAGAGAGCCATAACAGAAGCTGCAAGGATCGCTTCCTCATTGATTAGAAGACATTAAACCCTCAGGGAGGAGATGGAGAAATTGGGCAGCTCAGATGGTGGAAAGGTCCCCAGGTGCAAAATGGAACTTTATTGTGTCCCAGATAGTGGCACACCTCTCTTTACGTCTAGGCAACCCAGACTGGTTTCCCTGGATACAGAAGCCTTCCGCCTTAGTGGAAACACAAGCCTCAATGTTGGCAATGCTGAGGTATGGAGAAGGTAGTTCCATAAAGGATGTGCTGTCCCTGGAGAGCATTGTAGCTGCTTTAAAGTATAACTTCACCGAAGTTACAAGCTCTGTTCGAACAGCACATCTTTCCATAGATATGCAAAGGAACAGATCTGGGAAAGAAAAGCAACTTACCTATGTTAGAGGTATTTCTGGAGGAACTAAGCATGAGATTCAAGTCTTAAGAGCCTCTTGTTCCCCCTTTTCCCCCGGTTAAGTACATATGTTTTGTTCCTTGATACAGCCTTAGTAGAGAAAGTAGACAATCAGCTGGAGAAACTCTGGGCCTGGCTTGGGTCTGAGTTTGAATTGTAGCATCATTAAATCTTAGACTCTAATTTATTGTCAGAGGTAATGTTCAGTTTGCTGGAGACCCTCCTACACATTGATTTGTGTGAGTCTTGCCTTCCTGCTTGTTTCTTACCTGGCCTTTGAACTGGATGTAAGCTTTTGTTGACTGGCCCTTTGAAGTCACTGCATCTTCTTTTGCCAGAACTTTGCTGTCAGCAGTCTTCCAAAATGGATCCTGCTGTGCACCTAAGCTGGCCCTCCTCCAATGGGACAGGTGTGCTCAGCTCATTTGGATAAGCACGTGGAATACCTTAGTTCAGATGGAAAGAGTATGCTTGTTGGTTGGGCAGTACCATAATCAGACCCCCAGATGTACAATTTAGAATGCAGATGTAGCAAATTGATGAATTTAGTTTGAGTGGAAGAAGCCGAGGGATCCTAGGAAAAGCAACTGTTTTTGGTAGGTCATATTGAGACACGCTTAGTTGATTAAATGGTTTACACTTTTCTGTGTTTGTTTACATAGGTCTTTATCACCAGTACCTAGAAATGCTGAACACTACAAGCAAAGACATTCACACGGGCATTATGGCTGTGAATATAGGAAGGATCCAAAAAGACCCGTCGCGTGGAGAATGGACAGTGAGAAACATGGACAGAGTAAACCAAGGATTCCCTCTCGTGGAAATATATATTACCAGTCTTATGAACATAGATCACCTTCCCCTAACATAAGAAACTCTTTAGAAAATGTTTATATGTATAAGCCTCACAGAGGATATTCGCCTGGAAGAGGGGACAGTAACAGGAGAGCTCAGTATATGCCCAAATACTCAGAGGGTATACCCTACAAAGAGCATGAAAGGAATTCTTATCCCCAGAAAGTGCAAGGAGGGCATAGTCCTGATGACCACAGAGTTAGAGGAAGTGGAAAAGGAGGGAAACCACCTCAGAGGTCAATAGCAGATTCTTTTAGATTTGAAGGAAAGTGGCATGAAGATGAGTTGAGGCACCAGAGGATACAAGAAGAAAAATACTCCCAGTCAACTAGAAGAGGCTCTGAAGACTTTGAGACAAGGAGCTCATTTCAGAAGAGGTATAGGAAAACATTAAACCTGGGTAATTTGGTATAAAGCCTCAAGTGAAAAGATCTGTTTACTTTATGGTTGAAGATAACCACCTTGAAAAGCTTTTGTCTAAAAAGACAAAAAGCATTGTAATTTAATTATGGGGTACTGGTAGTAGTGAAGTATTTCTTTTTAGAGTAAATCATGTTGATGGCTAGAATACTTTTAAAAGATGGTATTTTCCTCTTTAACTGCCTTGTGCCTATAGAATTGGCTTAAAGGGTTATAGATTAACTTGCCACTGCATTCTGCATTTAAAGCCATGCTGCCCGACATTCTACACATATAAATTCTCCCTTTCTTCTCTCTATTGCAAGTGTAAACTGCTTTATGTCAACACAGGTATCCTGAGGATCGTGATTTCAGAAAATATGGACACACATCAAAAAGACCTAAAGACGTGGAGAGGTATGAAAGCAGAGAGCCTGCCAGGAACCCAAAGTGGAAGCCTGAGCATTCCCTCCCACCTTACCAAGAGGACACAGACCAGTGGAACCTTGGGCCCCAAACTTATCGACATGCTGAGAGGGAACACCCAGAGACCAGTTCAGCAACCAAAGTATCCTATGACTATCGTCACAAACGTCCTAAGCTCTTGGATGGGGACCAGGACTTTTCTGATGGGAGAACTCAGAAGTACTGTAAGGAAGAAGATAGAAAATATAGTTTTCAAAAAGGCCCTCTAAATAGAGAGTTAGATTGTTTTAATACTGGAAGAGGGAGAGAGACTCAAGATGGACAAGTCAAAGAACCTTTTAAACCGTCTAAGAAAGACAGCATTGCCTGTACTTATTCAAATAAAAATGATGTTGATTTGCGATCTAGTAATGACAAATGGAAGGAAAAAATAAAGAAAGAAGGGGATTGTAGAAAAGAGAGCAATTCTTCCAGTAACCAACTTGATAAAAGTCAAAAACTTCCTGATGTGAAACCCTCGCCTATCAATCTTAGGAAGAAATCACTTACAGTTAAAGTAGATGTGAAGAAAACAGTAGATACATTCAGGTATTATCTTTGTTTTTTCTTTATGATATTTAATAATGTTTCTACAATCTTTATTTGCAGCTTCAAAAATGGAATTAATAGTGTGTTTAGAGTCCATCAAGTGGGAGGGATTGCCAAGAATTTTCCCCCCCAAAAAAAAAGCCCTGTAGTGAGGCTGTTTCCTGTGATTAGTTACATGGGAGCAATTTCATGTCTCCTTGTTTCCACATCCTATCTCCAGATGCTTCTTGGATGCGGGGCATTCTGTGGAGTTGTTCCTCTTCATGAATTCACGTGTTTTTATGCTGCCAGGTTTTCCTTATCCAAGGATTAGCTGGGTAGAGTTCAAGAAAACCTAGTCCTTGCTCAGTTTCTCAGAGCCTGTGCTCTCTGTTGCCTGAAATTCAGAGAATTTTTGAGCTGAAAGGGACCTTAGCAGGCCCTAGTTTTATACGGGAGGAAAGCGCGACCCTGAGAGATGAAGTGACTTGTCTAAGTCAGAGTGGCTCGGGCTCAAATCCACGTGTTCCCTTATGACTCAACGAGGCAGGTGACTTAATGTGGTTTTTGCTGCCGTCTCATAATGACTGGGGCTCAACCAACTAGATTCTCCCAGGTAGAGGAGATTATACCATAATCTGGGAAGATACCTATTTATAAGACATTTACTTTAGCCCTTAATGATTCTTTAAAAAAATAGACTGTTGTTGTTGTAGGTTATATTCTCTTAAAAGCAGACTCACGTGCTTTGTTCCTTAACGAATATTACTTCCATTTATGGATTCTGAGAATAATAAAGCACTGCAGTTGGCCTAAAACTAAACAGCTAAAACTGTTCATGACCTTAATACACTACCAGTATGTGAATGAAAAAGGGGGGGGCCATGTTGATTTGGTATGTTTATATTCATGCTTGACTCATTTGTATTTGAACCAAAAATGAGAGAAAACAAAATCCAAATGGTAGAATGGGGAGGGAGGTAAACCCACAAGTCCTTTTTTGTAAAACAAAATATTTTTTGTTCCTTTTTCTTTTCTTTTGAGACAAGGTCTTGCTCTGCTGCCCAGGCTGGAGTGCAGTGGCATGATCACAGCTCACTGTAACCTCAAACTCTTGGGCTCAGATGATCCTCCTGCCTCTCCTGTGTTGGCCTCCTGAGTATCTAGGACTATAGGTGCATGCCACCATGCCCAGCTAATTTTTTTCTTTTTTTGTAGAGACAGAATCTTGCTCTGTTGCCCAGGCTGGTCTCAAACTCCTGGCCTCAAATGATCCTCTCGCCTCGGCCTCCCAGAGCAGTGGCATTATCAGCCTGAGCCACTGTACCTGGCCCTGTTCCTTTTCTTAAATTTAGACATGGCAACACCCCACCTCATAGTTCTTTTACATTCATTGCACTTGTAGAAAATATTTTTAAATATACATATGTGCATTTATATATGTGCTCAGAAAGCATTTATGATTATATTACAGAAAGTTCAAGAAATAAAGGGGGGGAATCACCCATAGTTCTACTACTCTACAACAATTTTATTTGCATTTTAGTCTAGTTATTTTTCTATGTATATTTACACATGACTGCTGTGGTATCATATTAATAATTTTGCATCTTTTTACATATGTCTTAAATAATTTTGTGCTATTATATCTCCTACTAGTTCTTCATCTTAAAAGCATAAAAGCTTCTGTAAGTACCAAGTTTAAGAATGTTACCTTAAGGGCTGGGCACAGTAGCTCATGCCTGTAATCCCAGCACTTTGGGAGGCTGAGGTGGAAGGATCGCTTGAGCTCAGGAGTTTGAGGCTGCAGTGAGCCATCATCATGCCACTGCACCCCAGCCTGGGCAATAGAGTGAGACTCTGTCTCAAAAAAAAAAAAAAAAGGGAGCTTGGATTATTGGATTACATTCTGATGGCTATAAGATATACATATATAACATATAACATACATACTTTTCTTTCTTTCTTTTTTTTCTTTTTGAGACAGGGTCACGCTCTGTCACCCAGGCTGGAGTGCAGTGGCGCGATTATGGCTCACTGCAGCCTTGAACTCCTGGGCTCAAGTGATTCTCCTGCATCAGCCTCCTGAGTAGCTGGGACTACAGGCCTGCACCACCACACCCAGCTAATAAAAATTATTTTGTAGAGATAGAAATCTTGCTATGTTGCCCAGGCTGGTCTCAAACTCATGACCTCATGTGATCCTCCCTCCTTGGCCTCCCAGAGCACTAGGATTACAGGCATGAGCCACCATACCCAGCCTTAAGCTTTTTTTCTATCCAACATTCTACTTTGAAAATGTTCAAACATACAGAAAAGCTGAAAGAATTCTACAGTGAACGCCTATATACTCACCACCTAAAGTCTACAATTAACAGTTTACTTTCATAATTACACATCTATTCATCTATTGTTCCACCTTATTTTTTGGATATTTTTCAGAGTAAGTTGCAGATGTCAGTACACTCCCATTTAGATACCTTATACATTTTTGTTTACAGTTCCTCTTTTTTCTTTTGAGGTAAAATTATATACAATCAAATGCATAAAAATCTTTAACTTTTTAATAAAAGTAATGATGTGGCCAGGTGCAATGGCTCATGCCTGTAATCCCAGCATTTGTGGGAGGCCGGGGCAGGCTAATTGCTTGAGCTCAACAGTTCGAGACCAGCCTAGGCAACATGATGAAACCCCATCTCTACAAAAAATACAAAAATTAGCTGGGTGTGTTGACATGTGCCTATAGTCCCAGCTACTTGGGAGGCTGGGGTGGGAGGATTGCTTGAGCCTGGGAGATCGAGACTGCAGTGAGCCATGTTTGTGCCACTGCACTCCAGCCTGGGTGACAAAGCGAGACCCTGTCTCAAAAATAAAAACTAAAAAAATAAAAGTAATGATACCCCCATATTTAATAATGAAGTGTGTTATAGTTAAAAGAGAATTAAAAAATTGTAACACTTTTAAAGAATGCTAGAAATACCAGTTTTGAAGAGTTTTATTTTAATAGACCTCATTAGAGATACTGAACAGTTAATTTTATAATTTGATATGAGAAATGGAAGCTTGATCTTTATCATGTGTCACAAAAATGGGCTTAAAATGGAGACTGCTGCATCTTTTGAATTTATAAACTATGATTTTGTGAAATCTCATAATCTGTCAATGGGATCTGGTGGCATACCAGGGCCATTTGAATACCTGCCCAGGGCCTGCAGGATGGCTTGTGTAATAGCCTCCACTGCAAATCCTCTCTGTTCAAAGACCTGAAAAATAAATAACTGAGCAAATATATGCATCTTTGCAGTATGATAAAGCGTCATAGTCAACAAAATCTTTATTTCCTGGTGAATGGGTTGTGGATGAATTTTGTGGTTTGGATTTAATTATATGTGGACTGATCCATAAAACAAAGATAATGCCCTCAGTAGAATTATGTTTTCAACTATTAAAATAAATTAGATTTTTTTTTCTAGAAAAGAGTAAAATAATCATAGAGTGCAGAGAGAAGTTTATTTATTGGTTAACATCTAGAGAGTTTATCTGCTTTTTTTTGGAAATGCTAAGATGGCTAATTTTGTGCATTTATTTACTTAGCTTTGGTTGAGAATTGATATTTGTTCTTCCAATTGTCAGTATGGTTGAAAACATAAGGTTATCACTGTGATTTTTTTAGATTCTAGTTTGTATCTAGAACAGCAGTAGGTAAACACTTGCTTGAATGTTCACTGCATAGTTAATGCTTCTGTTAAGAAAGACTGTATTCTAATGATCCACTCTGTCAGAAACTTCATTATCAGAAATTACATCTGAGTCATAATTATATGTTTCAGAATGTAAGTTAGGGAATCACAGTATGAAAATTTCTACTAAGGTTGTTACATATGCAAAACATGAACTGTTGTATATATGCATCTGGATGTTTTGGGGCAGACAAATGCAGGTGTTAGTTTAATGTTGGGCTTGAGTGAGTGAGGGCTTGACCCTTGGCTAGGCCAGGAAGGAAGAGGAGGAGGGAGGAGGTGGTACTAATATCTGGAGCAGAATAAGCTGCTGCTGATGGATCAGAGACTCCTTTGATCTCCTGGGAAGCTGATACGAGACACCTGGGACATGGGGAAGGTTGTCCATCAGCATTCATGGCTATCAGAGTTGATGGTGGACTGAGTACATTGGCCACATTTGTGTCTAATCCTTTATTTCCCACTGAAGAGACATAGAGGGGTGTCTCTACCCCTATCAGCTCTTTTCCTAGTTTGAAAGGGGATGAGGTGGGGGATGGGCCCCAGAGGACATTGGGACCCTGACACTCTGAGGAAATGGGTATCACGCAGGCAGGGAACAATGTGAAAAGCCATAACTGAGATTGAAGGAAGGGAACCTAGTCACATAAGTGTACCTATGATGGACACTGTTCCGCTGGAGGCAAAATAAGATGCAGGTGGGGATATTTTTTATACCCAAACCTGCCACCTTGCTGTTATATAGCATAGAAAACTAAAGTTCTCCCCTACTTTAATTTCTCATATGCATTTTAAAATCAAAAATTAATTGAGAGAAGGTTCCCTTTCATTCCTATTTTTGACCCTAGCTTCTCTTGGTGTCTCTTAGGGGGCCTTGTGTAGGGATTCTGTTGGCAGTTAGAGTGCATATGTTTTTGTCTTCCTATGGACCACTGATCAGCTTTGTGACATTGGGCAGGTCACTTGGCTGTAACCTTTTGGGACCAAATTAACCTGCAGTTCCTCCTGGCTCTTTGAGTCTGCTTGGATTGGCCATGTGTTGGTGACCATTGAAGCTGAGTTGACAGACACATGGAGGCTCATAATGTTCATCTCTGAACTTTAGTATATATTAGAAATTTTATACTAAAATATTAAATTCAAATTGGTCTAAGTTAAGCAAAAAATAAAAATAAAAGCCAAGAAAGTTAAAAAAAATTAAATTGGCCTCAATTAAAATGTTGAAGTCTGGCTGGGCATGGTGGCCCACGCCTGTAATCCCAGCACTTTGGGAGGCTGAGGCAGGCAGATCCCTTGAGCTCAGGAGTTTGAGACTAGCCTGGGAAACATAGTGAAACTCCATCTTTACAAAAAATACAAAAATTAGCCAGGTGTAGTGGTGCACACTTATAGTCCCAACTAATCAGGAGGCCGAAGTGGGAGGTTGGCTTCAGGAGGCAGAGGTTGCAGTGAGCCGAGATCACGCCACTGCCCTCCAGCCTGGGTGACAGAGCCAGACCCTGTCTCAAAAAGAAAATAAAAATAAAATGTTGAAGTCTTTTCTCTCTCTCGGCAGAGTCTTGCTCTGTCACCCAAGCTGGATGCAGTGGTGTGATCACGGCTCACTGCAGCCTTGACGTCCTGGGCTCTAGCGATCCTCCCACCTTAGCCTCTCGAGTAGCTGGGACTATAGGCACACGCCACCATGCCTGGCTATTTTTTTTTTTTTATTTTTAGTCGAGATGAGGTCTTGCTGTGTTACCCAGGCTGGTCTTGAACTCCTGAGCTCAAGCAATCCTCCTGCCTCTGCCTCCGAAAGTGTTCAGCCTCTTGAGTAGCTGGGATTACAGGCGTGAGCCACCGCACTTGACCTTATCATCTCTCTAGCTGAAACACTCATTTCAAATTGACCAAGTCATTTTTGATTCATTATTTATTCATTCAGTGGGTATTTTTTGAGGGCCTACCCTGTGTGAGACAGTCTGTTAGGGTGCCCTGGGACTGTAGAGCTGCATACGATTAGGTTCCTCCTCCTTTGGTTTATTGGAGTGCATGTGTGACTCAGCAGAAGATGGGTGGTACCAAGCTGGGAGATTGAAGAGAGGCATCATGTAGTTGACATGTGAGCTAGGCTTCAAAGGCTGGTGTATGCAGACACATGGAGGCAAAAGAAATTTTATATTTACAGGTTAACAATGGCAGAAAAACATACACATGAACTTTGACCTGTGTGGTTTTGAGCAGTCAGTGAAAAGGAATAGAGGGAAAGGAGACTGAAAGGTAAGAATGCTGCGACTGCCAGCCTGATTTGACATTATCAGCTGATAGGAGAGGGCTGGCAGCCCAGTTCTGGCCGCCAGAGGATTGCTGTCTATGAAGTAGACTGAATGCATGTTGGGGCTGGTGAGGCCCACTAGAGGACTTTTGTGCAAAAAGTGAGGAATTAGGGGAGGAGCAATCTCCCTGAACTTTTTCCATCAACTCCACAGTTTCTAAATTGGTTCTTGGGAAGACAGGAGCAAATTATATACAGTCATGCATTGTGCAATGATGGGGATACGTTCTGAGAAATGTCTTGTTAGGCAGTTTTGCCACTGTCTGAAGATCATAGAGTGTATTTACACAAACCTAGATGATGTAACCTACTACACACCTAGGCTATATGGTAGAGCCTATTGCTTCTAGGCTACAAACCTGCACAGCATGTTACTGTACTGAATACTGTAGGCAATTGTAACACATCAGTAACTATTCGTGTATCTAAACATATCTAAACATAGAAAAGGTACACTAGAAATACAGTACCACCATCGTTTAAGTGGTCATTAATGGAAACGCCGTTATGCTGCATGTGACTGTAATTGGGAAAGTGCTTTATATGAACTGTAGGATGCTGTATGAAATGTTAGTTATTAGTTGGAAGAAGACAGAAAGGAAAACTTTATATGTGTCGTACGGATTTTGATAGAAGCTTCCAGAGGGCAGGGGAATCTGTTGGTTTTGGTTGTTGTTGGGTTTTTTGTTGCCGTTTTGCCATGCAGTTCATTTCTTTGATGAGTCCTAAGTGTGTGCAACAGGAAATTAAGGTTTAATGTAGCTTTTTACATTTTCTTGGTTATTACCCACAACGCTCAGGGAGAACATCAGTGGAAATATCCTTAAACAGAAAAATAAACGGGGAAAGTGCAGTCGAGGGAACAAAGGATCTTGGAAGATTTAATGAAACTGATACCAGAAATAGTATTAGAATAGAGGTTTTTGGCTGTATTTTAATTTTTTAAATTGTCTAAAATGCATCTCAAATGAGAACATTTGATCTTTTTAGCTTAACTACTTGCTTTGGGGGTATTTCCTGAAATTATTAACTTGTTAATCAATCCATGCCACAGGAAATAGTAAAAAGTAAAATGTGAACCAAAAGATGATTACATTTACAAATATAAATATTTAGAACATTTTGCATTCTCAAGTCTAAAGAGGGTTTTTCTTGTACCAAAAGTATCATAATTGTTTTTAAAAGACTAAAATTTGGAGGTTATACTATGTTAAATGTATATTTTCTAGAAAATGATAATTTAAATTTTTTATTAAAGATCTTGTAGTAGAGGAACTCTAGGATAAATTTTAATGGATAACAAGTTTAAACACTAAGATTTTAGGAATTAAATATATAATAGCTTCAAAGTATGTAACTCCTATGGATTGAGGATTGAGCATGGAGTGGGGACAAGAGTTTCAGCAGTAATTTGTAAGAAATTATAAGTAAATGTTAATAATTACTCATTGGAAAACTGAACATCTTTATCAGCTTATTTCCTCTTGGGATAAACTGAGGCTGCCAGAAAAAAACCTTATCAACTGATTTCCTCTTGTGGATGGACCATTTGTATAGTTCTATTTAAATATACTATTTTCCTACTATAAAATGTTTTTAAAGGCTATTTTTTCTTTTGCTATGGCACAGGAATTTTGTAACTTTAGACCCCCTTAAACAGAGAGCATTTGTAATTCTTTGTTAGTGGAGGTCGTTACGGGGTGTTCTAACATTTGCCAGCAAATGTCTCTTAGCTAGTTATCACATACACAGTGGGAAGCTTGGAGCAAATTAGGAGGAAAGAAGGGAAATGGGCCTTCTTTCTAATGAAAGTCCTTCTAATGAATCAACGAAACCACAGCAGTGCGGTCAACCTGCTGCATGATTACTTTTCTGTGTTTCTGCCTTGGCAGGGAGTTGACCCTGGCAACGCTGGTCTGAGAGCAGGGAGCACGGAAAGTTAGATGGAAGCCTTTCCTCTGATAAGTTATAAATAGACACTCAAAACCATTTTATTAGAGGAGCTAAAATTTTTAAAGAATATCTGTAAGCCCCTCATAACCCTGCAGCAGTTTGGATATATGGCTGTTACATGACTTAAATAAATAAGTACATATGTGCATGCGTGCACTCATACCCCCAGACACATCTGTCTGTTTGCTTTCTGCTTTATGATGAGCTATTTATTCCAGTGGTGTCCTGTTATTTAAAACATACTTCAGGGCTCTCTTTCAGATTTATCTTCTGAGCCTGTAATGTAGCCATTAAGAACCCCAGCAGTTGCAAATGTCAATTCTTTAGACAGTGAACTTGATTTTTGAGAAGAGCCAAAAGCAATTTAGAGTTAAGTACAGAGGAATGAGATAGGTACAAGCTGATTAGTGCCATTTTGGGTCCAAAATGAGATATAAATATAAAATAATGAGAAAATTTTTTCATTGATGCATGAGGTGCCTGCAGACAAAGCATTTCTGAGTAGTTTTAAGCAAGTGCAGCATTCTTGGAATAAGGTATAGTTTTCCATTACAACACTTGGAAGACATGTTCATTTGAATGCTCAATCTCTGGGATGTGAAACAAAGCAACCAAGACATCCATTGTCTCAGGGTGGTGGCACCTTTCCCCATAGGGTTATTGTAAAGATGAAATGAGATCATGTTGGTAAGCTCTAAGCCCCCCACATGAGGGCATGTGGTAAGCCCTGAATAATTGTTAGCTCTGTATCATAACCATTAGTTTGTAAAAGTACTTAGAGGTCAGGAGAGCTCTTAACAAAAGTTATAAGATTCAGAAGGCATTAAAGTGGTAAGATAGCCGGGGTTATATAATAAATGGTAGTATTTCTTTAAGGGTACATTGAGGGTGAACACTGTAACTGGTGTTAACAATCATAACTTTGCCTAACAACTAAGACTATTTCCTGAGAATTTAGTGAGACTTTGTAATTAAGTTAATCTCTTAACAGAATTTTATTTCAAAATACTATTCTAAGCTTCTTATTATTGATACAAAGATATAAGGATTTTTATTAAGTTAGAGAGGTTCTTATGTTTGATATCAGCTTTTAAAGTGTGGTAGTATTTCAAGATAAAATAATTTTGCTGGACTAACAATGTTTTGGCCATTTGGAAGTAGAAAATAATCTAATCGATTACTTTTTGCATAGTAAGTGTCTTTAATACCTTGTATTTTTCAAGTAAAAATTGTTTCACTTAGAATTTGAAGGATTTTATTATTAAAGTGGCAAATATTTAATGACCTCTGATTTGAAAGAACTCAGAGCCATGTATCTGTAGTTATTTTCTCCTACTTGTTATTGTACATGTTTTATGGCATGGAATTTAGTGCCTTAATTATAAGAAAAGATATACATCTTTCTAGTTTTGTAGCTATCTTAATTTTTGATAAATTCTTTTCTCCACAAAATAGTTTCAAATTTAGTTAAACATTTGCAAATTATTCTAGGGTTGCTTCTAGCTATTCCACAGAGAGACAGATGTCACATGATTTGGTTGCTGTTGGCAGGAAAAGTGAGAACTTTCATCCAGTGTTTGAACATCTTGACTCAACTCAGAATACTGAAAACAAACCTACAGGAGAATTTGCTCAGGAAATCATAACAATAATCCATCAAGTTAAAGGTTGGTATATTTTGCACATACGTTAGGGATAACACAAAAGTAATATACTATTCACGAGATACAGGTAAACACCTGCAGTATAGTTTAATAGTAATTAATATTTCATTGTAAGCTAGACTGTGAATTAGGAAATCTTTTGAAGAGAGTATCAGGCATTCATTCGAGCCTAGTTGTTCTTTATATCTAGTTCCAATAACCTTGTGCTTCAACTGTTAGTAGATTGGAACTTTCAAGTTAGAAAGGGAGAGGCTGGCTGCTGCGAAAGAAAAGGCATACTGAGAGCAGTAAGAAACAATAACTGGTAACCTAACAGGGAGGAAAAAGCAACAAAAAACAGATAGGAAACTCAAGAAATCAGGAAGCCTAGGTCATTTTATGATTCTTAAAGCCCCCTGAGGGCATTACTAGGACTTTGTATCTTAAGGATGATGCTGAGTGATCAGTGAAAGATTCTAGTTTGCTTTGGCATTCTTTATAACTGGGAGTTGCGTAATAAATACTTTTAATGGTTTGCATTAAATTGTTTTGTTTTTGCTTCTGGCGAGTTTCCATTAATTGGAAAATTCAGTGATATAGAACAACTTTCCCCAGTGATGCTACACAAATAAGGCAGTTGTAGGTATTACAAACTGGAGGCCTTCAAGAATTTAAAATTTTTTATTTTGTGCTTCCTACTAGACAATTGCATTAATCTTTCTTACCTTCATAAAATATGTTTTGAAAATGAGTTTTTTTCCTCTGTGTCCCTCAAACTAAGGCATGTATTTACTTTAAAGCACATAGTTTGTCTGAAACAGTTCATCCTCTCAGCTCCAGTCCCTGTCACCCAAAGGAAATGTGATTCTTGGCAGAAATGGAGCTGATTTGCAGAAAAATCCAGGAGATTGTCCCAGAACAGAAACAGTAAATTAGGGAAGAGGATTGCTTAAGTAGCATTCTGATGGACCAAGTGTATTCTCTTTCTCTGTATCCTATTAAAAGTGTGTAGCATAGCTGATTTCTAAATGTTTTCATGAACTTTAATGTGAATTAAAGTAAAGTGGCATTAGAAGGCCTTCTGTGATATGCAAACATAACATTTAGTATTTGTTTGAAATTGTTTTGATGTTTCAGGCTTGTTTTTGAAGTTACTTTTTATTTTCATTCAACTGTGAAGCTCTATGCCATCTTTACTTTCCAGATATAGTAAGTCTTACCTTGGAGAAGAAAGGTCCTTGCTTTGAGAGAGCCATTGTCTTTTCCCCTGGACAAGTAAGCAGGCGTGTCAGATAGAAAGAAAATTCTTCGATTAATAAATCAGGTGTTTTTACTCTTGTTTGGGCTTGGGAAGGCACGTGAGCGCTACAAATTAGTCTGTGAAATAAGTTTGGGTCCCACATATTTTTAAGAGAAAACAGGTTGAATTTTAAAAAATAATCCCTTCTTTCTGTGCTTATATGTAATCTTTTAAGTGAAATCAGCTTAACATTGAGATAAAACTCTTCATTTCCTTTTTCAGCAAATTATTTTCCATCACCTGGCATTACTTTACATGAGCGTTTCTCAACAATGCAAGATATACACAAGGCAGATGTAAATGAAATTCCATTGAATTCAGATCCAGAAATACACAGGTAATGATTGATTACCATATTATACCCATTTAACTAATGGGGATATACCTCAGAAAAGATTTGGGAAGGGGCTGCTTTCCGAACCTGCTCACTTGGGCTTGCTGTAGACTGTAGGATTGCATTTCCTGCACAAAAATAATAGGATAATCCAAGCATTATCTGGCCACTGCACTTTGATGGAATGAATAGGATGCGCTGAAAACATTGACTAGCGTTGTTTAAATGTGTAGGACTTTGAAGATGCTTACATACCTAACTTCACTTCTGCTGTCAATAGTAATTGCTTCCTGAGGTCCTCAGTAGAAGAATGAAAGACAGTTTTCAAGCCATCGAAATCATATGTTGCTTCGTGTGGTCACAAATAGGTGTTCTGAGGGCAGCCAGATGAAACCACGTGTCTTCTGCTGGCACTTGTTGGAGCAGGTGGTGTACCCTGTCTTGTGAGCTGATTTGAATACATGTGAGAATGCAGTATATCACCAGAGCAAAGTTTGAGATTACACAGACTACTGATTTGAGAACCACTAAAGCTTCCCTATAGTGTGTTCCACAGGATATGTATATCCTGGGAGACTGCCATATAGGTGAAAAACTATCTGGTAGCAAGTTTCTTTTGCTAGCTCCAAAACATACTAGCTTTATTTCAAATTCTGTTCTGTAATAGTAGAATCAGGGTATCAGTGTATAACATAATTATTTAGTTGTACTATGCCTTTATTATTTTAGGAGAATAGATATGTCTTTGGCCGAGCTTCAGAGTAAACAAGCTGTGATCTATGAATCGGAACAGGTTAGTGAATACAATTTTTGATGAGAAATTATCTTATTGTTTGTATATTAACGGCAAGGGGCTTGGTGGTTGGGAGAGAAAAGGGAGTTAAAGTACATGAAGAAGGAGGATTGAAACCCAGGAATCTGAAATTAAAAAAGTCTTCAGGTGATTCTGACTATCAGCCAGGTTGGAGTGAGAATACTGACAAAAGACAAAAATATTCCCTAAGAGGGACAATCCCTAAGGATAACAGCTTTGTAAAATTGACACGCAATTACAGCATTTGATATTCATCCCCAAAATCCGCACTGTAAAGCTTATGGAAAGTATGTTAGGTACCTATTTTTTTCAAAGCAATCACGTGGAATATATTTTTAAATTGTACGTGGAATGAATGCACAGGAACGAAAAATTTCATTTGATATTGCCCTTCTGTTTACTGCAGAATGTACGAAACATTCTGTGGAATATGAACTAGCAAAATAAGGGAAATAAGGGACTAAATTTCTTTATTCATGTGTGTCGTTCCCACCCGACACCTCCCCTCCCACCCCCCATTTCTTTGCTAATTAGAAAGACTGTCTTGACTAGCCAGGAGGGAAGAAAACTGGCTCTTGTTTTAGAAGAATTATATCAAGTTCTAAAAGAACTGCTAATTTATTCATTGAGGATAAAGAGTCTTTGTAGAGGAGATATTTTAATACATTTCTGATAGAATATATAAATAATTTTTTCACTTGTGAAATGATTATAATTTTTGCTGAACTTATGGAGATAGGTTAATTTGTTGAACAAATGATATTTTCAGACAATTTCTAATCATCAAAGTCCTATACTCAACTTACAGGAAATCTGTGGTTTTTTAAAAAATCACCTATAATTTAGTCATTTAGCACAAACTATTATTTAATCGTCTTTTCTGGCAGTCTTATAGCTTGCATTTTAACGTAGTCACTATCATAGTATATGTAGTTTTGTATGCTTTTTTCTTTTCACGTGATCCATAATAACATTCCTTTTATGTAAAATCTCTGAATTCGCTATGACCTTTTATGACTGAGGCTTTTTAAGTTTTGTTTTGAGACAGAGTCCTGGTCTCACCCAGGCTGGAGTACAGTGGTGCAATTATGGCTCACTGCAGCCTCGACCTCCTGGGCTCAAGTGATCCTCCCACCTCAGCCTCCTGAGTAGCTAGGACTATAGACATGCACTACCATGCCCGGCTAATTTTTGTATTTTTTGTGGAGACAGGGTTTTTCCATGTTGCCCAGGCTGGTCTTGAACTTCTGGACTCAAGGGATCCACCCACCTCGGCCTCCCAAAGTGCTGGGATTATAGGCATGAGCCACTGCACCTGGCCCTTGTTAAGTTTTAATTAACTTTTTTGTTTGTTTCTTTTTTTTTTTTTTTGCGACAGAGTCTCACTCTGTCACCCTGGCTGGAGTGCAGTGGTGCGATCTCAGCTCACTGCAACCTCCACCTCCCAGGTTCAAGCCATTCTCCTGCCTCAGCCTCCCAAGTAGCTGGGATTACAGGCGCCCATCACCATGCCCGGCTAATTTTTGTATTTTTGGTGGAGATGGGGTTTTACTATGTTGGCCAGGCTGGTCTTGAACTCCTGTTCAAATGATCTGCCCACCTTGGCCTCCCAAAGTGCTGGTATTACAGGCATGAGCCACTGCGCCCGGCCTAATTAACTTTTTTCAATAAGCACTTTTCTATGTTGACTTCCACATAGTCTTTATTACCATAAATTAAATGATTGTACATTATTCTTTTGACTTAAGTTTACCATGATTTATTTACTCATTCTTCCCTTCCTCTTAATTTTTTTTTTTTACATTTAAGTTGCTTCTATTTTTTGTTATTTTAAATATAATGTTTTGAATCTATTTAGGTAGATAACCTTTTATTTGGGTTAGAGTCCCACAAGTGGGAATCCTGGTTCAATATTAGGAACTTTTCTGACTGTTTATTGTCAATTGTGTCTCAAAATATTTGTATTAGTTTACAATACCATTAGCAGGATGAGTACAAGGTAACTTATCTAGGACTTGTAATTAACGTTCTTGTTAGATATGGTCTTTGTGCAACTAAAAGTAATGTGAATGGTTTGTCTTCTGTCAAAATTCCTCAGACTCTGATCAAAATAATAGATCCAAATGACCTACGACATGACATTGAAAGAAGGCGAAAAGAACGGTTACAGAATGAAGATGAGCACATTTTTCACATAGCTAGTGCTGCAGAGAGGTAATCAGTAGATGACAAACATCCTGTTATCAGGGAGCTTTGGGTTTTACCATATTTTTACATTTTTTGTGTGATGATAATTTTCATTTTAATATAGGGATTTGCTCCTTCAAATCCATCTTATATGTTTAAGTGAAATCTATTAAAATGTTTCCAGGTTATTCAGTGATTCTCATATGCGGTTTGATTTAAACAACAAAAACTATGGGGTAGGTGAATATTTGAGGTCTTCGTAATTCTGATGAGGAGTGTTACCACTTTTAGAATATTAGCAGGAGGCAGGACCAGCAAGTTTACAGACTATTTAGCTTGAGCTGATTGAAACTCTGATACATTCTGCCCTTTAGATTCTGGGTTAGTCTTTGAATAGTAGAAAATTTCCTGAAGTCAGTACAGTTATCTTTTGCGACTCTTTGTGGATGTCTATACTGGATAATTGTGGATCACTGTACTGACAAAAAGTGAAAAAAATCCACATTTTTGGATGTCGTCCATGAAATTGAGGCAGGTGTAGTAGAAAATGCAGAGGAGACCTAAGTTTGAATCTCATCTCTCTCAGTTTACAAGCTGACCGATCTTGGACAAATTTGCTTAGTCTCTGGAGCCTCTTCATCTGTAAAATGATGATAAAATCAATTTATGCTATGGGGCAGTTATGAGTATTAAACGAGTTGGCACATGTGAAGTACTTATGTCATATATGGCAAATAGATCCTCAGTAGATTTTTCTTTCTTAACCTCATACTTCTGTTTAGGGGCTCTTAGTAGTCTAGATCAACCCCAGTTTATCTCTAGTTCTGAACACCATGTGGATGGAACTCACGGCAACTCTGGGGCCCCATATGATTATGAGGTATAATTGAACAGGACAACATTTCCAGTTCACTTGAGTTCTTATACTACTTGGATCTCCCAAAAAGTGAGACTGTATGAATACAAAGAGACAGTGCTAATTGTTTTTCCATAATCTTTTCTATCAAATTGCTAAGATAATGTATTTGACAAGACTTTTAAGTCAAGTCTGTAGCTAACTAGGTCAGAATATATGGACTTGATGCTGACAATAAATTCAGAACTAATTAAAACATAGTGAAACGATGTGTTGAGGTATATAAAACAATTGAAAATGAAAGAGTAAAAATGTTGTCCCTTGCTGGGTGAAAGTCTCCAGTCTCCTAATATGATATGGTTAATGCATGACATGACTGTGCTCCTTAATGACACAAGCTCTCTATCATGCTTTTCTTGACTCAACAAGTGTAAGAAACCCAGTACCAAGAAACAGGATTTTAAAAACAGATTTAAGACAATCAGCATATTTTAAAGATCATAAGATGCTTTAGGATGTATCTTTACCCCTTGACGTGATTAAGAACTTGAGCACTGGAGTTGGACCTGAGTTCAGTGGCTGGCTCTTGGATTCCTAGCTATGTGACTGACTTTGGGAAAATTATTTTGTCTCTGTTTCCTCATCTGTAAAATAGGGATAAGAGTTGTACTTACCTCACAGTGGTGGTTAAGATTAAGTAAAGTGATGAGTGTAAGGTAGAGTAGCTGGTCAGCATTAAGTATTATGAATGCTAGCTTTGAGGACAGTGTGGTAGTGTGCAAGGATGTGTTCCTACAAGCTGTCTTTTGCTGGGTCTGTTGGATTATTTTATTTGTATTGGATAGGTGGTGAGGCATAGTGGAGCCATGAGGAGTTTTTAAAAATGAGACATTACTTAACATTCATCCTGCAAAAATAAACAATTCAGTAGTTTTTAGTATATTAACAAACTTATGCAACCATCATTACTATCTAATTCCGAAACATTTCATCACCCCAGAAGTAAACCCTCTACCCATTAGCTGCCACTCCCTGCCCCATTTCTCCTTCCCCCTTAGTCCCTGGCAACTACTGTTCTATTTTCTGTATCTATGGATTTGTCTAATCCTGACATTTCATATAATCATTTTTCTTTTCTTTTTTTTTTTTTGAGACAGGATCTCTCTCTGTCACCCAGGATGGAGTACAGAGGCACAATCACAGCTCACTGCAGCCTCAACCTTCCGTGAGGCTCAGGTGATTCTCCCACCTCGGCCTCCCGAGCAGCTGGGACCACAGGCTCCTGCCACCACACCCGGCTAATTTTTCGTATTTTTTTTTTGTAGAGACGGGGTTTCACCATGTTGCCCAGGCTGGTCTCAAACTCTTGTGCTCAAGGGATCTACCCGACTCAGTCTCCCAAAGTGCTGGGAGTACAGGCATGAGCCACCACAACTGGCCTGACATTTCATATAAATTCAATAATATAATATGTGGCCTCTCGTAACTGACTTCTTTCCTATAGCATAATGCTTTTAACGCTCATCCATGTTGTAGCATGAGAATTCTTATGTATGGCTGAATAATATTCCATTGTATGGCTATATCGTATTCTCTTTATCCATTCACCAGTTGATGGACATTTGGGTTGTTTCCACTTTTTGTCTGTTTGTGAATAACTGTGCTGTGAACATTTGTGTGCAAGTTTTTGTGCAGATACCTGTTTTCGTTTCTCTTCAGTATATAGCTAGGAGTGGAATTGATGAGTTTGATGGTTACTCTATGATTAACTTTTTGAGGAACTGCCAGACTGTTTTCCAAAGCGGCTGTGCTATTTTACATTTCCACCAGCAGCATCTGAAGGGTCCAGTTGCTCCACATCGTTGCCAACTCTTCTTATTAATCTCTCACTTTATCCTAATTCAGTTTCCTTATTTAAATAAGAAAAATATATTATCCTTTTATCTTAGAAATTCAGTTTATAAAAATTGACCTCATTATATGTTTTTATATAAACTTTTAAAATCAAGTCAGGGTAGTTTCCACAGAAATACGAAAGAAATGAAACATGATGCAATCATAAGTCATAGGATGTAGTGATTTCTCACCTGTGTGGCTTTCCTTCAAAAAGTTGTATGCAGCCTTTCTGTCTGTGTTTGCTCACTGTTGTATCCCCACTGCCCTGAGCTCAGTTCATATTTGTTGAATGAATGAAGAGTTCCCAAAGGAGTAGACAAGACAGAGGATACCTAACTTGTAATACATTTAGATTTGGGTTACTATTCCCTGATGCCTTAGGATCTTTCACAAGCACACCTAACACTTGGGGGTTCTGTCTAGCCTCTAGGACCCATCTGTTCTCTACAGGTGCTCCTTAACTTATGATAGGGCAACATCCCAATAACCCATTGTAAAGTAAAAAAAAAAAACTGTAAGTTAAACCATTGTAAGTTGGGGACGGTCTGGATTTACTTCCACTTCTTACCCGTTTCTTACTCTGATGTCTCCATGTTTTCTCCTGACACACTATTTCTGCCTTTTCTAACTGGAGTTACTAAGTTTCCTACAATGTAAATGAGTTGTTTTGTTATAGAGGTATGGAGTGTGTTTGATAAAGTAGCTTAAAAATAGTATCAGTGGACTTGAAGAGGACATCAAACTGCCAAGAATTTCTTTTATTTTTTATTTTTATTTTTTAACAAGGAGTTGGAACGACAGACTGTCGTTTTAGCTGGGCAGGTTACGGGAAAACATCAGTTTTTGTTCTTGCTATTGCAGTAGTCATAATCTATACTGAAGTAGAGTGAACTTTATAAAGATATATTCATATAGTCAACAGATATTTATGTATTGATTTCTTTGTTCTAGTTACTGTTCTAAGGACTGGGGATATAGTGAAAAACTATATACAAACCTTTGTCTTCGTGTTACTTATAATTTAATAGCAGAAGAAAGAAAATAAATACATGTCAGTGGAGTGATAGGTGAAAATAAGGCAGAAGAGGAAATTTAATAGCAAAGAGTGACATGTGTGATATGGTTTTATTTAGGGTGATCATGGAGTACACTTATGACTTTTAAAAAATGTAGCTGGGTTGTGAATTAAGTGAGGGTGTTAGCCATAGGGTTATCTGAGGGGATAGTATTTCAAGAGAGGGAACAGCAAAAGCAAAGACCTTCAGCATGCCTGCTTTTGTTTAAGGAATAGAAAGGGGGACAGTGGGGTTGTGACAGGGTGGTAAAGGGAGAGAGTAGATGAGGCCAATCACGAAGGGCTTTGAAGAACTGAAGGACGTGAAGACTTTGTATTTTATTCTGGATGAAGTTAGAAAACATTTTGGGTTCTAACCAGAGAAGAGACATAATCTCACTTAAATTTTAAAAGGATCACTGTGGTTGCTGGGTGGAGAGTGGACTGTAAGAGCTAGAGAAAAAAAGTATTTCCTTCTCAAGTGAAAAAAAAAGATTAGAGGTAGGAAATCTACATGATAGGGTCAACACGGTAGAGTGGACACATCAGGGAACCAGGCTGCTTAGATCTTCTTCCTCCCATATCCTCTGTATGTAGCATCTGTCTCATGATCCAAGATGGGTATTTGTGCCCTAGCCATCATGTCCTCATACTAGCCTTTCCTTTAAAGACTTCTTGAGGAGCCAAGATGGCCGAATGGGAACAGCCCCGGTCTACAGCTCCCAGCGTGAGCGACGCAGAAGACGGGTGATTTCTGCATTTCCATCTGAGGTACCGGGTTCATCTCACTAGGGAGTGCCAGACAGTGGGCGCAGGCCAGTGGGTGCGCGCACCGGGCGCGAGCCGAAGCAGGGCGAGGCATTGCCTCACCTGGGAAGCGCAAGGGGTCAGGGAGTTCCCTTTCCGAGTCAAAGAAAGGGGTGACGGACGCACCTGGAAAATCGGGTCACTCCCACCCGAATATTGCGCTTTTCAGACCGGCTTAAAAAACGGCGCATCACGAGACTATATCCCACACCTGGCTCGGAGGGTCCTACGCCCACGGAATCTCGCTGATTGCTAGCACAGCAGTCTGAGATCAAACTGCAAGGCGGCAGCGAGGCTGGGGGAGGGGCGCCCACCATTGCCCAGGCTTGCTTAGGTAAACAAAGCAGCCAGGAAGCTCGAACTGGGTGGAGCCCACCACAGCTCAAGGAGGCCTGCCTGCCTCTGTAGGCTCCACCTCTGGGGGCAGGGCACAGACAAACAAAAAGACAGCAGTAACCTCTGCAGACTTAAATGTCCCTGTCTGACAGCTTTGAAGAGAGCAGTGGTTCTCCCAGCACGCAGCTGGAGATCTGAGAACAGGCAGACTGCCTCCTCAAGTGGGTCCCTGACCCCTGACCCCCGAGCAGCCTAACTGAGAGGCACCCCCCAGCAGGGGCACACTGACACCTCACACGGCAGGGTATTCCAACAGACCTGCAGCTGAGGGTGCTGTCTGTTAGAAGGAAAACTAACAAACAGAAAGGACATCCACACCGAAAACCCACCTGTACATCACCATCATCAAAGACCAAAAGTAGATAAAACCACAAAGATGGGGAAAAAACAGAACAGAAAAACTGGAAACTCTAAAACACAGAGCGCCTCTCCTCCTCCAAAGGAACGCAGTTCCTCACCAGCAACGGAACAAAGCTGGATGGAGAATGACTTTGACGAGCTGAGAGAAGAAGGCTTCAGACGATCAAATTACTCTGAGCTACGGGAGGACATTCAAACCAAAGGCAAAGAAATTGAAAACTTTGAAAAAAAATTAGAAGATGTATAACTAGAATAACCAATACAGAGAACTGCTTAAAGGAGCTGATGGAGCTGAAAACCAAGGCTTGAGAACTACGTGAAGAATGCAGAAGCCTCAGGAGCCGATGCGATCAACTGGAAGAAAGGGTATCAGCAATGGAAGATGAAATGAATGAAATGAAGCGTGAAGGGAAGTTTAGAGAAAAAAGAATAAAAAGAAATGAGCAAAGCCTCCAAGAAATATGGGACTATGTGAAAAGACCAAATCTACGTCTGATTGGTGTACCTGAAAGTGATGCGGAGAATGGAACCAAGTTGGAAAACACTCTGCAGGATATTATCCAGGAGAACTTCCCCAATCTAGCAAGGCAGGCCAATGTTCAGATTCAGGAAATACAGAGAACGCCACAAAGATACTCCTCGAGAAGAGCAACTCCAAGACACATAATTGTCAGATTCACCAAAGTTGAAATGAAGGAAAAAATGTTAAGGGCAGCCAGAGAGAAAGGTCGGGTTACCCACAAAGGGAAGCCCATCAGACTAACAGCGGATCTCTCAGCAGAAACCCTACAAACCAGAAGAGAGTGGGGGCCAATATTCAACATTCTTAAAGAAAAGAATTTTCCACCCAGAATTTCATATCCAGCCAAACTAAGCTTCATAAGTGAAGGAGAAATAAAATCCTTTACAGACAAGCAAATGCTGAGAGATTTTGTCACCACCAGGCCTGCCCTAAAAGAGCTCCTGAAGGAAGCGCTAAACATGGAAAGGAACAACCGGTACCAGCCGCTGCAAAATCATGCCAAAATGTAAAGACCATCGAGACTAGGAAGAAACTGCATCAACTAACGAGCAAAATCACCAGCTAACATCATAATGACAGGATCAAATTCACACATAACAATATTAACTTTAAATGTAAATGGACTAAATGCTCCAATTAAAAGACACAGACTGGCAAATTGGATAAAGAGTCAAGACCCATCAGTGTGCTGTATTCAGGAAACCCATCTCACGTGCAGAGACACACACAGGCTCAAAATAAAAGGATGGAGGAAGATCTACCAAGCAAATGGAAAACAAAAAAAGGCAGGGGTTGCAATCCTAGTCTCTGATAAAACAGACTTTAAACCAACAAAGATCAAAAGAGACAAAGAAGGCCATTACATAATGGTAAAGGGATCAATTCAACAAGAGGCGCTAACTATCCTAAATATATATGCACCCAATACAGGAGCACCCAGATTCATAAAGCAAGTCCTGAGTGACCTACAAAGAGACTTAGACTCCCACACATTAATAATGGGAGACTTTAACACCCCACTGTCAACATTAGACAGATCAACGAGACAGAAAGTCAACAAGGATACCCAGGAATTGAACTCAGCTCTGCACCAAGCAGACCTAATAGACATCTACAGAACTCTCCACCCCAAATCAACAGAATATACATTTTTTTCAGCACCACACCACACCTATTCCAAAATTGACCACATAGTTGGAAGTAAAGCTCTCCTCAGCAAATGTAAAAGAACAGAAATTATAACAAACTCTCTCTCAGACCACAGTGCAATCAAACTAGAACTCAGGATTAAGAATCTCACTCAAAGCCGCTCAACTACGTGGAAACTGAACAACCTGCTCCTGAATGACTACTGGGTACATAACGAAATGAAGGCAGAAATAAAGATGTTCTTTGAAACCAACGAGAACAAAGACACCACATACCAGAATCTCTGGGACGCATTCAAAGCAGTGTGTAGAGGGAAATTTATAGCACTAAATGCCCACAAGAGAAAGCAGGAAAGATCCAAAATTGACACCCTAACACCACAATTAAAAGAACTAGAAAAGCAAGAGCAAACACATTCAAAAGCTAGCAGAAGGCAAGAAATAACTAAAATCAGAGCAGAACTGAAGGAAATAGAGACACAAAAAACCCTTCAAAAAATCAATGAATCCAGGAGCTGGTTTTTTGAAAGGATCAACAAAATTGATAGACCGCTAGCAAGACTAATAAAGAAAAAAAGAGAGAAGAATCAAATAGACACAATAAAAAATGATAAAGGGGATATCACCACCGATCCCACAGAAATACAAACTACCATCAGAGAATACTACAAACACCTCTACACAAATAAACTAGAAAATCTAGAAGAAATGGATACATTCCTCGACACATACACTCTCCCAAGACTAAACCAGGAAGAAGTTGAATCTCTGAATAGACCAATAACAGGAGCTGAAATTGTGGCAATAATCAATAGTTTACCAACCAAAAAGAGTCCAGGACCAGATGGATTCACAGCCGAATTCTACCAGAGGTACAAGGAGGAACTGGTACCATTCCTTCTGAAACTATTCCAATCAATAGAAAAAGAGGGAATCCTCCCTAACTCATTTTATGAGGCCAGCATCATTCTGATACCAAAGCCGGGCAGAGACACAACCAAAAAAGAGAATTTTAGACCAATATCCTTGATGAACATTGATGCAAAAATCCTCAATAAAATACTGGCAAACCGAATCCAGCAGCACATCAAAAAGCTTATCCACCATGATCAAGTGGGCTTCATCCCTGGGATGCAAGGCTGGTTCAATATACGCAAATCAATAAATGTAATCCAGCATATAAACAGAGCCAAAGACAAAAACCACATGATTATCTCAATAGATGCAGAAAAAGCCTTTGACAAAATTCAACAACCCTTCATGCTAAAAACTCTCAATAAATTGGGTATTGATGGGACGTATTTCAAAATAATAAGAGCTATCTATGACAAACCCACAGCCAATATCATACTGAATGGGCAAAAACTGGAAGCATTCCCTTTGAAAACTGGCACAAGACAGGGATGCCCTCTCTCACCACTCCTATTCAACATAGTGTTGGAAGTTCTGGCCAGGGCAATCAGGCAGGAGAAGGAAATAAAGGGTATTCAATTAGGAAAAGAGGAAGTCAAATTGTCCCTGTTTGCAGACGACATGATTGTATATCTAGAAAACCCCATTGTCTCAGCCCAAAATCTCCTTAAGCTGATAAGCAACTTCAGCAAAGTCTCAGGATACAAAATCAATGTACAAAAATCACAAGCATTCTTATACACCAGCAACATACAAACAGAGAGCCAAATCATGAGTGAACTCCCATTCACAATTGCTTCAAAGAGAATAAAATACCTAGGAATCCAACTTACAAGGGATGTGAAGGACCTCTTCAAGGAGAACTACAAACCACTGCTCAAGGAAATAAAAGAGGATACAAACAAATGGAAGAACATTCCATGCTCATGGGTAGGAAGAATCAATATCGTGAAAATGGCCATACTGCCCAAGGTAATTTACAGATTCAATGCCATCCCCATCAAGCTACCAATGACTTTCTTCACAGAATTGGAAAAAACTACTTTAAAGTTCATATGGAACCAAAAAAGAGCCCGCATGGCCAAGTCAATCCTAAGCTAAAAGAACAAAGCTGGAGGCATCACACTACCTGACTTCAAACTATACTACAAGGCTACAGTAACCAAAACAGCATGGTACTGGTACCAAAACAGAGATACAGATCAATGGAACAGAACAGAGCCCTCAGAAATAACGCCACATATCTACAACTATCTGATCTTTGACAAACCCGAGAAAAACAAGCAATGGGGAAAGGATTCCCTATTTAATAAATGGTGCTGGGAAAACTGGCTAGCCATATGGAGAAAGCTGAAACTGGATCCCTTCCTTATACCTTATACAAAAATCAATTCAAGATGGATTAAAGATTTAAACGTTAGACCTAAAACCATAAAAACCCTAGAAGATAACCTAGGCATTACCATTCAGGACATAGGCATGGGCAAGGACTTTATGTCCAAAACACCAAAAGCAATGGCAACAAAAGCCAAAATTGACAAATGGGATCTAATTAAACTAAAGAGCTTCTGCACAGCAAAAGAAACTACCATCAGAGTGAACAGGCAACCTACAACATGGGAGAAAGTTTTCGCAACCTACTCATCTGACAAAGGGCTAATATCCAGAATCTACAATGAACTCAAACAAATTTACAAGAAAAAAACAAACAACCCCATCAAAAAGTGGGCAAAGGACATGAATAGACACTTCTCAAAAGAAGACATTTATGCAGCCAAAAAACACATGAAAAAATGCTCATCATCACTGGCCATCAGAGAAATGCAAATCAAAACCACTATGAGATATCATATCACACCAGTTAGAATGGCAATCATTAAAAAGTCAGGAAACAACAGGTGCTGGAGAGGATGTGGAGAAATAGGAACACTTTTACACTGTTGGTGGGACTGTAAACTAGTTCAACCATAGTGGAAGTCAGTGTGGCAATTCCTCAGGGATCTAGAACTAGAAATACCATTTGACCCAGCCAACCCATTACTGGGTATATACCCAAAGGACTATAAATCATGCTGCTATAAAGACACATGCACACGTATGTTTATTGCGGCATTATTCACAATAGCAAAGACTTGGAACCAACCCAAATGTCCAACAATGATAGACTGGATTAAGAAAATGTGGCACATATACACCATGGAATACTATGCAGCCATAAAAAATGATGAGTTCATGTTCTTTGTAGGGACATGGATGAAATTGGAAATCATCATTCTCAGTAAATTATCGCAAGAACAAAAAACCAAACACCGCATATTCTCACTCATAGGTGGGAATTGAACAATGAGATCACATGGACACATGAAGGGGAATATCACACTCTGGGGTCTGTGGTGGGGTTAGGGGAGGGATAGCATTGGGAGATATACCTAATGCTAGATGATGAGTTAGTGGGTGCAGCGCACCAGCATGGCACATGTATACATATGTAACTAACCTGCACAATGTGCACATGTACCCTAAAACTTAAAGTATAATAAAAAAAAAAAAATAAATAAATAAATAAAAAATAAAGACTTCTTGAAATTTACACATGATAACTTGGCCAAAATTTAGTCCCATGGCCATGCCTAGCTGCAGGGCAGCTGGGAAATAGATTCTTTAATCTGAGCATTCATTTGCCTGGTCAAAAATCAAATATCAAAGGATTTAATTTTTGTATTGTGGCAAAATATACATATCCTAAATTTACCATTTTAACCATTTTTAAGTGTAAAATTCATTGACATTGAGTATATTCACAGTGTTGTACAATCACCACCACTATCTACTTCCAGAACTTTTTCATCTTCACAAACAGAAAGTCTGTTTCCATTGAACAGTAACTCCTCATGCTCTCCTCTCTGCAGCCCCTGGTAACCTCTATTCTTTCTGTCTATATGAATTTGCCTATTGTGGGTATCTGATATAAGTAGAATCAGACAATATTTGTCGTTTTGTCTCTGGCTTATTTCACTTAGCATAGTGTTTTCAGGGTCAATTCATGTTGTATCATGTGTCAGAATTTCATTCCTTTTTTAAAAAATTCATTCTCTTTTAAGGCTGAATAATATTCCATTGTATGGCTGTACTACATTTTGTTTATCTGTTTTTCTGTGGACATTTGTATTGCTTTCACCCTTTGGCTATTGTAAATAGTGATGTTATGCATATTGGTATTGTCATCTTTTTGGTTATAGCCATCCTAGTTAGTGTAAAGTGGTGTCTCATTGTGGTTTTGATTTGCATTTCTCTAATGACTAATGATGTTGAGCATCTTTCTATGTGCTTATTGGCCATTGGTATGTCTTTGGAGAAATTTCTATTCAAATCCTTTGCCCATTTTAAAATCAAAGTATTTTTGTTGTTGAGGTGTAGGAGTTCTTTATATATTCTGGATACAGCTCCCTCATCAGATATATGCTTTGCAAAGAGAATTTTAAAAAATCCATTGCTTTGTTTGTAGAAGTAGTCATACACACTAATGGTAATCATTTGGAAAAATATAATAAAGTATAAAATCAAAAATATAAGGCATTCCTAATTTTACCAGTCAGAGATGACCACTGTTAATATTTAGTACATTTCTTGTCATTTATTTTTTCTGGGCACATATGTGTATATTTTAAATAATTGAAATTATCCTCAATATACAACTTTGCACTTTACTCTTTTGATCTACTGTCGTGAGCATTTTGACAAAGCATAGGCCTTTTTAACATTTAAAAAACCCCGAGTGTCTATTTCATGTCAGATTCTGGGATCAGAGCTGGGGCCACAAAACGAATCATCCACATTGCTTCCTCTGAAGGAATAGCAACTTGTTCCGTTAAACAGACAGGTACACCAGTAGTTACAAATACGGAATGATAGGTGTTAAGACCTAAAAATGCTACATGGGCACATAGCAGGGAGTACCTAGTTCACCTCAGAAGGGTTTAGGAAACTCTTCCTTGAAGAGGTACAAATGGATCTAAATCTTTAAGTTAATCTAAGTAGAAGGAAATGGTCACAGAAGGAACTGCACATGCAAAGGTGTAGAAGCAGGAGAGATTGCTTTGTGCCAGGAACCACATGTACTTCAATATTCCTGGCTGGGCACGGTGGCTCACGCCTATAATCCCAGCACTTTGGGAGGCCAAGGTGGATGGATTACTTGAGGTCAGGAGTTCAAGACCAGGCTGGCCAACATGGTGAAACCCCGTGTCTACTAAAAATAGAAAAAATTAGCGGGGTGTGATGGCGTGCACCTGTAATCCCAGCTACTCGGAAGGCTGAGGCAGGAGAATCAGTTGAACTCAGGAGGTGCAGGTTGCAATGAGCCGAGATTGTGCCACTGCACTCCAGCCTGGGCAACACAGCAAGACTCTGTCTCAAAAACAAGCAAACAAAAAATCCTGAAGCTCAGTGTGCCTGTTGGGGAGATTGGAGCGAGGTAGCAAGGGCCAGAGCAGAAAGGGCTTTGGGGGGTCACGATGAGGAGTGTGGAAGTTATCTTGTTGCCAGTGGGGAATCCATGGGAAAGAGTGAAGGTGGGCCTGCAGAAGACACAGGAAGGGGCTGAGAAGCATTGTAGAGAGATGCAGGATGTGACACGGAGAGGAATCCCCAAGGGCTGTGGAAATGAGGCTTTGGAGATCAGAGGAAGATCCCAGGGAAGGACCTCCCTCCCAGATAGGGCTGCCTGAGAAGAGCCCTTTGTGGCCTCAGTACCTCATGATGACGGGAGAGAGGAGGCTGTCCTTCGCTGCTGTGGTCCTACAGTATCAGAGGCCTCAGCTCTGCCAGTGAGGGGACCCTGAGCCAGTCATACACCTTGCCTCTGTTGAATGGGCTGGGTCATGAGCCATTGGTGCTTCCACCAGTAAGAGCTGTCAGCAAGAAGGGGAGGGGGGCAGTGCTGCCAAAGGTTCTAGAGCAGTAATTATCTTTCCTCAAAACACACATTTCACATATGGTTTCAGGGGGTTACAGCCCCCAGAAAGCCTGTCCTTAGACCCCAGATTGAGAACCTGGTTCAAGGAGTGTTTTTCCGCATTGCTAACCTCCAACTTAGATAAATAACATTTGTTGGAAAATGAGGGGTTTAGCCCTAATGACTATCATTTGTAATTTTAGTAGTGATAGATCATTGAGATTTCACTTGTGTGCTACTTTAATTGTTTCTGAAGGGGCTTTTTAAAATTATTCTTGTTTATTTCTTGGAAAAAAAGGTATACTAATAAAATATTCTTATTTTCTCTGTTTCCTTATTAGGGATGATCAGAATTCCAGTTTTTCAAAGGTAAAGAATGTTCATACTGATGGATTCCAAAAACCCACACATTTTATAAAATCAAATTTTAGAAAATGTATTGAAAAACCTTACATGGTAAGATTGCAGTTCCAAAATTTGCATTTTTATAATTTCTTCTTCTCCAATACATCAAAATGTGCAGGGATCACCAATATTTTTCACGTTTGTAATTGTTCATTAAGTATATGTTATAAGATTCCGTTGATGCTTAAAGTTATTATGACAGAAGAAATGGTCATTTCTTACTTGATTTAGTAGGATTTTATTGGATTCATTAAATAAAGCTAATAAATCTAGCTTTCTTAAGATTTTTTGGGGGGCCAGGTGCAGTGGCTCATGCTTGTAATCCTAGCACTTTGGGAGGCCAAGGCAGGAGGATTGCTTGAGCCCAGGAGTTCAAGACCTGCCTGGGCAACGTGGCTAGACCTCATCTCTACAAAAAAATATAATAATAATAAAAGAAAAAAATTCAAAAAAGATTTTTTGGGAACAACACTTAAGATCTCTTGGAACATATTTATTAAGGCATAATTCACATACCATAAAATTCACCCATTTTAGGTGTACAATTTAATGATTTTTAGTAAATTAACCAAAGTGTGCAACCATCACCACAGTCCAGTTTTAGAATATTTTCATTACCCAATATGAACCCTCATGCCTGTTTCGTTACTCCCCTTTGCCACCCCCAACCAACACTAATCTACTTTCTGTCTTAAAGATTTGCCTTTTTATAGGGCAGCTCACAAAATGGCAGCTAGTTCCATAAGAACAGGCAAGTAATGGCGAGAAAGATGGAAGCCAGAGTCGGTAACCTAATTTCACAAGTAAAATCTCATCCTTTACCATATTCTTTTTGCAAGAAGCAAGTTCCTAGGCCCTGCCGACACTCGAAGGGAGGAATAATTGGTCGGATCACTGGGAGCCATGTCAGCAGTTGCCTAGTACAGTCCTCCCTCTGGCCAGACTCTGCAGAAAGTGGAAATAATAGAAGGTGATAAGACTGTTGATTTTAGAAAAAGGAAACCATCTTGAGAATGGGCCCCATCTTTTCTGTCTCCACCAGAGGATTTAGGTTCTTCATAGTTACAGACTTACTAATGTAGTTCTTTCTTTTATTTCTGGTACTTTTCTAGCCATGGCAAGAGCATCACCTCAGATCAGTTACCTGAGTCAGGAAAACCTGCCTCCTGCAATGTTGAGGATTTGTATTCTTCTTAGGCAGTAGGAACCCTTCAGCAACTCCTGATAGTAATGGGTTTATTTCTCTCCTAGCTGCCTGAATAAATGCTAGATGTATCATCCATTTTCTCAGATTCACCCATTATGTTATACACGAGTATGTTTTATACTTGTTACAGGCGTAAATGATCCTGGCTCCTCACAAACTAGCATGGATCATGTTAGTCAAAGTCGAGGGTCAAGTTAGCATGGGTCAAGGAGGAGATGTGTATGTGCTCTACAGCTAAGCTCCCTGCTCCCTGCTTTGTGTTCTTAATCCTGTACATTTAAAATGTGTTTTCTAATGGTAAAACAAGCTTTTAAAGTAAACTTTAAAGTCTGTTAACCCACACTACTACTTTTTTTCGTGCAGAATTATACTACGCAGAGAAAAGACATAATTACTCACAAACCATTTGAGGTTGAGGGAAACCACCGAAACACAAGAGTAAGACCTTTTAAGGTATTGAGTGTTGTTTTCCATTTAATTCCAGCTTTGGTTTTATGCTTTGGACACAATGTTTTAAGTGTTAGTAAATCAAGAGCTGTTTTGTAATATGCTTTCAAATGGTAGCTATAAACTAGTATTTCTGGACATTTATAGTTAACTGTAACCAATTTGTTGATGACCCCTTTCCTTAGGACTTGATTTTCAATTTTTTTTTTTTTACCAGTAGATTCCTTTTCCAAATATTACATGGAAACACAAATACATAAAACAGATGCAGGTGGAGTGACTCTAGGTGGGGAGACAGGCAAGGCTGCAGACCCTCCCTTTAAGCCAGCACCTTTACCTCTAAGATACACGTGCAGAGCTGTAGAGCTTTCTCCAAGATTCACAGATTGAAAAACCCTGCCATGGACACACAACCCTTAGAGGCGTTCTGGATCATCACAGGAAGATTCTGGTCCAGGTAGCTTTGTTAAAGCATATTTTATCACACTCTAATTATTGGTACATCTATATCTGATATGAATGATAATTTTTAATCAACCAATATGTTTGATTATCCAGAACACCTCATCCCCCAAATATATGGAGTAAGAATTATAGTACAAGGTATTATATTTCATTTTTTTTTTTTTTTGAGATGGAGTCTCCCTCTGTCGCCCAGGCTGGAGTGCAGTGGTGCCATCCTGGCTCACTGTAACCTCCGCCTCCCAGGTTCAAGCTATTCTCCTGCCTCAGCCTCCCAAGTAGCTGGGATTACAGGCGTGTGCCACCATGCCCAGCTAATTTTTGTATTTTTAGTAGAGACAGGGTTTCATCATGTTGGCCAGGCTGGTCTCAAATGCCTGACCTCAAGGATCACCCACGTTGGCCTTCCAAAGTGCTGGGATTACAGGCTTGAGCCACTGCACCTGGCCCAAGGTATTATATTTCTGTCTCCTTGCTCACAAAAGTTGAGGTGTTTTTAAAATCAATTTTGACAGTTTCTTGCCTGTAATAGATACTTTATTAATATTTTTCACTCATATTGTCTCCCTCCCCTAAATAAAGGAAAGAATGTGAGCTTTTTGTGTAAAAGTGGCAGGCAGGCTTGTTAGAGTAGTTAGCTCATTAGGAGGAAGTTAGTATGAACAGAAAAGTAGTAGAAACTATCTAAAATTATGGACTAGAAGGTTAATTGAGTGATCTATTAATATTGGCTTCTTGAGAGTCAGAATTTATAGATGTCGAAAGATTTTATTCAATGAGAGTAACATAATTTGTAGGCATTGAATAGATTACATTTTTAGCCAATGGTTTATGTACCTAAAATTACATGTGTGACACGAAGTTTTTAAAAATAATTACGGCCGTAGAATATATACATGTTTTATACCATCTTTTGATCTCTTGAGTAATGGGGCATCACATCAACTGAAAATGTGATGTCTGCATAACTTACAGACAACATAGATGGGCTTTCAGATTTAAGTGCTTCCTACATGTTGTTCTCATTGGTCAGATATAGTTGATTATAGTATTTTTCTAACAGCATCATAAGATTTATTTTCTGTTACCTTTTTTCCTTAAGGGAAGATACTTTAACATAAATTCATAGAAAAATGTTTTCAAGATATATGTAATAACTTTACCTCTTGACCAATCATTTAAAGTTATATAATATTACATGAATGCTTAGAAGTGTACAATTCTTTGTAGTAAAATAGTGGGCAGAAATAATCCTTCCTAAGAAAAGGAAATCTTTTGGCTGGGTACTGTAGCTCACGCCTGTAATCCTAACACTTTGGGTTGCTGAGACGGGTGGATCACTTGAGGTCAGGAGTTCGAGAAGAGCCTGGGCAACATGGCAAAACCCCGTCTCTACAAAAAATACAAAAATTAGCTGGGCATGGTGGCGTGCACCTGTACTGTAGTCCCAGCTACTCAGGAGGCTGAGGTGGGAAGATCGCTTCAGCCTGGGAGGCAGAGGTTGCAGTGAGCCAAGATTGTGCCACGGCCCTCAAGCCTGGGCGACACAGTGAAGAGACCCTGTCCCAAAAGAAGAAAAAAAAAGGAAATATTTTGCTAAAATTTACTTTTTACATGAATTGGACTAGTTCAAAGCGACATAGTAATAACCTTAGAGGACATGTAGAAATGGAACACATCAGTCTCAAGATTAGCTCTGATGTATCAAGTTTGTGCAGATAGTCTTAACATTAGTGTCTCATTATAATTCTGTTTTACCTGAAATTTTCTGTAGCCTTAAGAAAATAATTGAAAAATAGGCCTGGCATAAATTTTTTTTGTAAAATTATGTGCTTCATTATGTCTGACATATCCACTTCTGAAATAATTGTGAAAAGAAGAATCTGCTTAGTTTTGTTAACTATTCCGTTGTAATACATCATTTGCGCATTTGTTTTCCCAATATGGCTCATGATCTGTTTCCTGTTATTAAGTACTCTGAGGATGGAACTTAAGTCAACCAAACACTAAATTTCAAAAAGAATAAAATCTATTTCTGTGGGCAAGTCTTTGACAATTATTACAGAACCTAAACATTGTACTTGTTCTATTTAGATGTCTATATATTAGGACATACTTTTAAAGCCATAGTTCTGTCTAGCATACATTTCGGCTTTCACTAAATTAGTAGCTTAATATTTTTGATGTTATGGGTCTTGCTACAGCCAGTTCTTCCCTTTCACAACTTCATAACTGTCTTCTTGTTAAAAAGCAACAGCAGCTCCAGCAACACCCTACCTGTCTAAGACTCAATCTCTTTTCCTCCTGGCATTGCTTTAGTTGCTGGTTAATCTGAACTTTATTATCAAAGAGGAAACAAATAGTGTTTAAAGAGGGTTGTTATTTAATGCAGCCATTGTAGTGTTTGTAAACAATTTTATTGACTTCTTTAGAGGTTAATAGTGTATTCAACCTTATAATAGTTTATTTAGGAGTTATTATTGTTTAGCTCTTCATGTTGAGAAAATCTTGACTCATATCCGGCCAGGCATGGTGGCTCACGCCTGTAATCCCAACACTTTGGGAGGCTGAGGCGGGCAGATCACTTGAGGTCAGGAGTTCGAGACCAGCCTGGCCAACATAGTGAAACCCTGTCTCTACTAAAAATACAAAAATTAGCTGGGCGTGATGGCATGTACCTGTAGTCCCAGCTACTCTGGAGGCTGAGGCAGGAGAATCGCTTGAACTCAGGAGGCGGAGATTGCAGTGAGCCCAGATTGCACTACTGTACTTCAGCCTGGGTGACAGAGTGGAACTCTATCTCAAAAAAAAAAAAAAAAAAAAAAAATCTTGACTTGTATCTGTAAAGATGTATAAATATTTATTCAGATCCTAACTTTCTATAAACGAAATGTGCTTTTGTTTGCTTTTGTAATTTTAGCTTCTGTTTTCAGCCTTAATCATTTACAAATAGTAAACTCTTTCCCTGAAACATTCTAAAAGGGGCCACTATTAGTTTCATCCCATTTGATTGGACCCCGGTCATGTAGTAGTTGGAATGTGACTCAGGGATGTTTTTTATGAAAAGCAAAGAAAGAATTTGATTTAAAGACAAAACTCTTCCCATGTAACTTTGTGATGAAACATTTACATGTAACTAGGTTGTCTTTTCCTTTTTACTTGAGAAAATTGAGAAGATGAGAACAAATTTGCAGATAATAAAGTTTATATATCAATCTTCTGAGTAAAATTCTCATTTTATTAAAAAAAAGAACACACATTTGGGAATAAATTTAGTATGCACTGGCTGCTATTTTAAAGGTATAGAATTCATAGCTTTCATTCTGACCCTTGTACCTGCCTGATAAATGAACACTGGTTGAGTTCTTAGCTCTTGAGTGGTAAGGCAAATGGAAGAATAAGACTTCCTGCTTGTGCCATTCAAACTAAATGCTCTTTTGTGCTTTTCAAGCGTGGAGAGCCTTTTTCCTGGATCTTGGTAGACTCCTATTGGCAAAATCAGGAGTAGCTATGTCTCCAGTGCTCAGACGCAGCATCTCTACTAATTGTCAGCCCCTAAAGGAAAAGAGGTGGATCTGTTTAGTCTTTGTACCTTGCATATAATGTTAGGTATGAATTTTGTTAAATAAGTTCAGAACAGTTTTATAGTTTACTATGCCTGAGAGAGGACGCTGGGTCACCAAAGTCTTTCCTTCTCTACCATATCTCTCTCTACTTCTTGGAATTAGATCTTCCAATATTCAAGTTATGCTGAACTGGTCTTGTTAAAAGTTTCGTTCAGCCCAGGGTTTTTCTTCATATGGCTTCATGTTTATTTTCTATAGGAGAATTTAATTGAATGATTTTGGGGGAGAAATCCTTTTCATAGTCAAGAGCTTAATGCAGCTTCTTCCAGTAAGTTGGCAAGTAGCTAAGTTTTTAAGATTTATCAGGGCAGAGATAGACTCCATCTATGAACCTTTGCACCACTGCTCCCATCTGTTTTAGATTATTCTAGGAGGATGCTTGGAAATGCAGGCAGACACAAGCAGTGTGTGATATGGGGGAGTGAGGGAGGGAGACTTGGAGAATTGTTTGGGAAGATTTGGAGAGGATTGGTTCACGACTGACAAAACTGAGGACTGTTTTCCTCTTCCACCTCCAGCAGTAGATTAACAAGGGACCATTTCTCTTATCAACCACATGGGAAACACACAAATATTCGTTGTCCTCTTATGTCTAATGTAATGCTGGACAGTATATGCAGCCTAGGAAGTGTTCTTTTTAAGTAATGGATCTTTTGTGGTAAAGAAAGATTTGTTTGAAGGTATTAACAGGAATAAAGTTAAAAGAGTTTTTGATTCTTAAATAGATATTGATACTTAATATCTTTCCCCCTCATTGGGGTTTGATACATTTCACTATGAATCAGAAGAATAATTTTAGTTCATTAGAGGTTCTGAACATTTTATTTTGTTAGCATGATGAATTTCAATAATTAATTTCAAATTCTTTTCTTTTTTTATTTTTTGTAGAGACAGGGTCTCACTCTGTTGCCCAGGCTGGTCTTGAACTCCTGGCCTCAAGCAGTCCTCCCACCTCAGTCTCCCAAAGTGCTGGGATTTAGGTGTGAGCCACTGTGCCCGCCCTCAAATTCTTTTAACTTAACAGTTTTAAAAATTTGGTTTGATGTAGTTTTGTTTTGTTTTTTTGAGACAGGGTCTCGCTCTGTCACCCAGACTGGAGTGTGGTGTCACAATCACAGCTTACTGCAGCCTCTACCTCCAAGACTCAAGCTATCTCCCACCTCAGCCTCCTGAGTAGCTGGGACTACAGGCATGAGCCACCATGCCCAGCTAAGAATAAAAATTAAAAATATATATATTGATATATAAAATGAGCTAGGAAGCCAGCTTGAGAGAAACCTACTTTCTCACCATCATTGACTCTTTCTGTTTTAACATCTATAAGGCCTAGAATCCAGGACAGCTCCAAGTACCAGACAGTTTTTCATCTGTTTTTTTGTTTTGTTTTGTTTGAGACAGGGTCTCACTCTGTCACCCAGGCTGGAGCGCAGTGGCACTCTTTTGTACTTTTCAAGCATAGAGAACAGTGACTCGCTGCAACGTCCGCCTCCCAGGTTCAAGCAATTCTCCTGCCTTAGCCTCCTGAGTAGCTGGGATTACAGGCGCCTGCCACCACGCCTGGCTAATTTTTGTATTTTTAGTAGAGACGGGGTTTCACCATGTTGGCCAGGCTGGTCTCGAACTCCTGACCTCAAGCGATCAGCTTGAGGAGTTCTGCCTCAGTCTCCCAAAGTGCTGGGATTACAGGCGTGAGCTACTGCACCCAACCACCCACTCATCTGTTTACTAATAAAGTAGACTTGGAAGGTGTAGTTTTAGCATTTAATTCCTTTTTTTTCCTTCACAGAGCAACTTTAGAGGTGGCAGATGCCAGCCCAATTATAAATCAGGCCTGGTACAGAAGAGCTTGTACATTCAGGCTAAGTATCAGCGTTTACGGTTCACTGGCCCAAGGGGATTTATCACTCATAAGTTCAGAGAAAGATTAATGAGAAAAAAGAAGGTTAGTTGAATTAAAATGATTTAAAAATGTTTAGTGACTTTTAAACTCCTAGATTATCTATGTTCATTAGATAAATTGGTTTCTCATTTAATTTTAAGAAACAACCTGGGTTTTTAAATGTTCTTGTTGCATGATAGTTGAATAAGATCTTCAGGGAGTAATGGTAATACAGTTGTGAGGCTGTGTAACCTTAAAATGCTTTTAGGCATTATGCCTTGAATACTTTGCATATGTTAGCTGTTTGAACTTTTGACTTTAGAATTTCTGTTGTATGGTTAATCTTTGAAATGGAAACTCAGGTAAAGGCTTTTAATTGATGTATTTTAATCTTATACAAAGTGAATTATCTGAATGCCAAAAATATATTGAATATATACAAAGGGTGCATAATTGCAAAATACACTAACTCTTTTCCCCATTCATATATTTTTTTGTTGTGGTAAAATATGTATAATATAAAATTTGCCATTTTAACCATTTTTAAGTAGCATCAAGTACATACAGTTCAGCGACACTAATTTCATTCACAGTGCTATGCAATCATCACCATTATATGTTCTTTTGCAATTTATGTTTTTAATTGACAAGTAAAAATTATATATATTTATGGTGTTCAACATGATGTTTTGATGTATGTATACATTGTGGAATGGCTAAATCAAGCTATTTAAAATACCCATTACCTCACATACTTATTTTTTTGTATTGAGAACACTTAAAATCTACTCTGTTAGCAATTTTCAGGTGTACAATATATTGTAATTAACTGTAGTCACCATGATGTATAATACATCTTTTGAACGTATTCCTCCTGTGTGACTGAAATTTTGTGTTGATGCTTTGACCAACTTCTTCTCAATCCCTCCAGCCTCTGGTAACCACCATTTTACTCTGTTTCTGTAAGTTTGACTTTTTTTTTAGATGCCACGTGTAGGTGAGATTATGTGGTATTTGTCTTTGTGTACCTGGCTTATTTCACTTAACATAATATCCTTCAGATTAATCCATGTTGTCATAAATGACAGGATTTCCTTCTTTTTAAGGCTGAATGGTATTCCATTGTATATATATGCATTTTCTTTATCCATTCAGCCGTTGATACTGAGGTTGATTCCATTATGCTAATGCTTAATGTTTTTATTCCTAACTCCCCAAACTTGTTAATAACTCTTTTTTAAATTTTTTAAGTTTTTAATTTTTTGAGACAGAGTTTTGCTCTTATTCCCCAGGCTGGAGTACAATGGCACGATCTCAGCTCAGTGCAACCTCCGCCTCCTGGGTTCAAGTGATTCTCCTGCCTCAGCCTGCCAAGTAGCTGGTATTACAGGCGCCTGCCACTACGCCTGGCTAATTTTTGTATTTTTAGTAGAGACGGGGTTTGTCCATGTAGGCCAGGCTGGTCTCGAGCTCCTGACCTCAGATGATCCACCCTCCTCGGCCTCCCAAAGTGCTGGGAATACAGGCGTGAGCTACCACGCCTGGCCGATAACTCTTAATGTTAATAAAAAGTTTCTTTACTTGGTAATTGGAATTGCATACTCTTTTAGTTGTAGATTGATTTTGTTTGAATTAACCATGTTAGTATTTGAAAATTCAGCATAAGGCCAGGAGTGGTGGCTCATGCCTGTAGTCCCAGCACTTTGGGAGGCTGAGGAGAGAGGATCGCTTGAGCCCAGGAGTTCGAGACCAGCCTGGGCAACATAGCAAGACCCCACCTCTACAAAAAAGTTTTTTAAAAATAATAAACTGGGCATGGTGGTATGTGCCTGTAGTCCCAGCTACTTGGAAGGCTGAGGTGGAAGGACCACTTGAGCCTAGGAGGTCAGGGCTGCAGTGAGCCATGATCATGCAACTGCACTCCAGCCTGGGTGACAGAGTGAGACCTATTAAAAAAAAAAAGAAAGAAAGAAAGAGAAAATGCAGCATAAATATGCCATAAAATTAACTTCTACAAAATAATTATATTTTAAATGAGAATTGCTGGGCATAGTGGTACATGCCTGTAGTCCCAGCTACTTGGGAGGCTGAGATGGGAGGATTGCTTGAGCCCAGGAGTTCAATGCCAGCCTGGGCAACATAGCAAGACCCCCAACTATTAAAAAAAAAAAGAACAGGAAGAGAAAAAAACGAAATGAGAACAGTAGCATTATATCAGTAAGTGAGGCATGTTTGTCAATTCGTAGGCTCATTTTAGTTCATGATTTTAGGCTAATATTTTCTTCTGAGAAATGTGTGTATCTCTGGTATTGCTATTGAATAGCCCAACTGTGGTTTTATAACTTTTATAATCATAAATGTTTTCTTAAATACTTACACTTATGAAGCCTTTACACTGAGCTTGCTTAATGATTTTAGTAAATCTTAACACTTTTCAAAAGACGGATGAGTAGAATGAAGTTGGCAACTTATTTTTTTTATGTTTTAGAGTTAAATAGAATATCTTATGTCACACATACAACCCCAGTTTTAACTGAGTACCTTAGAAGATTTCTAATTTCACCATGTGTGTCACTCATGGTTTTAGGAAAGCCATCTCTTTATTTATTTATTTATTTTTGAGATGGAGTTTCATTCTTGTTGCCCAGGCTGGAGTACAATGGCACCATCTCGGCTCACTGCAACCTCCGCCTCCCGGGTTCCAGTGATTCTCCTGCCTCAGTCTCCTGAGTAGCTGGGATTATAGGCACCTGCCACCACGCCCAGCTAATTTTTGTATTTTTAGTAGAGGTGAGGTTTCACCATGTTGGCCAGGTTGGTCTCGAACTCCTGACCTCATGTGATCCACCTGCCTCGGCCTCCCAAAGTGCTGGCATTACAGGTGTAAGCCACCGCACCCGGCCGCATCTCTTTTTTTAAAAAGTGTCAATGGAATCATTTTCCCGTCTCGTATATCTCCCCACCATCAGGCTGTGCCAGGACTTAGGTAGAGATGCTGCTTCTCTTCCTGCCTTGTGTGGCAAGTTTCTTTGCAGCAGACCTTTCAGATATTTGTTCCCAGTCACAGATGGCAGCCTGACTGTTTTCAGGGAAGCTAGTCATTGATTTTCACTCAAGGAAAATGGCTGAGGCAGGCCTTCTCTTCATTCGCAAGGTTGGGTTTCTGGTACATGGTGTCTTCTGTTTGTCTTCTGTTAGCTCTGTGCTAAACTTGGAGTTTTAGCTTAACTCTATTTTTGCTCCATCTTTTCCAGTGACTTGGGGCTGCTGAATGCTTACCTGACTGTCTGCTTCAGCTTATAGTTTCTATATATCTTGGATCTTGCTCCATTTTTTTATTCTTTTGTTTGCCTCAGTTTGCCCAATTCCTGCTGACCACCCTATTCTTCCAGACTACATTGCTCACCAGCCCCGCTTCACAGCAAATAGAAATCAGAAATCAGGCCTTCATCATAGGACATAAGAAGTATATCCTAGAAGAAGCTACAGCCTGCTACGGGTCTCCAATCTTTAGGCCTAGGCTTTTTGCATCATCTAAAGTGTAGCAGTTATAGTTAGGTTTCAGTGCTGGTCACCACCTCACCTTCCTGTTGCCCTTCACTGCCATCTGGCTGCATTAGCAGTGTCTCAACACACTGGATTTTTTTTTAAATTAGTGTCTACTATTCTTGCAGTGTCTACTACCTGTTTTTCTTAGGCCCACCCTTCTGGATGCTGCTTCATATATCTTTCTATTGCAGCCACTTTGACATGGAGTTTTCCAATCTGGCTACTGTCAGTGCCTGCAAGCAAGCCAGAGCCACAATTTTTATAGATTTGTGTTTGAACAAAGCCCAGCTCTACAAGTACAGCATCAACTCAGGTACCTTACTACTAGCACCCTACTGAACAGCTGGGCTCCACTCTCCTAACCTTTAGAGAAAGGAATGAGGCATTGAAGCTGTTCTGTTTGTGCCAGGGTCTGAAGTAAGATACCTGAGACTAACTTGGCCTTTCAGCTGTCCCAGTCATAACAAATCCCATTCCATGTGTATAAACTGATGGCTTAGACCTATTAGTCCATTTTATCTCAGGCCTTCGTGCCTTCAAAAAAAGAGTGAAGGCCTGGAGACTCTGGTTTCTTCCAGTGTTGCTTTCCGTTTCCCTTAAATGAGGGACATTTTTGCTCAAGTAGGGTTCCTGGGTGAGGTACCATTTATATGACTCTTCATCCCAAGCTTTAGCATCAGAGGGAACTTTGAAGGTTCTTCCTTAGAGAGAAATCTTAGTCTGAACAGCATCCCTGCACTGCTTTGGCTTTTTGCCCTCCTGGAGAATTCGTTCTTTTGGCAGTTATTAGACCACCACCTAGACTCATTAAGGATGCATCATTAATCTAAATGCCCTGGAACCTTCTTGAGCCTGAAATTGAATATGAACCTATTTATTCCCATATGCCTTAAAGTCCACCAAGAATATTTAGACAGATCTTATCTGGACTCCTCACTCCCCTGCCATATTGAAATGCTGGAGTGATCACTCATGGCTGGGAGGTCTTGCATTTCCTCATCTGTAGTACAGTCTGGTGATTATGCTATCCTATGCCATGCACTTCCTGCCTCCAACAAAAAACAGCTTTGGGGAGTGGTGGCGGTGGTGGGGATCCTAGATGTGCTCCTAATACATCCTCTGCTTCCACTTACCAGAATGATAGTGGCTTCCCTAAAACTGCATTGGCTCTCCAGCTGCCTACAAAGTAGTCAGATTCCCAAGCAGTAGTAGAAAAGTACAGAACGGAAATTCTTCCTCATTCATCATGTACTTGTCATATTCCATTGTGGCACCCTAAGTCCCTTTTACTGTGTTTATTTTCTCTTGGATTCTGTGCTTGGGCTGGAAGATAAAGGGGTGGGAGGAATGTCTGTTACTACCTGGAATAAGGCTTGTCTTTAATCCACTAGCATTCAGAAGTACCCCCAGGAAGCATCCTCTGCTCACCATAGAAAGTTTTCAGAAACTCCTGAGAGTCTGATTATATACTAGATTGGAACAAAGAAGCTAGTAAGAATTAATGAAGTCACCTCTGGGAACATTGCCTCTGAAAAACTGTAAGTAATTGCGCATTTGGCCAGGAAGGCAAGGAATTCCAAGGCAGCGGAGATCTGAGGAGCATTCTCCAGCAGTCCTCAGGTGCTGTGGTGCTTACCAGAGCTCTGTCCAGGGATAGGAAAGGAAGAGAGAAGAGGGCATAATGACAGTGCAGAAAGGAAGTTAGAGACTGGGATTCGTGGTTTTGGGGGTTGAAAGAAACCTTGAAAGTCATGGAGTACGAAAATAGAACAGGAACCAAGATTAGCTGAATCAACAGAAATCTAGTATACACTTGCCAGGTCCCTTGAGCTGAAGTGTGCCAGGGTGCAAAGGAAGTGTTGCATAAGGGCATCATCACTTTCAAGCACTTAGGATCTGGAGGCTCCAGTTTCACTACCTACCTCTCTGCCTTCTCTGTCTTATTTGGTTTTCTCTTCCTCCATGCATTCTTTTAAAATGTAAGCATTTCCTAGTGTGATGTGATATTATTCTCTTTTTTCAGTCCTCCTTCTTGTCTTGATTGCCCTTACCTCCTCCCAAGATTTCAGCCATCACCTCTGTTGATGTCTTCAACCCTGACTACTCTCCAGACCTCCAGATTGTCAGCTGCCTCCCAGATGCCCTCACATGGATGTCCTAAAAGCACCTCAAATTTAGCATGTTTAAAATCAAACTTGCAGCTGGGTGCGGTGGCTCACGCCTGTAATCCCAGCGCTTTGGGAGGCCGAGGCAGGCGGATCACCTGAGCTCAGGAGTTCGAGACCAGCCTGGCCAACATGGTGAAACCCTATCTCTACAATCCCAGCTTCTCAGGAGGCTGAGGCATGAGATTTGCTTGAACCCAGGAGGTGGAGGTAGCAGTGAGACGAGATCACATCACAGGACTCCAGCCTGGGTGACAGAGTGAGATTCTGTCTCAAAAAAAAAAAAAATAAATAAATAAATAATCAAACTTGCATTGAAACATGCTACAGCATGAAAGACCCTTAAAAATATGATGCTAAGTGACAGAAGCCAGACACAAAAGACCACATATTGTATGATTCAGTTTATATGAAACGTCCAAAATGGGCAAATCTGTAGGGACATAAAGTAAATTAGTGGTTGCCAGTGACTCGGGGATGAGGGGAAAATTGAGAGCAGGTATGGGTTATTGCTAATGGGTATGGGATTTCTTTTTAGGGGAAGAAAAATATTCTAAAGCTGATTGTGGTGATTGATGGTTGCACAACTCTGTGAATATACTAAAAAGCTACTGAATTATACACTTGAAATGGGTGAACTGTATAGTCTATGGATTACATCTCAGTAAAGCTGTTAAAAATTATGTCAGACTTGCTGTCCTCCCCCAACCACTTGTTTTCCCTCAGGTCCCCTAGCTCTCAAAGCTAGACAAGCCAAGCTGGAAACGTGTCCTACTAATTCTCCCAGTTCTCTTTCCAACTTTAATGGTTTCAAGTCTTCTCATTTCCATCACTCATTCATTACTACATTTGTTTCATCCATTTTAATGGCTGCATATTATTCCACTCTGTGGATATATGAATTATTTCAGTGGTCTTCAACCTTTTTGCTCCATACTGTAAAGTTTTGAAAAGTTATCTACCTTCTTGCACATTGGTAGGTTATCTAATATTTTTATCGTAAATTATTGTATAGGATACAATTTCTGGCATATTATAAACACTGACAGTCTTAAAACTGTTGCATTATATTTTTAAATCTCTTTGGAGGAACCTACATACCACAGGAACTCGATAACTAATACCATCAATTTTTTTTAATACACAAATTCTTTTAACAGTGAGAAATTTTGCATTGTTCCTTTTTTTGCCTTGAATTTGGACTTCATTCCACTTTCTCCATATAATTTTTTTTTTTTGAGATGGAGTCTCTGTCACCCAGGCTGGAGTGCAGTGGCGCGATCTCGGCTTACTGCAACCTCCACCTCCTGGGTTCAAGCAATTCTCCTGCTTCAGCCTCCCAAGTAGCTGGTACAACAGGCGCATGCCACAATGCCCGGCTAAGTTTTTATATTTTTTGGTAGAGATGGGGTTTCACCATGTTGGCCAGGCTGGTCTTGAACCCCTGACCTCAAGTGATCTGCCCACCTCAGCCTCCCAAAGTGCTGGGATTACAGGCATGAGCCACTGCACCTGGCCCCTCCATAGAATTTTATCTTTAAAAGTATTTTGTTGATCACCAAATCTATTTGGTGCATAATGTTATTAGATTTCTGTGACTATTAAGTGTTAAATATTTCCTCTGGATTGAGTTAATATTACAGTTGAAGTATTGATGAAACAAAAGAAGTCTTACTGCAAATGCATTTTTTTAATTAGTTTATGTATTCATATATACTGTTGCTAGTAGAATAATATAGTATTCAAGTATTCTATTTTTTTTCTTTTTATAGATATAAGTGCTGAGAAACCCTATTTATATGATTACATAGATGGGAATGAAGGGACTTCTATTTATAGGAATGCCACTCAGTTCTCTGGACTCACTCTGAATTTTAGGCCAAACAAATCATGTACTAATCTATTATCAAAAAGTATTTTGAATGTTCTATCACTGATAGCTTGATTTTGTCCAGGTCTCGAACTCCTGACCTCAGGTGATTCGCCCACCTCAGCCTCCAAAGGGCTAGGATTACAGGTGTGAGCCACCATTCCCGGCCTATGGTTAACTTTTAAACATATTAATATTTAATCCATTTAGAATTTATTTTATTATTCATTTTATTATTTTTATTATTTATTTATTTATTCTGAGACGGAGTTTTGCTCTGTTGCCCAGGCTGGAGTGTAATGGCATGATCTCGGCTCACTGCAACCTCCACCTCCCAGATTCAAGTGATTCTCCTGCTTCAGCCTCCTGAGTAGCTGGGATTACAGGCACCCACTACCATGCCCAGCTAATTTTTTTGTTTTTAGTAGAGGTGGGATTTCACCATGTTGGCCAGGCTGGTCTCGAACTCCTGACCTCAGGTGATCTGCCTGTCTTGACCTCCCAAAGTTCTGGGATTTATTAGGCATGAGCTACCACGCCTGGCCAATTTTTTATTTTTTTGAGGTGGAGTCTCACTCTGGCGTCCAGGCTGGAGTGCAGTGGCATGACCTCAGCTCACTGCAGCCTCCGCCTCCCGAGTTCAAGCGATCCTCCTATCTCAGCCTCCCGAGTAGCTGGGACTACAGGCATGCGCCACCCTCCTGGCTAATTTTTGTATTTTTGGTGGAGACAGGGTTTCACCATGTTGGCCAGGCTGGTCTTGAACTCCTGACATCAAGTGATCTGCCTGCCTTGGCCTCTAGAATTTATTTTATTTTTATGATATAGTGTAAAGTCAGGATCTAACTTTTTTCCCCAATAAATAGTTTTTTAACACTGTTTATTGAAAATTTGTCCTTTCCCTGCTAATTGAAAATGCTGCTTTTACTATATTCTGCATTCTTATGTATCCCTGATCTGTTTTTGGAAGCTTTGGAGTCTTCTCGCTTGTTTCATTGCTTCTTGTGATATTCTAATTTAGTCTCTTTGATCACAGTCATTGTCCTGAAACACAGATCATATCATACCCCTCTTGCACAAACACCTTCCAAGTATTTTATTGCCTACAAGAAAAGAGACCAAACTTGTTAGCCAGGTCTAACCCTAAGCTATCTTACTAGCTGCATTTCCCCATAGACTCTCTGCTTTTTGGAGCATACTGTATTTTCATGTATTTGTACCTTTGTTCCTACTGTTCTCTTAGCTAGAAATAGCCTCCTGAGCCCCATTCTTTTCTTATTAAACCCTACTTTCCTTTTAGGACCCACTGTAAATCATATCAAAGCCCCCACTATAACTTGTGTTTCATTTAGTCTCTAATTATTGTCATTTGCCTTTGTATTTCCCCAAATAGATTATCAAATTCTTGAGGGTGCCTCGCTAAGCATTTTTTTTTTTTTTTTTTAGACAGGGTCTCACTCTGTCGCCCAGGCTGGAATGCAATGGTGTGATCACAGCTCACTGCAGCCTCCACCTCCCGGGCTTAAGTGATCCTCCCACCTCAGCCTCCCAAGTAGCTGGGACTACAGATGTGTGCCACCACATCCGGCTAATTTTTGTATTTTCTTGTAGGTACGGGGTCTCGCCATGTTGGCCAGGCTGGTCTCGAACTCCTGGGCTCAAGCGATCCACCCACCTCGGCCTCCCAAAGTGCTGGGACTACAGGTGTGAGCCACTGCACCTGGCCTCGTTAGTCTTTTATCTTACCTTATTACCTTTCATATAGTCAGTCTTCAGAAAATGCTTATTGAATGGAGTTGAATTTATTCATGCACACACACACACACATCCATCCATATGCTCTAAAATGTTAGTGAACAAAAGCCATTGTGTCAGGGGTCCCTAAGACCATCCCCAGGTTTTGCTAGGACTCAGACGACTTAGCATATAGTCTTTCTCATAAAAGAATAGAGAGCAAAATCAGCAAAAGGAAAAGGCATATAGGGCGAAGTCCAGAGGAAACCAGGTGCAAGTTTCCAAGGGTTCTCTCCCAGTGGAGTCTCACAGAACATACTTAATTTCCTCATCAATGAGTTGTGACAACACATGCGATACATTACCACCCTGGGAAGTTTGCTAGAGTCTCAGTACCAAGAGTTTCTACTGGGGGCTGATCATGTAGGCGTCCCCTGCCAAGCACATACCCAAATTCCAGACTGCCAGGAGGAAAGGGAGTGCTCAGCGTAAACCATCTTATTTACACAAACAGTTTCAGCACCCATCAGTTAATGGTGGGGACCCTCTTGAAATCTAAGTTCCCAGATGCTGGCCAAGGGCCATTTTGTAAGCAGGCCTTTCCAAGGACAGCAGTCAGATCTGCTGTGTTAACCCTTTTCTGTACAACCTTTTTTTTTTTTTTTTTTTTTTTGAGACGAAGTCTCACTCTGTCATCCAGGCTGGAGTGCAGTGGCGCCATCTCAGCTCACTGCAACCTCCGCCTCCCAGGCTCAAGCGATTCTCCTGTCTTAGCCTCCTGAGTAGCTGGGATTACAGGTATGCACCACTACACCCAGCTAATTTTTGTATTTTTGGTAGAAATACGGTTTCACCATGTTGTCCGGGCTGGTCTCAAACTCCTGGCCTCAAGTGATCCGCCCACCTCAGCCTCCCAAAGTGCTGGGATTACAGGTGTGAGCCACCACACCTGGCCAACGCAACCATATTTTTGTTTTGTTTTTGAATGGAGTTTCACTGTTATTGCCCAGGCTGGAGTGCAATGGCACGATCTCAGCTCACTGCAACCTCCGCCTCCCAGGTTCAAGTGATTCTCCTGCCTCAGCCTCCCAAGTAGCTGGGATTACAGACACCCACTATGACGCTCAGCTAATTTTTTTGTATTTTTAGTAGAGGCGGGGTTTCACCATGTTGGCCAGGCTGGTTGCAAACAATCATATTTTTTAAGAGCTTAACTTCACAGATGGTTAATGCCTAAAGGGAAGAGAAAATCAATATGGTAGGAATGGTCAGGAGATACATGCTAAGTACTTCCATTGATACACTCTTCTTACAGGAGGTAGATTATAAGCTGAGGCCTGGAGAAGAGCAAGACATAGAAAGGGCTAAAGCCAAAGACCCATGTTTGGCAGGAGGATGTGAGGTTGGGGAGAAATGGAGGTGTGCAAATTATAGATGGCCCCAAAAGCTGGGCAGGAGGATATTTAGGGTTTGATGTGGTGGCACTAGAACATCTTCCTAGACTGAGGAGAAAGTGGTACTTTAGGATGGCTATGTAGTTAGCAGTGGGTGGGGAGGTTCTGGGGAGAAGAAATGAGGTGCAGGAAGACCAACAAGGGAACGTGTGGTGACCCAGATGACATGTTATGAAAACCTAGATAAGAAGTGCTCATATATCTAGTTCAGCATTCTGCTTAAAATGGGCTTTTATGGCCAGGTGCAGTGGCTCACACCTGTAATCCCAGCATTTTGGGAGGCTGTGGTGGGTGGATCACTTGAGGCCAGGATTCAAGACCAGCCTGGGCAACATGGTAAAACCTTGTCTCTACAAAAAATACAAAAATCAGCTGAGCGTGGTAGCATGTGCCTGTAGTCCCAGCTACTCAGAAGGCTGAGGCAGGAGAATTGCTTGAACCCAGGAGGCAGAGGTTGCAGTGAGCCAAGATCGCACCACTGCACTCCAGCCTGGGCAACGGAGACTCCATCTCAAAAAAAAAAAAAAAAAAAAAAAAAAAAGGCCGGGTTGGGGGGGCTTTTAAATCATTGGAAGGGTGGAGGGATCAAGTGGAGATAGGTTATGAAAGAAGCTATGTCAAGGGTGAATGTAACTCAAAATAATCACACATTTAACAAGATACTTCAACTGAATCTTATTTTAGAATTATTGTAGTTAGAATTTCCTTTTAAAGTTGTAAGTAGGTAACATTTTATTTGAAGATAAATTTATATGATTTTTATATTGTATAATGAGTAAAGAACTAGGATACAATGAAGTCTACCTCTATTTAAAGGAATGATGTTGACAAATATATACGTGCATGTATTTTGAAGATTTCATTAACCAAAATAGAAGAATAAGAATTTTCTATCAGCACTGTTTTTGTTTGGAATTAAACATTTCCATACTAATATAAATGCCAAAAAATAAATCAACTTTTACATTTCTTTCAGTTTTAATAGTGTAAGATCCTAGTGAAAGGTAAGGATATGTATATTAATAAATTTTTATTTTTTAATGTCCCTAAAAAATGTGCCATTTTACCATGTTTGCTCCGTTATTACTTGCATGGTCTTATGTCCAGTTTGTGGTTAGTAATTGAATATTGTGCATAGTATCACAGTATAGAATCCACGTTCATTATTCTCTAATCATAGTCTCATTGTTCTTGTAAATTCTTCTTCCTGTATTTATTGAAGCCTTACACCTTTTTATACTGTAGTCAACCATCCAAAAGTAAGAAGGCATTTCCCCCTCTAATAACTTTCTCTGCAGTTATCAGTCAGTTAAAAGAGCCCATGTAGTTTTAGAATTAGAGATATAGGGTGGAAAAGATAAAATACTAATTTGAGGTGTGCGTGTGTAGTGTCAGGCTCCGTACTTGAGAGCCAAAGGTTTAAGAGTCTTGATTTTATGCCAGGGATGCCTTCACTGAAACTCACCCAAATAGCAGAAGACTGTTTTCATCAATTTACTAATATCAATGTTATCTAGCACCACATGTTTTCTTTGTCCTATTGATTTATCATGCGATATTGCTTTGATGTGTTCTGTTGTTACTTTGCGCCTTTGGGGTTCCACATGCCTTCGTGGGAATCTCGGGGTGCAAGTAACACTGTATAAACGAAAATACTTTGAAAATTGCAGTGTAAACAAAACTAGCTCAGATGTTTGACACTTTGTTTGAAGTCTTTATTTCTCTTGTTTTCTCTCAATAGGAATATACAGATGTTGCCACAGGAATCTAATCTGAAATCGTACAAATGGAAATGACGCTACAGGAGGATGTTTGGGAGCATCTCTCTCTTTTTGTCAGGAGTTAGAAGTGACACTAAGGCACTAATACTGTAACTTCTTGATAAAATAACTTTATTTTTTAGTAGTGGAATGCTGCAACTTTTTTACACCTAACAATTGCTTTTAAATTACAGTATTCAATTTAAAAGTTGTATTAACTACAGTTTCCTTTGCAAAAAGTCTCAAAAGAATCACTTGAAGGGCATTATTTGTTGATGCATTTTTCTCTGAGCATGGTTTCATAGAGAGAACTTCACCAAGTAATATTCAGACGTTTATATGTTGAAAGTTTTGCTTACATAATAAAAACAAAAACAAGTGTCTGAATTGTATAGTGTCTTTACATGAAAGAACTTTAAACAGTGGCCTTATGGTAGAAAATTTTATACCAGATTTTTCTTTTTCTGATGACATTTTGGCTTATAACTCGAAGTTTTCTTAAGTTTCTGAAGATCAAGGCCTATATAATTCATACATTTCATATTATAAGAAGGCAAGAGACAAGGTGCTTCAAATATTCCATCAGGTAGTTGTGAGTGCACTGAATTTTTAGTAATATGTTCATTCAGTTTTTTTCCACAACTATTTGCTCTTTTCCAATTTCAAAATGCTATTGTGGAAAATATGTAAAGATTTTGTAATCTATAGTCCATCTTATTTTTCCCTCAGGGCAAGCTTGTGCATATCATATTTTTAAAGGCTTTTTAAAAATCTGACAAACAAAATCTCATATTTGAAAATTGTACTTTACTACTACAGCATTACACATTTTGCAAGCACATCTTATAGAGTGTTTACTTTTAGTTCAGTTGATATGTATTGCATACCTACTATGTGTAAGAGCAAATGGATGGGATTTTTAAATGAAATTTTTAGGCCCCAATACCTTATTTCTTTATGTTTTCTGTGTTCTGCTTAACAGTACATATACATTCCCAATTACATTTTTGTGAAATGTTTATTTGTAATAAAATAAAATGTTGTTGCTCTTTCTGCTTAAATAAGTTACTTGCCAGTTTGTGAGAGCATTATTTTAATTTTGTTTGAGACTTATAGCCTTGGATAGCACCTCTGTTTAAACAGTGTTTAAAGCACTGTTCTGTGCTTACAAAGACAGAGCTTTCAAAATTAAAATGTGAAGGTTGATAAGAACTTGGTTTTTCATGACTGGATGTGAAAAATCTTAGTACATTCAGTTTTCTTGTCCATATCTTTAAAAGAGAGGGCAGCCTTTTCCTTAAGTGAGTTCATGATAAGGGGGGCAAGTGCACTTGATTCATTGCTAAGCAGGTAATAAATTTGGGTAGATGGCCTGTCTTGTACTGTGTACAATCTCTATAGGTCAGGTTTTCCAAACATATTTAGCATTCCACTTATGGTAAGAAAGAAATGCATGCACACAGGTAGTATGGCAACTTTATATTGTGTTAGGTACTTATAAAATCTGTCTTAAATTTTAAAATAATTGATTTCATTTACTCCCATATTCTAGGGGACAGTAATGAGCTTTGAATATTTAATCATTTGATTGACAACTATGTATTGCACAGATACTGTACTAAAATTACAGCAATGAACAAGAAGACAAGACACATGGACCCTGCCTTTATGGTACGAAGAGTCTAATAGGAAAAATGGACATTAAACAGAAATATAACTTGGTAAATCGCCTTTATAGCTCGCTTTTTATTTATTGTAACACATAAAGGTAAGATGGCTGATTTACTATTATTCATTCCACAACTGATTCCCTATTTGGATATTCTTTTGGCACTGTCTCAATATGCAAAGCGTGTTATCTGCAAAATACCTGTGCAGAAAACATTGTGTGTATAAGATCTAAAGCCTAAAAGGAAAAACCAACTTTATAATTTAGAGTATAAAATAAGGACAGGGACCGTGTCTGTCTTGTCCACCATAGTATCCCCAGCACCCAGCTTCCTATTTGACGTGTGGTAAGAGTTCATTAAATATTAGTTGAATAATGAATGAATAAATAGGGAATAATAGAATATGTTTATTAGGAACTACATGTGTAATTTTCATATGGAGATTGAACAAAAGGTTATCCATAGCATTTTTTATTGACTGGAAAGAATTTGACTTCTTGAATGCATAAGACTTGAGAAGAGAAGTTTTTTTTTTTTTTCTTTTTTTTGATAAGTCCCCTACCATTGCCTCCTCACCTTCCTCCACTACGTGCTAGGCCCTTCGCTGGTACTGGGAAGACAAAGATAATAAGACACAGTCCCTGCTGTGAGGAAGCTCATGCACTGCTGAAGAAGAGATTCACAAAAACAAAGAATCACAATGTAGAGTAAGTACTTTAGTGGACATATATACAAAAGGTTGAGAGGAAAGTTGACATTTCTGATTCAGCATCCCCTCGTCATGTTTCTTTCCTATTGGTTTCACCAACCTCAGAAGGCACTATTCTGTTGGTGGTTTTACTGGTTTTAAAAATTGATGCATTGGGGGAAACTGGGTAAATTGTACGCGGGATCTCTCTGTATTATTTCTTTTATAGCTGCATGTGAATCTAGAGTTACTTCAACATAAATTTCAATTTGAAGAATTGCCCATAGTCTTATCACAGAGAACACTATTATAAATATTTTAGATGATACATTTTCATTTTTTTCTATTGGAAAAAAACTCGCTACATTTATGTGTAACAATTTATGTAGATGTATACTATGTACCACATTTTACCTAATAAATCCTACATTTTTGAATAGTTTTTTTTTTAAAAAAAAGACGGGGATACTTCCAGGCAGAAGCAAGAAAAGTAAAGCTGGATGAGAAACTCTTATTGTCTTTATTACCCAGCAAATTCAGTAACCACCAGGCACAAATTCACCAGGAACAACCAAGCAAGGAAGGAAGAAGAAGCTGATGCAACAAGGTGTGGTATGACTTCATCCCTCGCCCATCCCCAGAAGTAGCACTGAGTAAAACAATGGAGATGACAAAAATATTGGTAACAGTGGGCCCCAGTATGGACAAAGGCACTGACGAGGTGACCAGGCCACGTGGAGGAGAGTCAAGGAAAACTCTTGGGACAACGAAGTCTTTGCTTCCATCTCAGGACCTCAGCAGAAGGGGTAAGATTCACCAGGACTAGGCATTTCCCAGGTCTCAGAGCAGCCTGGGAAAGCCAAATCCTGCAGAAGTCAGAGACACCTTTGACTGTGTCTAGTGAGTTCTGGTTCTGGACATTTAATGGGAACCTAGAAGAGAGGGGATACCAGGTTCCCCAACAAAGTTCCGTCAAATAGGATGATTATGAGCTCTGAGTCCATTAAAATACAGAATGAACATTTAAGAACTGAGGAATCATAGATGTAGAATAGTATGTAAATGTTATAAATCTTGACAAAGAAAAATTAATGTACATTGACAAATTCAGACATGGAGGAGGTAAAGTGGGATAAAGACTTAAGAACTAACCGTCTCATCATTCATGGCCAGGTGTCATGTCACGTCATGTCTTAAAATTATAATATGGGGAAAAACGCTAGTGACCAACCTTAAGTTTTTCCACAATCTTTTTTTTCCTTGACCTTAATACAGTGGTTCTCAAAGTGTGGTCCCAGACCAGCAACATCAGCATCACCTGAGAACTTGTTAAAAATGCAGATTCTTGGCCCCACCCCAGACCTCCTGAATCAGAAACCCTGGGGGTGGGGCCAAGCAATCTGTGATTTAACAAGTCCTCCAGGGGATTCTGGCACATACTTGAGTTTGAGAATAACTGGCTTATTTATCCCTTTTAGGAACCAATGAAGAAACATTTATCTGAAGTTCAGCAGCCCCTTCAATTTAATGCCTAATTTTTTTTCTATTGCATTCAAATAAAGTTAAATCTAAAACTTGTTTGCTGGCCGGGCACAGTGAGTCACGCCTGTAATCCCAGCACTTTGGGAGGCCGAGGCGAGTGGATCACTTGAGGTCAGGAGTTTGAGACCAGCCTGGCCAATATGGTGAAACCCCATCTCTAATAAAAATACATAAATTAGCCGGGCGCAGTAGCATGCACCTGTAATCCCAGCTACCTGGGAGGCTGAGGCAGGAGAATTGCTTAAACCCGGGAGGCGAAGGTTGCAGTGAACCGAGGCCACGCCATTGCACTCCAGCCTGGGCGACAGAGCGAGACTCCATGTCAAAAAAGAAAATAAATAAATAAAACTTGTTAGAATAAAAAGTTTAGGGATTCCCCCCGTCAATCCTGTCTGTACATATGAGTGAATTGAGAGGTCTGGAAACATACCCACCCACTGTTAACACTGTTGATTTTTTTAAATGGTGGGATTATGAGTGACTGTACTCTTCTGTATCTATCAAATATAATGAATGTTGTATCATTTTTATAAAATAAAGTCTTTCTTTTTTAAAACAGTGGTAAGAACATTTCATCCTATCCATTATATATCTGCTACCAAAATCCAGGTAAACAAGCTTTTACGTTATAGGCTGGCTACTTCACTATAGTCCATTGGGGTTTTATTCCCGGCCATTCCTCCCACATCATAAAAAGTAGGTAGGCTTATTTTAAGTATGTATTGTGTTGAGTTTTAAGTACAAATTATTGATTTGTAATATTTAACAATAATATATAAAAAATTAAATTTGGCCAGGCACGGTGTAATGCCAACACTTAAGGAGGCTGAGGTGGGTAGATTGTTTGAGCTCAGGAGTTTGAGACCAGCCTGGGCAACATGGTGAAACTCCATCTCTACAAAAAATACAAATATTAGCTGGGTGTAGGGGCGTGCACCTGTAGTCCCACCTATTTGGGAGGCTGAGGTGGGAGGATCTCTTGAGCCTGGGAGATCAAGGCTGCAGTGAGCTGTGACAGCCTGGGTGACAGAGTGAGACCCTATCTCAAAAAAAAAAAAAAAAATTCATCTTACTGCTTTTCTTTTTAAAAAGAAAAACAACTTTTTTTTCCTGATCAAAAGTTGTTAAAAGACAACAGGCCCAAAATGGTGTCACTCATGCTAAGGTTCCATATCACCAAACAGAAACCTAAGTTGTTTATTTGGAAGATGTGACCTTCCAACAAATCAGAAGAGACAGTAGCCAAATTCCATTAAGCCAGCAAGATTTCACTTATATCCCTGTGAGGAAAGTAACCTTGAAATGGCCAGTTCTCTATTTGTTCCTTGTTCCTGCTTTCCTCCACTTTTTTCTGCCTATAAAACTCACCCACTTTGTTTAGCTCATTGGAGCTCCTTTCTAATTTGTAGATTGGATGCTGCCTGGTTCATGAATCACTAATAAAAGCCAATCAGATCTTTGAAACTCAGTTTGTTGAATTTTTGTCCTTGACAAAGTAGATAGAATAGTATGTAAAAGGGAGAAAAATTTGTCTATAATCCCACTGCTCATAAATATTTAGTGCAGACTAACATTTTGGTATTTTCTCATTAGTCTTTTTTCTGGGCTTTATTGTTTTGGTAGTTGAGATTATACTTTATTACATTTTTAAGGCCACCTTGTCCGGCCTTAAAAATGTTTTATGAAATCCTGAATTATATTAAAATTTAGGGGTTTTGGCTGGGCACAGTGGCTCATGCCTATAATCCCAGCACTTTGGGAGGCAGAGGTGGGCGGATCACCTGAGGTCAGGAGTTTGAGACCAGGCTGGCCAACATGGTGAAACCCCGTCTCTACTAAAAATACAAAAATTAGCTGGGTGTGGTGGTGCGTGCCTGTAATCCCAGCCACTCAGGAGGCTGAGGCAGGAGAATTGCTTCAACCAGGGAGGTGGAGGTTGCAGTGAGCCCAGATCGCACCACTGCACTCCAGCCTAGACAACAGAGTGAGACTCTGTCTCAAATAAATAAATAAAATTTAAGGGTTTTGTTTGTTTTGATGTACACATCATTTAAGATGTTAAAAAGTAGATAGAACTTTACAAATAATTTTCTAATGTAAATTCTCATCCCAAATTCTAATCCCTTCTAATGATACTCATTATAATATTTAGTAAAGAAGAAATAGACTTTAATGTTGAGTTCTCCCTGATGACAGTTTCTGCAAGTGATTGCAGGGAACACAATGCCACTAACTTAATAGTCTCTTAACAACTATGGTGAAAAAAAGTTCCCAAAATAATGTTCAAAAAGCTAAACATAGGATTACCATGTGGCCCAGCGATTCCTCTCATGGGTGTGTTCCCCCAAAGAATCGAAGACAGGGACTCAGACACTTGTATGGCAACTTTAATTGCAGCATTATTCACAATAGCCAAAAGGTGTCAACAACTCAGGTGACCATCTGGATAAACAAGACTCAGATTGGTGGCCTTCCCAACCTAGCCTCGCTGAGTTAGCTGCCCCTCCTCTGGGTTCCCAGAATACCCAAACACACCCCTGCTTAAGATTAAGCACGTCAAATAAGGACCTGTCTATCTCTCCCCCTCTATCTAGATCAGTGCCTGACTCAGAACTAAGAAAGAAAGATACTTGCTGAATGGCTAAAGGGCCAGCTTCTTTTTTTTTTTTTTTTTTTTTTTTTTTTGGTCAACGTTGACCAGGTTGGCCTCGAATGTGTAGCCTCACCTCCGTGTGCGCCAAGACAACCGGCCTGAGCCACTGTGGCTACCAAAAGCCACCTTCTTAAGCAAAATCTTATAGTGGCTTCCTGGTACCCACAGAAAAAAAAAAAAAAAAAGTTCAAATTCTAGCACCTGGCTTATGAACTGCTTGAAGAGAAAGGTGGGGAGGTGGGCTGCCCTTCAGGTTTTCTACTACCCAACCTTGTCTCCCAGCAGCTCTCCCAGGAGACCTTTGTTTCATGGTTTCCTGAAGATGCAGGGATGAACCATCAGGCTCTGTGCATCTGCTCTGGGCCAGGTGCTATGTGAGAAGACGTGTCATTGGCCACCCTCGGTGGGCTTCCTTCTGACCCCAAGCCTTGGCGTATTCATTCACCTCCCCAGCCTCTTCCCTCCCTGCCATTGATCCACATTCTACCTATTTTTCCGTATGGGCATTTCTACCAATACTTTAGTTCACCTTTTTCCACTTCAAATTCTTAGCATTTCGAGAACAGAGGTCTTGTAATTTTCCTTTTCACTAAGAGGCTTGGAGGTGAATTATAGTCACCCTATTATGCTATGGAACACTAGGTCTTACTCCATGTATCAACCTATTTTTGTACCCATTAATCATCTCCTCCTTACCCGCCCCTCCCCACCACCCTTCCCAGCCTCGTAACCATGCTACTCTAGCTCCATGAATTCAGGTTTTGTGTGTGTGTGTTTTTTTTTTAGCTCTCACATATGAGTGAGACCATGTGATATTTGTCTTTCTGTGCCTGGCTTATTTGACTTCACATAAGTCCTCCAGTTTCTATCCATGTTGTTGCAAATGACAGGATTTCATTATTTTTATGGCTGAATAATAGTCCATTGTGTATATGCACCATGTTTCCTTTATCCATTCAAAAGGAAAGAGTGGAACTGGAATGTTTCTTTTTTTTTTCTTTTCTTTTTTTTTTTGAGACGGAGTCTCCCCTTGTCGCCCAGGCTAGAGTGCAGTGGCAATCTTGGCTCACTGCAACCTCCGCCTTCCAGGTTCCAGTGATTCTCCTGCCTCAGCTGTTGGAGTAGCTGGGATTACAGGCATGCACCACCATGCCCAGCTAATTTTTGTATTTTTAGTAGAGATGGAGTTTCACCATATTAGCCAGGCTGGTCTCAAACTCCTGACCTCAAGTGATCCACCCGCCTTGGCCTCCCAAAGTGCTGGGATTACAGGCGTGAGCCACGGCACCCAGCTGGAACTGGAATGTTTCTAACACAAATAATAAATGCTTAAGGTGATGCATATCCCAATTACCCTGATGTGATCATTACACATTGTATGCTTATATCAAAATATCACATGTTGCCTACAAATATATACAACTATTATGTATCCATGATAATTAAATATATATATATTTTGGCCAGGCATGGTGGCTCATGCCTGTAATCCCAGCACTTAGGAAAGCTGAGGCAGGAAGATCACTTAAGGCAAAAAAAAAAAAAAAAAAATAGAGTCATCAATAGATACTAAATATATGAGGCAATTTTGATGAGCAGGACATTTCAATGTGTAAAAGTGTCTTCTCACAGATCGCTTATTTATTGCAAGGCAGGAAGGAAAAACAGCAATTATACAGTGGAAAGAACAGACAACTCCTTGACTAGGGGATGGAAATTAACATCACCAAGGAGGAGCAGATGGACATCAGTGTGATACTGTTACAGTGGGTAGCTAGTCTGGTATGAGCAGGGCAGGAGAGGGCTCCCCCGACCCACATACCAGGAGTGTCAGGCAACCATCAGGTGATAGTCAGGCGGTGGTTAACTGTCTCTCTAAAATAATGGTGATCAGCAGCTTCCCGATAAGATCTCAGGAGTTGGGAGGAGTAACGCAAGACCCCAGAAGTATGCCAACCTATAAAACCCCAAGTCAAAAGGTCAAACCGTGCACTTGCTTTTCAGGTCGACTGCTTGGCTTTCTTCCAAGTATACTTCATTTCATTCCTGCTCTAAACTTTTTAAATAAACTTTCATTCCTGCTCTAAAACTTGCCTCCATCTCTCCTTCTGCCTTATGCCTCTCAGTCCAATTTTTTCTTCTGAGGAGGCAGTAATTGAGGTTGCTGCAGACCCGTACAGGTTCATTGCCGGAAGATATTTTGGTGCCGTGTGACACGGATATGGATTCTCCACTGCTAACAATAGATAACACAGCATCACTAATATGGTATGTTGGCTGGGAATGCAGCACTTGAATATAATCATAAAGAATCATCAGACAAACCCAAAATGAAGACCATTCTGGTTTTTAAAGAGGGCCTCCATTCTTTCTTTCTTTTCTTTTCTTTTCTTTTCTTTTTTTTTTTTTTTTTTGAGACAGAGTCTCCGTCTGTTGCCCAGGCTGGAGTGCAGTGGCACAATCATGGCTGACTGCAATCTCAACCTCCTGGGCTCAAACGATCTTCCCACATCAGCCTCCCGAGTAGTTGGGACCACAGGTGCATGCCACTGCACCTGGCTTTTTTTTTTTTTAAGAGATGGTGGGGGGCGGTGGGGGGGTCTCCTTATGTTGTCCAGGCTGGTCTTGAACTCCTGACCTCAAGCAATCCTCCTACCTTGGCCTCCCAAAGTGCTGAGATTACAGGTGCGAGCCATCATGCCCAGGCATGTTGATGATTTTGGTCCAAACCAATCTTCATGGCTATGGTGGCAAAATGATGATTTTCTAACTCCAGTGCTCCCTCTACACTTACCAGCTGGCATTGGCATTCTGCTGTAAGCAAGACTCCTCCCTTCTTCCCTGCTTATTTGTCTATTTATTATTGATATGGATTCATTTCTACTTTTTCAGTGGCTTATAATTCATTATTGTCCTTGATTATTTGGGAGCTCAAATGATCCTAGCTTTGGCCAGTGGGAGCCCCTTTAAGCTGATTGCTGTGTCCTCTTGATATGGACCTATCATTCCTTTTTTGACTTTATCTTTTTTATTTCAGTAGGTTTTTGGGAAACAGGTGGTGTTTGGTTACGTGAATAAGTTCTTTAGTGGTGATTTCTGAGATTTTGGCGCACCCATCACCAAGCAGTGTACACTGTAACCAATCTACAGTATCCCTTGCCACCCCCCACCCTTTGCCTCAAGTCCCCAAAGTCCATTGTATCATTCTTATGCCTTTGCATCCTCATAGCTTAGCTCCCACGCATGAGTAAGAACATACAATATTGGTTTTCCATTCCTGAGTTACTTCACTTAGAGTAATAGTCTCCAGCCAGGTGCAGTGGCTCATGCCTGTAATCCCAGCACTTTGGGAGGCTGAGGTGGGTGGATCACCTGAGGCCAGGAGTTCGAGACCATCCTGGACAACATGGAGAAACACCGTCTCTACTAAAAATACAAAAAAAAAAAAAAAAAATTAGCTGGGCGTGGTGGCTCATGCCTGTAATCCCAGCTACTTGGGAAGCTGAGGCAGGAGGATCACTGGAACCCAGAAGGTGGAGGTTGCAGTGAGGTGAGATCACACCACTGCACTCCAGCCTGGGTGACAGAGTGAGACTCTGTCTCAAAAAAAAAAAGTCTCCAATTCCATCCAGGTTGCTACGAATGCCATTATTTCATTCCTTTTTCGTTATTTCATTCCTTTTTATGACTCAGTAGTATTCCATTGTGTGTGTGTGTGTGTGTGTGTGTGTGTGTGTGTGTGTACCACATTTTCTTCATCCACTCGTTGACTGATGGGCATTTGAGCTGGTTCCATATTTTTGCAATTGCAAATTGTGATATGCACCTATCATTTCTTTTTAGCACTTCTTTGCTCTGATGCATAACAAAATGTTTTGGTCTTTATCTTGGACATTCCCTGCCCCAGGCTTGAAATCATTCATTTTTCTAAGGAGTCCTGGTTCCTTTTAGTGGGGGATGGTATTAGAGTCCAAGACTTGGGCCCTAGTGCCCATTGCTACTGGAGTGTCTTTGCTTATAAGCATTTTCAGCAGCCATATCTAGGAAACACACACACACACATACATGCATATATATACATATTTTAGAAATGATGAGGTCACACTGGCACCTACCATCCATCTCCATAGGATTCTTCCTTGCCTTCTCCTGTTTGATATTTGTATGTCCCTTCCTCCACAGTGAGAACCCTGGCTCCCAACATCAAACGATTTAATCATTTGCTCAATCCCATAATACATCTAAAGTAGTTTCGGAATTGCTTCACTTATACCACAGCAGGAAACAAACCTACTAAAAATAGTTCAGGATTTGTTTGCGGTTCTTCAGTGCCATGCCCCAAAGACAGAAGGTATATGGACAAATACTGTGTACATAAATTACTTGCATTAGTCTCCTCCACTCCTACCCCTGTGATATGGTCATGTTCTTCATTAGAAATACAGTTGTTTTTTCCAACTTGTTTTCAGTGGTAGCTCTCCCCACCATCCATGTTTATTTGATTTGATTTTTTTCAATATGTAGAACATTAACATACTTCCTCAAATCAAACTATACCAAAAGGTATGCTCAGGGAAGTGTCACTTCCTCCTGTATTCCTTCAATACTATTCCTTCCCACTCCTTGTAGGTGACCAACTTCGGGTTTCTCATTCCTGTGTATTTTTTGGTATAGACAAGCAGATATATGTATGTTTTCTTATTCCGCCCCCCCTCCCCGTTTTTTTCCATATACAGAAAGCAGCATCTTCTATATTCTCTTTTGCACTTTGCTTTTTTCACTTAAGAAATCTTGGAAATTGTTCCATACCAGTTTGTGCGATTGTCTTTTTTTTTTGACACGGAGTCTTGCTCTGTCGCCCAGGCTGGAGTGCAGTGGCACAATCTTGGCTCACTGCAACCTCCACCTCCTGGGTTCAAGCGATTCTCCTGCCTGGGCCTCCCAAGTAGCTAGGATTACAGGCGCCTGCCACCACACCCAGCTAATTTTGTATTTTTAGTAGAGAGAGGGTTTCACCATGTTAGCCAGGCTGGTCTCAAACTCTTGACCTCAGGTGATCTGCCTGCCTTGGCCTTCCAAAGTGCTGGGATTATGGGCGTGAGCCACCATGCCTGGCCTCATTCTTCCTTATAGCTGCATAGTACTCCACTGTGTAGCTGTTATCATAACTTATTCAACCACACTCTTATATTTGGACATTTAGGTAGTTTGACATTTTGCAATTACAAATCATGCTGTAATCAATAACCTTGTGCATATTTATTTTCATATTGTTGGAAGTGAATCTTCAGAGTAAATTCCAAAAAAAAAAAAAAAAAAGTGAGATTGCTGGGCCGAAGGGTAAAATGTATATGGAATGTTGTTAGATATTGCCAGCCCTTCTCCATGGGAGTTGGACCAGGGTGCATTTCCCCCAGCAGTGGATGAGAGTGCCACTTACCCCACAGTCTGGCCAGCAGTGTATTGACAAGCTTTTGAATTTTGCCAATCTGACCCATGAAAAATGATATCTCAGCATTTCAACCTGAGCTATTTTAATTTCAAACGCTAGAAAAAAGTCCTGGTTACAGTGTGATTGTCAGGTATTGAAACAGATTTTATAGACTCTCAACTTGGTATTCTCTAGAAAACTCTCTGGAAACAGTTTTCACCCTAGGAAAATTTTAGCATACATCCCACCCAACTGGATGGGGATGACTTCTGAACCGCTCTAACTGGTTTTTCTGCAATTTGGTCTCTTCCTGTTCATGTTTTAGCAGGTGGGGACTCTTCTAAAGCTTTCTTGCCCCACCTATTGGGCAAGAAGGGGAATTGAGCTGCCTTTCTAAAATACTGCCTAGAAACCAGATGACATGCAGCGCCCGCCAAGATGTTCTGGCCTCATAGACCTTAGTTCAAAACAAGAATCTAAAGAGAACACGATATGTAGATTTATAGCAATGGCTCCAACATACTTCTAGAACATGTATACCTAAACCACATTCTGGAGAGCGTTAGTTAATAAAGATAGTTGACATATTTTTTCTTAGCCGTTCTAACTCCTACATGTGTAAATTTTGGTGACAGCTGCTTGCTGCAGTTAGCCCCTAAGGTCTCAGATGCTCATTTTAAAAAGTTACTTCTTTACACGAAATGGAAGTAATTATTTTCTGGTTATGAGTAATGCATGCTTGATACGGGAAAGAAATCCTAGAAAATATGGGAAAGTATAAAGAAGAACATTAAAATGACCTGTATGCCTACTACTCAGTGGTAAGCATGGTTAACAGTTTGGTCTTAGTCCTTGTGTTCAGGCACAGTGGCTCACGCCTGTAATCCCAGCACTTTGGGAGGCTGAGGAGGGGGAGGATCATTTGAGTCCAGGAGTTTGAGACCAGCCTGGGCAACATAGTGAGACCCTGTCTCTACAAAACATTAGAAAAAAAAATTAGCTGGGCATGGTGGTGCGCACCTGTGGTCCCAGCTATTCAGAAGGCTGAGGTGGGAGGATCACTTGAACCCAGGAGGTCAAGGCTGCAGTGAACCGTGATCATACCACTCCAGCTTGGGCGACACAGTGAGACCCTGTCTCTGGAGAAAAAAATCCTTGTGTACTTTTGGCACATATATACCCACTTTGCATGCACACACATACACTTTTCTACTCTGTTTCTGTCTCTATATATGTATATATACACATATAGGTGTACATACCTACATATACAAAAATGCTCATTTTTCATCCGGGTGTGGTGGCACACCTGTAGTCCCACCTACTCTGGAGCCTGAGATGGGAGGATTGCTTGAGCCTGGTAAGGAGGTTGAGGTTGCAGTGAACCATGATCATGCCACTGCACTCCAGCCTGGGCGACAGAGCAAGACCCTGTCTCAGAAACAAAAAACAAAAAACTCATTTTCCTACACATTATACATGCACACTTTGTAAACAAAAATTGAATAGTTGTTGGCCAGGTGCAGTGGCCCATGCCTCTAATCCCAGCACTTTGGGAGGCTGAGGCAGGTGGATCACTTGAGCCCAGGAGTTTGAGACCAGCCTGGGTGACATGGCAAAACCCTGTCTCTACCAAAAATACAAAAAAATTAGTTGGATGTGGTGATGTGCGCCTGTAGTCCCAGCTACTTGGGAGGCTGAGGTGGGAGAATCGCTTGAGCCTGGGAGGTGGAGCTTGCAGTGAGCCAAGATTGCGCCACTGCACTCCAGCCTGGTGACAGAGCCAGACCCTGTCAAAAAAAAAAAAAAATTGAATGGTTGTTAACATACCATTTTGTAATTTGCTGTTGTCACTTTTTCCATTCATTAAAAAGCCCTATGGCCATGCACAGTAACTCGCACCTGTAATCCCATCACTTTGGGAGGCCGAGTGGGGAGGATCACTTGAGGCCAGGATTTGGAGACCAGCCTGGCCAATATGGCAAAACCGCATCTCTAATAAAAATTTAAAAATTATCCGGGTGTAGTGGCTCACGCCTGTAATTCCAGCTACTCGGGAGGCTGAAGCATGAGAATTGCTTGAACCTGGGAGGCTGAGGCTGCAGTGAGCCGAGATCACACCACTGCACTCCAGCCTGGATGACAGAGCCAGACCCTGTCTCAAGAAAAGCTCTATAGCAAAACGTTTGTTACATAGTAATCTTTTATTTTATTTTGTTATTTTATTTACTTATTTATTTATTTTGAGACAGAGTCTCGCTCTGTCACCCAGGCTGGAGTGCAGTGGTGCGATTTCAGCTTACTGCAACCTCCGCCTCCCAGGTTCAACCGATTCTCCTGCCTCAGCCTCCCAAGTAGCTGGGATTACAGGTGTGTGCCACCATGCCCGGCTAATTTTTGTATTTTTAGTAGAGACGGGGTTTTGCCATGTTGGCCAGGCTGGTCTCAAACTCCTGACCTCAAGTGATCTGCCCACCTTGGCCTCCCAAAGTGCTGGGATTACAGGCGTGAGCCACCATGCCTGGCCTGCTGTCTTGATTTATGAATTTTAGGCACTATCTATTGAGTTTCTCCAGTAATAGATAAGGATTTTGCTTTCTTACTCCCCTGCCTTCCAACCCCAAAGTCTGCCAATTTATTATTATCATATTTTTTGGTTAATATTAATTGCTTGACATTATACAGCCACATAAATATTGGTTTCTCTCTCTCTTTTTTTTTTGCTGTGTTTTTTTTTCTTTCTTTCTTTCTTTTTATTTATTTTGCTGAACCAGGTGGATTATACAGATTGTTTCCTTTTTTACAACTTAGTTTTTCCCAATGTCAATAACTGCCTTGCATTTTCTTACTTGCTTGGTTTTGGACACTCATTCAAATCCTCTGTGTTAGTTCCCTATGGCTGCTATAACTAGGCCAGAAGTTCAAAGTGGGTCTGACTGGGCTAAAATCAAAGTGTTGACAGGGCTGCATTCCTTCTGGAAGCTCTAGAGGAGAATTCAATCTCTTGCTTTTTCCAGCTTCGAGAGGCTTCTGCATTCCTTGGCTGGTGGCCACCTTCCATCTTCAAAGCCGGCCATGGCCAGTCAAGTCTTCCTCATGCTGCGTCATGACTCCCACACTCTCTTCTTCCCTGTTCTATATTGAAAGGTCCTTGTGATTACATTGAGTCTACCTGCGCAACCCAGGATAAATTTCCCATCCCAAGAGCAGCTAATTGGCAACCTTAATTTCAATTGCAACCTTAGTTTTTTTCATGTAACAACATATTCACAGGCTCCACAGATTAGGGTGTGAACATGTTTGGGAGGCCCATTATTCCACCCAACATCTAGATCCTCCATTAAATCTGCCCGAGGCTTATCAATAGCATGTTCCAAACACTCAGTTAAACCAGACTTCCCTCCTAGAGACTCCATTCAGTTCAAGCTGAACTGACCTGCCAGACAGTGCCATCCAGGGATTTCTCTCTCACTGCATTTGTGTATGGGATCCCTCGTTTCGTAAGTCTCATGTTTCTGCTGTCTTAACATACTCCTTTTTTTTTTTTTTTTTTGGCTGGAGCACATACTTCTGACGTTCTGTAAAACGAGGACATGGGAGGTATGTATTTGGAGTCCTTACATGTCTGAAAATGTCATTATTCCATGTTTATATTTGATTGATGGTTTGGCTGAGTATAGACTTCTAGGTTGAAGAGCCCACTTTGGTGGTTTCCTACTAAGCCTGTTACCCTCCCGGGCTGCCGTTTGAACCCCAACAGTACCTTGAGATGCCGAGCACTTTGATGCTTCCTCTCCTGTTCTCCTTGTCCTGGTTGGAGGATTTCCCTTTAATTAATTAATTTATTATTATTATTATTTTTGGAGACGGAGTCTTGCTCTGTCGCCAGGCTGGAGTGCAGTGGTGCAATCTTGGCTCACTGCAACCTCCGCCTCCCAGGTTCCAGCGATTCTGCTGCCTCAGCCTCCCCAGTAGCTGGAATTACAGGCGCCCACCACCACGCCTGGCTAACTTCTGTAGTTTTATTTTAGTAGACATGGGGTTTCACCATGTTGTCCGGACTGGTCTCAAACTCCTGACCTCAAGTGATCTGCCTGCCTCGGCCTCCCAAAAGTGCTAGGATTATAAGCGTGAGCCACCGTGCCTGGCCTCCCTTTTATTTACTATCACTTTACCAGGATTTGAGAGGAAGAGATGATAAACACAAGTGATCAATGTGCTAGGATTGAGCAGAAGTGTGTATTTTTTAAGACTTTGCTATGAATTGTCAAATTAGATGCTCACTTCAAAGTCCTGCGATAATTTTTAAGTGTTTATTTGTTCAATTATATTCATTACTTATTCTAAGGTATTCAAAAAAGGAAAGTCATAAATTAGTAAAGGTACAATAACCTTTGAAAGCAACCTTTCCCATTATTAAAATTATGCTCTTTAAAGAAAACCTGGAACAGTGCCGGTCACTATCCTGGGCACTTTACAAGCATTAGCACATTATTGCCTCAAGACAACCCTATGAAGTAGGCACTATTCTCCCCATTTTACAGATGGGGAACCTGAGTCACAGGTTAAGAAACCTCCTGGCCAGATGCAGTGGCTCACACCTGTAATCCCAACACTTTGGGAGGTCCAGGTAGGAGGATCGCTTGAGCCTAGGAGTTCGAGACCAGCCTGGGCAACATAGTAAGATCTCCGTCTCTACAAAGAAATATGAAAATTAGCCAGGCATGGTGGCGGGTGCCTGTAGTCCCAGCTACTTGGGAGGCTGAAGTGGGAGGATTGCTTAAGCCCAGGAGGTGGAGGCTGCAGTGAGCCATGATTGCACCACTGCACTCCAGCCTGGGTGACAGAGTGAGGCCCTATCTCAATAACAACAACAGCAATAAAAAAAAGAAACCTACCAAGGTTGCACAGCAGCTAGTACCAGGTGAAGCCTAAACTCATCATGCCCAGGCTGGTGGCATAGACACCTCTATGCTCTGCTGGCTCAGAAAATAGAAGGAAAACGGATCAACAACAGCCGCATGGCTTTAGGATGACCTTTTAACCTTTTGGAGTATTTGCTTGCAAAGCTTTTAATGTATTTTTTAAGTTAAAAGGCAACTGGGAGCTGGGCGCGGTGGCTCACACCTGTCATCCCAGCATTGTGGGAGGCTGAGGTGGGCCGATTATGAGGTCAGGAGATCGAGACCATTCTGGGTAACACAGTGAAACCCCGTCTCTACTAAAAGTAAAAATAAAAAAATTAGCCAGGCCTGGTGGCGGGCACCTGTAGTCCCAGCTACTGGGGAGGCTGAGGCAGGAGAATGGCGTGAACCTGAGAGGAGGAGGTTGTAGTGAGCCGAGATCACGCCATTGCACTCCAACCTGGGCGACAGAGTGAGACTCCGTCTCAAAAAAAAAAAAAAAAGGCAACTGGGGGGCGGGCGGCTCATGCCTGTAATCCCAGCACTTTGGGCGGCTAAGGCAGGTGGATCATTTGAGGTCAGGAGTTCAAGACCAACCTGGCCAACATGGTGAAACCCTGTCTCTACTAAAAACACAAAAATTAGCCGGGCGGTAGTGGCATGCGCCTATAATCCCAGCTACTTGGCAGGCTGAGGCGGGAGAATTGCTTGAAATCGGGAGGCAGAGGTTGCAGTGAGCCAAGATCATACCACTGTACTCCAGTCTGGGTGACAGAGTGAGACCTTGTCTCAAACAAACAAACAAAAAAAAGCAACTGGGGATGTGTGTGTAGCCGTTTTATCACTTAGTGTTATACCATGAGCATTTTATGTGTATACAGATTTCATACCAAGCAAAACACTCACGAAGATCCATTGACATTTTATATTAAGACCATTGAATAGAGTTCTAAACCATGAAAACAAATGAGCTGTTTTGTCCAATTTCAGACGATGTCATCATTTCTAATGGAATCAGACACAGCTGACTTTACATTCCCAAGCCTGCTCTCTCCTGCTAAAGAACATTGATTGGGCATGACATTTAGCCTCTCGGAACCTGAGTTCCTTCCCTTGTACAATGTTAATACTAACATATAACTGACACTGTTGTGAGAATTTAAAAGCAGATAAGAGTATCGCAGCCCCCTCCTCCATAAATGGTAGCGATTGTTATCTTAAGATTATCCTTTTTGCCCAGAGAGACTTTCAAAAGACCCATAACACTATTTTGTGGCAGGTCAAACCTTTTCATTCCTTTATTCAGGCACTGAGAAAAGGTCTAGTCCATATCTGATAGTTTTTGTGTGTGTTGTTTATAGTTATGAAAGACTGAGGCGTATATAAAACTTTTCAGAAAATTTAATTATGAACACATGTCAAAGTCAAAGTTTTGTTTCAAGATTCCCCCCCTTTTTTTTTTTTTCTTTTCTTGAGACAGAGTCTCTATCGCCCAGGCTGGAGTGCAGTAGCACGATCTCAGCTCACTGCAACCTCCGCCTCCCGGGTTCAAGCAATTCTCCTGCCTCAGCCTCCCAAGTAGCTGGGATTACAGGTGCCCACCACCATGCCTGGCTAGTTTTTTTGTATTTTTAGTAGATACAGGGATTCGCCGTGTTGGCCAGGTTGGTCTTGAACCCCTGACCTCAGGGGATCTACCCGCCTTGGCCTCCCAAAGTGCTGAGGTTACAGGCATGAGCTACCGCACCCAGCCCCAAGATTCCCTCTTATTCCCCCTTGGTTGGGACATTTTCTGGGAAGTGAATGGTTAGATGATCATTGTCAGACTGGACACAAGGTGAAAGAATGTCTGGCTAAACATCACTAGACTTCTGACCTTAGGTCAGCTGAGACGGGGGCAGGGGGTGGAGGGAGCAGTCTCCCCGACAAGGGCTTAATCTCATTAAAGAGTATCAGAGAATTGCTTTAGCATTTTTTCAGGAATTCTAATTTCTTCCCAGAAGAAGATTATGAAATGCATTCAAATTTAGGAAAAAAGAAAAAGGTGATTTGAGAGTCCTCCAGGGAAAATAGTACCCCCTCTTCAGTGTTCTCAATTTCCATCATTAGAGCACTAAAGAGGAATTACTAGCTCCAAAAAATTACAGTGATAATAGGTGGAAATCATCATATATCTTAGTATCATTACACACTTTAAAAAATGTCTGGAAGAATATTCCTTCAAGAGTTAACAGTGATTATCAATTATCTCTGCAGTAATTGGTAATTGTGAGATGATGGAAGATTTTCACCTTATACACTGTATCCTTAATATTTTATTTTAGTTTAGTTTATTTTTGGGACAGGGTCTTGTTCTGTCACTCAAGCTGGAGGACAGTGATGTGATCATGGTTCACTGCAGCCTCGACCTCCTAGGCGCAAGCAGTCCTCCCACCTCAGCCTCCCGAGTAGCTGGGACTGCAGGTGCGTGCCACCATGCTTGGCTGATTTTTTATTATTTTATTTTTGTAGAGATGGGATCTCACTATGTTGTCCTGGCTGGTCTTAAACTCCTAGGCTTAAGCAATCCTCCTGCCTCAGTCTCCCAAAGTGCTTGGATTGCAGGCATGAGCCACTGTGCCTGGCCTGTTTTATTTTTTAAAATACTGAGCAGAGATTACTTTTCTAATGATAATGATATGAATATATATCGCAAAACATCAAGTCAGTTTTACCAGTTCAGGGCTATGCCTCACTGGTAGCTCCCTTGAGCCCGTTTTCATTGCCAAGGACCAAGCAGTTCATCAGATGACAGAGCGTTCACCTTGGCTCTGAGGAGTTGAGGTACAGCGGGGATTCTCACACTTGAGCTGCTGATCAAAACACAGGTTACTGGGTCCCAGCCCCAGAGTTCCTGACCCGGAAGGCCTGGGGCGGGGTCCCCAGCGTGCATCTCTAACAGGTTCCCACATGCTGCTGCTGCTGGGCTGGGGACCACACTTTGAGAGCTTCTGTGGTCCAGAAAAGAAAACTTCAGCTGGGGAATAGAATCCTTAACCCAGGGCTGGCAAGCAAAACAAAGAAGATGAACTTGACTTACTTCCCACTTTTGCCTCTGGCTGGTCTGTAATTATTTTTGAGAAGAGGAACTTGATTTGACTGACTCTATTTAATAAGAAGTCGTGCTAGAAAAGGGTTGTGCCATCTCTTATTAAGTGACCGCCTGGTTCAGAGACTTTTCAATTAAGTCCCATAGCCTCGGGCTTGAGGATGCATCTGAGGTTGGCTGTCTGCTTTGGGGCCTTCACAATCTAGGGGATGGCTGTGGCGTTTCACCGTCAGCTCAGGCCACTGGTCTTGGTTTCTCTGAACCCCGAGGTGATGGGGTGGTGGTTATTGTAATTCTGATTTCCTGTTTGGGAAGCAGTGTGGGGGTATTATTGGAGGAGTTAAAACACAGGGAATATCGTCCCCACCCAGCCCCATATAACCCACCAATCACATATGTATTCATTCTCTTTTGGTACTAAAATATACATAACAAAATTTGCCATTTTAACCATTTATTAATGTACAGTTCAGTGGCATTAAATACATTCACATTGTTGTGCGACCATCACAACCATCCATCTCCAGAACATTTGCATCTTCCCATACTGAAATGCTGTAACCATGATCACTCTTTTAAAATCTTTAACAGCTTTTATTGAGATATAATTTGCATATCACATAATTAACTTTTTTTTTTTTTTTTTTTGAGACGGAGTCTCGCTCTTTTGCCTGGCTGGAGTGCAGTGGTGCAATCTCGGCTTGCTGCAACCTCTGCCTCCTGGGTTCAAGTGATTCTTCTGCCTCAGCCTCCCGAGTAGCTGGGACTACAGGCGCACACCACCATGCCCAGCTAATTTTTGTATTTTTGGTAGAGACAGGGTTTCACCATGTTGGCCAGACTGGTCTCAAACTCCTGACCTCAGGCAATCCACCCGTCTCGGCCTCCCAAAGTGCTAGGATTATAGGTGTGAGCCACTGTGCCTGGCAATTCACCCATTTTAAAATGTATAATTCAACAGTTTTTAGTATATTCACAGAGTTGTGGAACCATCAACACAATCAATTTTAGAACGTTTTGTCACCGCAAAATGAAACCCTGTACCCATTAGCTGTCACTCCTCAATTCCCCCAGCCCCTGACAACCACTAGCCTACTTTCTGTCTCTATGGATTTGCCTGTTCCAGAAATCTCATATACATGGAACCATATAATAGGTGGCTTTCGACAACTGGCTTCTGTCACTTAGCATCATATTTTCAAGGGTCAACCATGTTGTGGCATAAATCAGTACTTCATTCCCTTTTGTATTCATTTTTTTTTTTTTTTTTGAGACAAAGTCTTGCTCGGTCACCCAGGCTGGAGTGCAGTGGTGCAATCTTGGCTCACTGCAGCCTCAAACTCCCAGGCTCAAGTGATCCTCCCACCTCAGCCTCCCATGTAGCTGGGACTACAGGCACACGCCAGCATGCCTGGCTAATTTTTGCATTTTTTTGTTTTTGTTTTTGTAGAGACAGGGTTTCGCTGTGTTGCCCAGGCTGGTCTTGAATTCCTGGACTCAAGCGATCCACCCACCTTGCCCTCCCAAAGTGTTGAGATTACAGGCATGAGCTACCGAGCCTGGCTGTATTCGCTCTTAATAACATTCAAATTTGAATTCATTATCTCCTCCACATCCCTACCCCAACAAAAACTTCCTTCTCCACTTAGTGGATTTCTCCACTTAGTTGAAACTCCATTATCTATCCAACTTCCAAGCCAACTAACAAAATATCTCTATTGAATCCTCCATCTTTGCTCCCTATCCTCTCGTCAAATCCACTGCCTCATCAGAGCCTGTCAAATGTATTTCAAAAATGGCTCTAGAATGTAACCTCTCCTCTTTGTTAGTATCATTGCCATCATATTTCTTGCCTTTACCACCTCTGGCCTGTTGCTGGCCTCCCACCTGCAAGCTCTTCCTCCAGTCCTTTCTCCACAGAGCTCACCAGTTACCTCCCTAAAAACAGCCTGCTTAGAAATCTGTGCTCCAGGCCAGGCACGGCGGCTCATACTGGTAATCCCAGCATTTGTGAGGCCGAGGTGTGTGGATCACTTGAGGCCAGGAGTTTGAGACCAACTTGGCCAACATGGTGAAACCCCATCTCTACTAAAAATACGAAAATTAGCCAGGTGTGGTGGTGCACACCTGTAATCCCAGCTACTCGGGAGGTTGAGGCAGGAGAATTGCTTCAACCCAGGAGGCAGAGGTTGCAGTGAACCGAGATTGTGCCACTTCACTCCAGCCTGGACAACAGAGTGAGACTCTGTCTCAAAAAAAAAAAAAAAAAGAAAAGAAAAGAAAAGAAAAAAGAAACCTGTGCTCCTACCCATTGCCTGCAGGGTCTTGTTTGATCTGGCCCTGACATAGAAACCATTTAGAATCAGACATTTCACTACACTCCTGCCCCTTCCACAGGAGACCCCTTGAAAATGCCATCTGTTCTGCAGACTCTGCACATCCTCACTTGTTCTTCCCTCTGTCAGGAACACGGGCCAATGTCTGTGCAGCCTGGAGGCTGAGCTCCAAAGGAACCCAGCCTGTGAAGGAGCCCCTGAGCTTAGCTTCTCCCGAAGGTTCTGGGACAAAAAGAGAAACTATGTTTGCAAGTCAATTCCTACTTTTAAATTTTCATTACCGATGAGATCAAAAGCCTCCCATAGTAATTTATCAGTTTCCATTTTTAAAAATTGGCCTGTTGATACAGTTTATTCCTATGTTAAATGCCATTGTTCTATTTAATGTTAACATTTATTTATTTAGACGGAGTCTTGCTCTGTTGCCCAGGTTGGAGTGCAGTGGCACAATCTCGGCTCACTGCAACCTGTACCTCCCGGGTTCAAACGAGTCTTCTGCCTCAGCCTCCCCAGCAGCTGGAATTAACGTGCGTGCACCACCACATCCGGCTAATTTTCATATTTTTAGTAAAGACGGGGTTTCACCATGTTGGCCAGGCTGGTCTTGAACTCCTGGCCTCAAGTGATCTGCCTGGGTAGGCCTCCCAAAGTGCTGAGATTCCAGGCGTGAGCCACCATGCCTGGCTTAATGTTAACATTTATTACAATATATATATCACACATATGATCTTAATGTCTGGTGCTTTGGGAACTTTTTTGATTATCATTTGATTTGCCTTTTAATTGTGAAAATGTAGTTCCTTACACATGACCCCTTGTGATTTTGGTGGGGGAGGAAACCAGCAGGATGGGTAGAAAACAGTAGAAACCATGTTTTTTGTTAATCTCCTGGGACCATTCTCCCAATTTACTATTTTCTTAGACAAAGCAGTGCTGTGGAAAAGGATGGAAAAATGTTCTTGGCAAGTTCATCTGTGCACCAGGGCTCTTTTTGCGCACTTTGGATACAAGCTTGTGTGACCAGTCAGCTTGGGAGTTGATTACTCAGGCATTCTTTGGATTTTTAAACGAGGACATCCTATTTTTGTAGCATTGTGGACATGCACGTCTCACCTTCTAGTTGCTTCCTTTGTGTTTTCCTTTGTTTACAAAGCGAGGCGTTCCCACAAACCTTGTAAAGAAGGTCATGGTTTAGCTGTTTCATAAGTGATCTACTTCTCTGATTTGATTCGTTTGTTCATCTTTATAGAGCAGGTGAACCCAGTCCTGTTAGATTTGCTGAAAAAGATTTACTGAAAAGGAAAAAGAGGGAAGGGAGTGGGTCATTCTAAGAGAGGCTATCAAGCCAGGTAAACATAATAGAGCAAGACATTTGTCATTAATATTTCTGTGGCTTTTGATCTAGACATCAGTTACCTTTAACCTGGTGTGCATGAAGCAAAGGAGGAATGGAAAAGCCTGCCTCAAAACCATCAGGCTCACACCTGTAATCCCAGCACTTTGGGAGGCTGAGGCAAGTGGATCACTTCAGCTAGGGGTTCGAGACCAGCCTGGTCAACATGGCAAAACCCCATCTCTATTAAAAATACAAAAATCAGCTGGGTGTGGTGGTGCACACCTGAGGTACATGAATCTCTTGAGCTTGAGCTCAGGAGGCAGAGGTTACAGTGAGCGGAGATCACATCATTTCACTCCAGCTTGGGCGACAGAGTCAGACCCTGTCTAAAAAAAGAAAAAAAAAAAGCCATCAGCACAGAGCCATGACTGCTTGCTTAAAGTGAACAGACACTCCTCAAAAGAAGCACTATTCACAATAGCAGAGACTTGGAACCAACCCAAATGCCCATCAATGATAGAATAAAGAAAATGTGGCACATATACACCATGGAATACTATGCAGCCATAAAAAGGATGAGTTCATGTCTTTGCAGGGACATGGATGAAGCTGGAAACCATCATTCTCAGCAAACTAACATAGGAACAGAAAACCAAACATTGCATGTTCTCACTCACAAGTGGGAGCTGAACAATGAGAACACATGGACACAGGGAGGGGAACATCACACACCAGGGCCTCTTGGGTAGTGGGGCGCTAGGGGAGGGATAGCCTTAGGAGAAATACCTAATATAGATGACGGGTTGATGGGTGCAGCAAACCACCATGGCACGTGTATACCTATGTAACAAACCTGCACATTTTGCACATGTATCCCACAACTTAAAGTATAATAAAAGAGAAAGAAAGAAAAAAAAAAGTGCTGTTTGCCAGAGTTCTCCAAGTAAAGTTACTATTTCCCCCATTTTAAATATGAAGACATATTTATTTCAGGGAAAATACTTTGAGGCTATGCAAATATTCTGTTTCTCCTTAAAGTTTCACCCACTCATTTGTGAACGGTAGTTGGATCATGCCTATATTAGCAGTTACTGTGATGTTCTAATGATGCTTTTCCCTTTCTCTCATTTCTCCTACACTTTAATTGGAATTCCTCTGTAAGGAAGACTTGTCCCTTCTCCTTGATATTTTCCCCTAGTCAGTTATTTAGTTGTATTTCTATAGACTCAAAGATATTAATTTTCTTCCAATACAATCATTAATTATTTTGTTGCTTGAATTGCTCCAGCTTTGGCCTTTGGGAGCCCTTTGGGGTTGGCTCCTGTGCCCTTCTGCTGTGCCCTGTCACCTTTGTTGAGTACATCTTTACTTTCTGGCACTGTGAGATTTTTACATTTCTCCATAAAGTTCATCAGAAGCACTATACAATGAGTGTCTTTTGTACAGCACTCAGCACGTAATTTATATTAATGTAAAGACAATATTAAAGGTTATCAAAGTATTGTTCATTAAAGGCAAATTACAGATGTTAAGTCCGAGTACTCAGAGATAGCAAGTATGAAAGACAGAAGCTCACCCACCTTCAATTTTTTCTTTTTTTTTGAGACAGGGTCTTGCTCTGTCACCCAGGCTGGAATGCAGTGGTGCAGTCACGGCTCACTGCAGCCTCAACCTCCCAGGCTCAAGTGATCCTCCCATTTCAACCTTCTGAGTAGCTGGGACTACAGGTGTGCGCCACCTCATCCGACTAATTTTTGTATTTTTTGTAGAGACAGGATCTCACTATGTTGTCCAGGCTGGTCTGAAACTCCTGGGTTCAAGTGATCTACCCACGTCGGCCTCCCAAAGTGCTGAGATTACAGGCATGAGCCACCATGGCCGGCCACACCTTCAGTTTCTATCCAAAAATATGTTACTACTACTGAGCAACATAGCGGTGCCTTTTAAGTCATACGATATCATTTTAAGTGTAACAGCTCCGATACTTTCTATTTCCAAACTGCATAATCTCCTCTGGTGGAAATGGGAGTTCAGTGGGACAAAGATGTATTAAATAAAATCCTATTTCTCTAGAAATATTCATGAGATGAATTTACATCATTTGAAATATTGCAATAACCATTTTGTTAAAAGATACTCTTGTAAGAGGGAGGCAGGATGAGAAATTATGCATCTATTCATGTCAGCAGCTGGATCTGAATCTTGATATTAACTTCCCTTGTGCTGGTCAGCAAAAGTTTCTCCAAGGAAAAATGAAAGGACAATAGGAACAATTCAGAAGAACTAAACAATAAGTGAAAAAATGGAAGGTTCATTTTCATAAGTCAGAGAAACTTAAAATGAAAAATAAACTATAGTGTTTTGGATAGAATCACCACAACTTTGTTTAGTTAAGGCATTAAAATTAGGGCACATGTCCCGGTGCGATGGCTCACGTCTGTAATCCCAGCACTTTGGGAGGCCAAGGCGGGTGGATCACCTGAGGTCAGGAGTTCAAGACCAGCCTGGCCAACAAGGTGAAACCCCATCTCTACTAAAAATACAAAATTAGCTGGGCGTGGTAGCGCATGCCTGTAATCCCAGATACGCGGGAGTCTGAGGCAGGAGAATCGCTTAAACCCGGGAGGTGGAGGTTGCAGTGAGCCAAGATCCCACCATTGCACTCCAGCCTGGGCAACAAGAGTGAAAGTCCATCTCAAAAACAAAAAAATAAAAAATAAAATTAGGACATAGCTCAGGGATTTTCAAAAATATTGTCTTGCCATCAGTCTTTCTTTTGTGGTAACGCAAATTTGACCACGCAGGAAGCAGATCAAGGAGGAGCGACACCGCATTCCTGTCCAAGAAGGAAAAGATATGCCTTGAAATAGACCAGAGAATAAACAAGACTCAAAACTTCAAGCAAGTCGGGCGCAGTGGCTCAGCCTGTAATCCCAACACTTTGGGACACCGAGGCGGGGGAGGATCATTTGAGCCCAGGAGTTTAAGACCAGCGTGGGCAACATAGTGAGACCTCATCTCTACAAAAACTACAAAAATTAGCCGGGTGAGATGGCACGTGCCTGTAGTCCCAGCTATTTGGGAGGCTGAGGTGGGAGGATCACTTGAGCCCAGGAGGTTGAGGCTGCAGTGAGCCATGATCACGCCACTACCCTCCAGCCTGAGTGACCGTGAGACCCTGTCTCAGAAAAAAAAAAAAAAAAGACAACAAAACGAAACAAACCCCCCAAATTTCAAGTGATCTGTGTTCACCTGTGTGAAGTTGGAAATAAAATTCCATGAGAAGACTGTCTTCTCCACATAGGACAGAGAGACCAAGCAGGACATAAGACAAACTGCTGATTTTTTCTTTTTCTTTGAGCCGACAGGGTTCCCGCACCCCATCTGCTGGTTTAGGTGTAGTGGCCTCTGTGATGCCTGGGTAAGTTTAGCTATGGGAAGGTATCATCAACAATGTTCAAAGACTTTTGACTCATCATTGTGAGAATGCACTGGGCAACCAGCCAAGAATCTTCAGCACTCCAGATAACAGTCCACTGCAAGGCCAGCACAACTGTTGCCATGTTGAAATGTACCCCATCACTTTCAGGGGTCTGAGGCTCTTTGAGAGAGGGTTAGGATGACCCACTGATACGGCCTTACCAAAGAGAACCACCTCTGGAATTGAGCAGACCCCCATACCAGTTCTTCTGGGGTTGGGGGAAAAAAAATGTCCCAGTAGCAGAGGGTTTATCCAGGCTCTGTGAGTTTCAGTGTTTGTCAACTCTAAGATGGTATCAGAAGGCTTGATTGCCCTGATTAGAACATGATATAACAAGACATGTAATGAGTGAGGCACCAGGGTGCCTGGAGGAGGAATATTTGAGTATTCATCATCCCTGCCTTCAACATTTCACATTCTTTTTTTTTTTTTTTTTTTTTGAGACGGAGTTTTTCGCTCTGTCGTCCAGGCTGGAGTATAGTGGCGCCATCTAGGCTCACTGCAACCTCCACCTCCCAGGTTCAAACAATTCTTGTGCCTCAGCCTCCCACGGAGTTAGGACTAAGGCATGCACCACCACGCCTGGCTAATTTTTGTATTTTTAGTAGAGAGAGGGGCTCGCCATGTTGGTCAGCCTGGTCTTGAACTCCTGACCTCAGGTGATCCGCCCACCTCGGCCTCTCAAGGTGCTGGGTTTACAGGCGTGAGCCACCGTGCCTGGCCCACTTCACATTCTTTTCTTTTCTTTTTTTCTGAGACGGAGTCTCGCTCTGTCGCCCAGTCTGGAGTGCAGTGGCACGATCTTGGCTCACTGCAAGCTCCACCTCCCGGGTTCACACCATTCTCTTGCCTCAGCCTCCGGAGTAGCTGGGACTACAGGCGCCCGTCACAACACCCAGCTAATTTTTTGTATTTTTTAGTAGAGACCGGGTTTCACCATGTTAGCCAGGATGGTCTCGATCTCCTGACCTCGTGATCCGCCCGCCTCGGCCTCCCAAAGTGCTGGGATTACAGGCGTGAGCCACCGCGCCCGGCCTTCACATTCTTAATCTCCGTGTTCTCTGATCCCTTTTTTAGGAGTCTGATATTGATGACACTAGGACTTCAATTGCAGCCTCTGTGTGGATGGGCCTCTTGTCCCTTGATTAGTCTCCTATTTCGATCGGTTTGACACACATGAACGGTATTTAGAAAGATGATGCTACTGATCTCTTGTTTGTAAGACCCTGACTTTGAGGTTTTTTGAAAAACTCATGAAACAGTTATAAGAACAATTTTCTACAGAAATCCCAGGACGGTAACCAATTTACAAGAGTTGCCCCGCCAACACAGGTGAGGTATGGAGACAGCCCCTCTCTTGGGTAGGGGGTCGGCTTTCATTTGTCCCTTTTGAGTCCACTAGCCCTCAGCCTCCTCCATTTCCAGGGGCCACTGATGTAATTTCTCTATTGTCTTACGTGCTCTTTGCCTAAATGTCTCCCATGTAGTTCACTATCGCTTCCTACCACCAGATGGTGGAAAGGGAAAAGGAAATAACGGGCCGGTAGAGGAATGTGGTGGCAGGCAGAGTATCTATGGCGAAAGGTGTGGTGGTGAATGGACCCAAAACGGAGCTTCTGAATTGCCCACGAATGCCCACGGATTCCCTGTTAACATTTTAGCGCCCACTCAAGGGTCGGCCGTCCAGGTCTGGGAGTCAGTAAGGCACAATAATGCCTGCTAGGGAGGGAGCCAGCCCTCATCTCAGCGGATTCCTGGGAACGTCAGAGCTCGGGAACATTCCTGAACACCCGAACCGCACCTGGCCCAGGCACTGGGGCGGGGCTTAGGCGGGTCCCAGCGAGGCGATGCGTCCCCTCGGCCCCGCTGCGTCCTTCGCCCGTTTTTCCCCACGTCAGTGCCACCGCCTCCTCTGTGCGGAACTCGCACCTGGCCTGCCTGCGTTCCCACGCCCCACCGAAGGGACGCCGCGTTTCTCTCCCTTCCAAGGGACCCTTTTCCTTCCCCTCCAACAGCCCCCCGGGAAAACTCATTCCAGATTGCCTCGATGCCCCAGGGCCACCTGCCATCACCCTGGTCAGGCGTTTGGCCCCGGGCCTGCCCTGGTCTCCATCCCCAGCCCGTCCTCCACCTCTTGTCGCCCCCTCCCGCTCAGCCCCCTTCTCCTCCTTCTCCACGTGCCCCTGCACTCCCACGCCCCTCCCCCAAGAAGCCCCTCTCCTCCGGTCTCGAGGAGTCTCGCGGCACTTCCCGGGGCGTCAGCCCAGCCGCTGCGGGTGGGTGGCAGCCGCGCGGAGAGGGGTGCCTCTGGCGCGGGCGGTGAGGAGGGCGCCCAAGCCCCTCAGCCGCAGGGACGCCCCCGGCGCCTGCCCCGACGCGGCCCCGGCCCCGGCCCCGCCCCTCTCCGGCCCCGCCCCCGCCCGGCGGCCGCGCGTCCCCGGCAGGCGGAGCTGCAGGAGCCTCGCGGCAGCGCTGAGGAGGAGGGGAGAGCGGGCGGCGCGGCCGCGGCTGCCGGGCGCTGGGCTGGGCGGCGCTGTTTTTTTTTTTTTTTTTTTTTTTTTTTTTTTTTTTTTTTTTTTTTTTTTCGCAATTTCCACTCGCGGGGAGCAGGAAACCCGGCGCAGCCGGGCGCATTGGGCCGCGATGCAACAGCAGCAGCAGGAGTCGCCCCGGGGCAGCAGCGGCAGCAGCAGCAGAGGCAGCAGCGGGCGGCGCTGAGCCGCCGCCGCCGCCACTGAGGAAGAAGCCGGCCCAGCCGCCGCCGCGTCCGGACCCTCGCGCCTGGATCCCAGCGCCCCGATCCCGGCGCCCCAACCCCCACGCCCGCCTCCGCCAACTTTCACGCTGCCTCGGCGGCCCGGCCCGGCTCGACGCCAATGGGTGAGTGGGGGCCGCCCGCGTCCGGGCGTCCACTTCAGCCTTGAGGGCGGCGCGCCAGTCCCAGAACCGCGGAGCCCGGGAGGGCGCCCCGGGGGCAGGGTCCGGACGGGGGACACCGCGGTGGGCGCCCTCGCCTGCCTCGCGCACCCCCATTCACTCCCACTTGCGCCCGTGTGCCCGCCGAGCCCGCGCGCGGCGCCGACGGGAACCCGCGGGGGCCTGAGCAGACGATCACGGGGGCTGGCCCCGGGCGGCTCGGGCTGAGGGATGCAGGGGGTGTGGTTGGTTTTTCGGGTGGGCGGGGAGAGTTTTGTCTTGGCCATTTTTGCACCCGAGCGCGCCCTCCTCTGCGCTGCGGACACGGGCACCCGGACCTGGTGGGCTCCGGCCCTGCGCGGGGCTGCTGGTGTCTTCCTGGTCCTGTCTCGGGGGAAGCTGGAACCTCGGGGTCTTGGAGGGGGCTGGGTTGCCTTTGCTGGGGGTTGACAGGGGTTGGGGGGTGGGGCGGGAAACGCCCCAGTTCCTGGTCTGGCTCGCAGTCCCGGGGTCCAGAGCACCTGACGCTCCTCTCCTTGCGCCCCCCTTCCTCCCGGCCCCGACCCTTTCGCTGCTGCCTTCCTCCAGCCTGGCGAGCTCTCTGCTCCGTGATGCTAAAAGGCCACTTCCCATACTGTCCTTTAAGTCTTCAGGGTCTGGGACCTGGAAATGGTGATCCGGTCTTTGATTTACTGAGTAAACATCAGTTCGAAGTAGCCAACTAACCTTTGAACCCCCTGGGTCCCATTTGATTTAGACCCCGGAGCATTGGAACCACCTTGCTGCCCAGAGAAGCTGCCACTTTATTGGCAAGGCACTTATGATTACTTGGGCTATTAAATGTTTGGTCTACCCAGGTAATGTTCTTGCTGACAGCCAGCTTCTGTTTTTCAGCCTCTGGCAGATTATTTTTGGATGTTCCTAGGCCAGGCATAGGAAGGCTGCAGATAATAATAAATCATAATAAAGTGAGACCTTTCTGTGTTCAGGTAATAGGATTCCAGTACACTAGTCAGGATGTTCAGAAAGCCTGAAGGATTGGAAAAGAGGAGGTTTAACCCAGTCCGTTGTTGACAGGCAAAGTTAAAATCCCATTTGTGGTCATTTGCCAAAAAAGGTTTTCCTTTTCTAAGTAGTGGTGATCTGTTGTCCCCTTGGCTTAAATGTCACTTTTTTCACAGTGCCCTTCTCTCCCACCTGTAGTCTAAATTGGTTCCTGTTCCATTTTCTCATACAACACCTTTTTTTTTCGTAGCAGTATTACATATTTGTGCGTAACAGTTATCTCCTCTACTGTAAGCTCTGTGACCATAGGGACAGCACAGTGTTGCATAGTTTGCTCAGCACTTTTGGTGTGTGGCACAGAGCAGGACCTAAATATTTGTTGAATGAATGAATGAGGGGCATGAAATCCTCCTCCTCTGCTGGGGACAGAACACTTAGCTCACTCTTGTTTTGCTTTGGCCCATAAGATGATTTAGTTCATTGGCAGAAGTATATACTTTAAACCTTACAGGCCACTTTAGTAATGGGTTAATTTCTCCCGAGGTAACCAAAAATTCTGTTTTGATCACCTTTCATTTTGGGTGGGTCACCGAGAGGGTTATGCACAAAAAGAAGTTAATCCAAATGTCTTCTCCCATGGCCAGACTGTGCTTTCTGTATCTCAATGAGAAGGGGACTGAGTCTCATTTAAGAAGAATCAGACCTATTTTTCAGATTTGAACTGTTTTCATTCTTCAGAACTTCCTACGAAAAATAGAGTGCTCCTGTAGTTTTTAGTCCTTTTGTACTTAATCTTTACTGCAACCATTATTGCAGGGGGAGGGGGCATCGATTTTCATTTATTTCAGGAGTTAATACTTAGAGGTGATAATGTCAAAACGAATGTAATTTAATTCATGTTTATAGTGGGATTTAAGGTGCTTATAGTAGTTTGTGGCTAAAAATCACCTGCTCTTTTGAAAGCATCTCCAGCAGTATATTTGTAATGAAGTGCAGTTATTTAACGGTTCATTCTGTATGTCTTCCAATGGAGTGATCTAATGGGCTGAGGTTGTGTGTATGCAGACAGAGGCCCACCCTTTCCCCCAAGTCTCTGGTTTTCAGATTTATCCAGTTTATCAATTTGATGCAATTTTATTCTTTTTTAAGAGGGAGGGTCTCGCTGTGTTGCCCAGGATGGATTTGAACTCCTGGACTCCAGATCTTCCCAAGTAGCTGGGACTGCACGCTCACACCACTGTGCCTGATTCTGATACACTTATATTCTTACCTGGCCTGATAATGAGTTTTCTCTTGATGGATAACATAGTAAAACTGTATCTTATATTTCGTTTTCTGAAAAATAACAGAAAAGAACCAAATCCCTAACCCTGAAGTGAAGCTGGTTAGTTGCAACATGGCCTCTTATAAAAGCCCATCAGAATGTGCCCTCTGAACTTGCTAGGAGATGCATGCCTACAGTGCCAGACACAGAGAAAGCCTCTTATAATTACAATTAAACAGATATTATGGTGACCCAAATCTGTGAGTAGTGAAGGGTTTGCAAGCCCACAAATGATTTCTGTTTAATTCCAGAGTAACAACAAAGTTTGGATAGCCTTTGGCAATGTATTTATTGTATTGGCGGTAGACTGCTGTATGCTAAACTAAAGCTAAAATGAACATAATGTGTTGGTCTGTACAAATGTCTTGAGTTAGAAATGGAAGAAAAGGCTCCCACCTTAATTGTACATAAGCTTTACCCACTTCTATCCATCTTGGCACGAGCAAAAGCTTGCTGTGGCTCTGGTTACACAAACCTTGGTGGTTTCTTCTCTTACTACTTCAGTTCTTTTGGCGTTACTGACATTCTCTCATCAACTCTTGAGTTTGTAGTTGTTTTTAATGTATTTTGCATACAGCAGTATTTGTTCATCTATCCATCCATCCATCCATCCAATGTTTGTTGATCTTCTTTGCATAGGCACTGTGCTAAGAACAGGTGCAGAACAGAGACATGACACTTTGGGCTTCTCAGTCTAATGAAGGCTGACTTGAATGCAATTCTCATGGCAGTATGTAGCTGAAAGCCATAGTAGAGCGCATGAAAGATGAGTGGAGAAGGCCAATCTGACTTAGCCTGGAGAGTGCCCAGGACAGTGTCTTAGAGGAGATTGTGTTTGAGCAGAAATCTGGTTGAGTATGAGTCATCACTGCCCTCCAGCCACACCTGGTTCTTGTGGCAGAGACTGAAAACGAGCACCGTGGGAACCGCGGGGCATCTCAGTAAGATGGTACAAGGAAGGATGACTTAGAGGGCTTGCACCTGTGTCAGGTGGCTTGAGGGCGTGTTTAAGGAAGCTGGGCATTACTTTGGATTGGATGCTACCAGGGGGAATTTGTGATTGGGTATTTTAACAAATGTTCTCTAGGAGCAGGGAACATTGGAGGCAGGCCACAGCTATGGTTGGTAAAGCAGCAGCAGTCATTTGCATTATCCAGGATTGGGGGATATTTGGTCATGTGTGTGGTTTGGACAAGGTGCATGTTTTGTCCGTGTTCAGACATGATTAATGTGTGGTCTTGTTTTCATCTTATTCCATCCTGGTCGCAGAGTGGCCTTGTCTGATGTTGGTTTTCTAGGGAATTGTTTCTGTTCAACAGGACACCCTGGCCCAGCTGTGGGTGCCTGGCCAGCTCCCAGCCAGAAGAACTGCTCTTTCTCCGAGTTAACTATGTGACAGGCAGGGGCAGGGAATCGGAGGCAGTGGGGGAGGAAAATGGCTTTCTAGGTATATCTGTGGCTACTTCATATCAACCAGGTATAGCCTGGACTGTTGTTCAATGCTAAGCACGATGGACATCTGAAATGCTATACTAAGGGAAGAGAGAGTGACAGAGAAAGAGCAAGCTGCTGAGAACCATGAAGTCAGTGCTAATGGGAAAGACGCAGAACAGGAAAATAGCCCAAATACTTAGTGTTAGAGAAGGAGAGCCTCTAATGCAGCGCTTCTCAGAGGGTGGCCCCAGGCCAGTAGCACAGCCTCCCCTGCAACCCGTTAGAGATACAGATTCTCTGGCTTCATTCCAGCAGACCTCCTGAATCAGGAATGCTGGGGATGGGGCCCAGCAATCTGCATTTTCATGAGTCCTCCAGGTGGTTCTGATCATAGTCCAGTGTAGAACCCCTCCTTGCCTTACAGTTGAGAAAGCTGACATCCGGAGCTCGTGGTTCACTGGGGTACACAAGGCACTCTGTTCATAAGACTATTATAAGTCTTATGTTATAAGTACTGTTATAAGTGACTCATTACCTTAGAGGAGAAAGACATACTCCTACTTCAAAACACACTTCTTGTGTTAAGACAGTACAGTGTGGATTCTTCCACGAATCCAGTCCAACCCAGACCTCCAACACCTAGGCATTAGTGACACTAGGCAGCCGATCTCAGTGTTAGTCTCTGAGACTTTTACCAGAGTATCACACAGGCACTTCCCAGCATCCTTTACCCTCCATCCTCTTTAAAGGGGACTTTAAGTTACACTGTTTGCATTATTCCAGGGTGTAATATTTGTTCATGATTTTCTATACCTGGTACCTGTATTCGTTTCTGATTGCTGCTGTACCTACCACAGACTTAGTGCCTGGAGACATCACATGTTTATCATCCGTCACTGGGCGACAATCACGAAGTCAGCAGAGCTGCATTCCTTCTGGAGGCTGTAGGAGGGAATCCCTTTCCTTGCCTTTTCCAGCTTCCAGAATTGGCATTCCTTTGCTTGTGGCCTCTTCCTCTCTCCAAAGCCAGCAACGGCTGGGCAGCTCTCTCTCCCATCACATCATTGTTACTGACTCTTCTGCCCCTCTTTTCCATGTGTATGGACTCCTGTGATGACATTGGGTCCACCTGGATATTCCAGGCTCATCTCCTCATCTCCAGGTCAGCTGATCAGTAAGTTTAACTCCCCTTTGCCTTGTAACCTAATATTCACACATCCTGGGCTTTAGGATGTGGGCATCTGGGGGCGGGGAGGGAATGTTATTCTGACCACTACACTGCCCTGTGGTGGACCTGACGTTTCCTGGTTTCTCTTGGATAACTGTGTGTTCATAGTCAACTGCCCTGTCCCTCCTTGGGAAGATTCCATCTTTGGTTCTATTTAGATTTTTACAGTTTATTAATAAAGCCGCCTTAAAGTTACATCTTGCATTCACCTTTCCTCTTCACTGCTGTTTTTTTGAGACAGCTTGTCCCACTCTTCCCCTTTCCTCACATAGCCTGCCCTACACCTACCAGGACTCTGGCACTGCCTTGATTGTGTTCTAGAAACTGATCATGCTGAGGTTATCCTGAATGATCCTTCTCCAATCACGAAGTACATGGTCTCAGGCCTCACCATGTTTGACTTCACTGAAGCTTGAGATTGAAGACTGGAAGTCTTTGTCTTCTAGAACACCCTATTTTTTCCTGATTTCTCCTACAGTCCTCCCTTCTTTTCTTCCACCCCTGTCCACCTGTGGAATGCTGTCATCTCTGGTCCCCTTATGTTTAGTGTGTCCTTGAGTGATTGCAGCCACTTTGCCAATTCAGGTGTCGCCTATTGACGATGCCCACATCTGTCCCCAGTCTTGGTCTCTGTTCTGAGCTCAGGACCCACCCACTATAAGCACCACAAGGGCAGGAACCTCGTCAGTTTGGTCATTGTGTTCCTGTGCCTGGTACACTGTAAGCCTAAGATTAACATTGGTTGAGCTGATTATCATTGGTATCCTCTCCTAGCTAACTTCACCCAGGTGTGTCTTAGACGCCTCAGACTGAGCATGTTGCAAACTAAGCACAGCATTTCTCCTCTGTAATGCCTGCCCTGCCTCTTTTTACTTCCCATTTCATTGAGGGTATCACCATCTTTCCTGTCACTTCCACAGGGACGCTGCTATTGTTCCTTGCCTCTTGTTCCTTCCCCTTTCCCTGCCCCTTCTGATGTACAGTCAAGCCCTAAGTGGCTCTGGAATTGACCCTATGTGTCTACCCTTCTGCAAATGCTTTAGATCCTGAATGCCTTAGTGAAGCCTTCGTGAAGCTCGGCAGCCACCAATGCTTTCGCTTATTCTAAGCTCATTCAGGTCTCTGAGACTTTGCCCACGTATTTCCCTTCATGGGGAACAGATGTCACTCTCTCCTCTGCCTTGTAGACTCCCTGTATCAGTTTCCTATTGCTGCAGTAACAAATCACTGTGAACCTAGTGGCTTGAAACAGCACAAATGTGTAATCTTATAGTTCTAGAGGTCGGAAGTTCAAAATGGATCTTACCGGGTCGATATCAAGGTGTCAGCAGGGTTGCGTTCTTTCTGGAGGAATTCATTTCCCTGCCTTGCCCGGCTTCTAGAGGCTGCCTGCAGTGCCTTTACCTCCTTCACTCGTACCCCAGCCCTCCAACCTCTGCTTCAGTCCTGGCATCTCCTATCTTTCACCGAGCCACCTGCCTGCCTTTTATGAGGACCATTGTTTGACACTGGGCCCACCTGGATAATCCAGGATCCCCTCCCCTTCTCAGGATGCCTGGTGAATCACACCTGCAAAGTTCCTGTTGCCATGGAAGGGAACATAGTCACAGGTTCTGGGGATTAGGATATGGCCATCTTTGGGAAGTCATTGTTCAGCCTCCCACACCGCTTGTGCATCTGTGGGAGCCTGCTCCAAAGGTGTGCTGTACCATACTTTGTTTAAAACATTTTTTATTTTTAATTTTTGTGGGTCCATAGCAGGTGTATAAAGTTGTGGGGTACATGAGATGTTTTGATACAGGCATGCAATGTAAAGTGATACAACATTTCCTCTTGTATTAAGTCTCCATCTCCAACTGGATCTGCTCAGCTCCATTGCCCTGGCACATTGCCTGGCATACAGTAAGTGCCATATGTTAATGAATGAACATGTAACCCTTTCACCCAAATACGGTTACAACTTGCAATTCTCCACGACTATGGACCACCAGGAGTGAGTGTGCAATTCTGTAAAGTCCCCTGGGCAGAGCATGTTGACAAGGTCTGTTTGCTGACAGTTCCTGGTGGCCCACACTGTAGTGGGTGAGAAGGGTGATGCCACATGTATTACATGGCTTTAACAAAGAACTGCACATTTTAAGATAGAAAATTCTCTCTGGCAGTGGTTCTGAACTGGGGGCAATTCTCCCCACCAGGGGGACACAGCACTATCTGGAGACACTTTTGGTTGTCACAGCTGGTGGCGGGGGTCAGGGGAGTGGAGAGTCATTCTACTGGCATCTACTAGGTGGAGGTCAGGGGTGCTGCTAAACATCCTACGATGCACAGGCCAGCCGCCCCCCGCACCACCACAACAAAGAGTTATCTGACCCCAAATGTCAGTCATGCTGAGGTTAAGGAAGCCTGCTCTGGGGGAACCCCGGGGGCTTATTAACACAGATGGCTGGAGCACCATTTCCTTACTTCATTATCAGTCCTTCTGGAACATAAGGCTTTGTATGTAACCACAGTCTTCGTTTTATGCACGAACCTACAAGTCACTAGAGAACAGGACTCTTTGGGACTTTCACCATTTTGTTCTTTGAATGGAGAGTGTCTTAACACAACTCTTGCCTCTCTTCCGTTGATACCTAGGTAGTTAAGCTGGGGAGAGGCAAGGGCTTTGGGGCACGAAGTTGTTAAACTTGCTTCTGGTAGTGTTTGGCCCCTGTAATGTTTTGTCTTTCTATTGGGATGTGCTTTTATGTGGGGGGACAGGCGATGGGTCCTCTGCTACTCACATATTGGTCCCTGGCATTGAAGTGCTGGAAGGAGCCTTGGCAGTCATGGCCCATGACATCAGATGATGAGACTGAGCCTCAGAGAGGCAGAGTGACAATGGTCCCCTAGTGGTAGAACCCAACTGCCTTCCAGTATGGAAGAACCAGCCCCGCCCAATTTCTGTAGGTGCTCAGAAAATGTCAGGCTCCTGCTTCCCCTCGTGAGGCTCTTGCTACAGTCTCTTTCCGTAGTAAGTTTTTTATTTTTTATTTTTTGAGACAGGGTCTCACTCTGTTGCTCAGGCTGGAGTGCAGTGGCGCAATCAAGGCTCACTGCAGCCTCGACCTCCCAGGCTCAAGCGATCCTCCCACCTCAGCCACCCAAGTAGGTGGGACTACATGTGCGTGCCACCACGCCCAGCTAATTTTTGTATTTTTTTGTAGAGATGGGGCTTCGCCATGTTGCCCAGGCTGGTCTCGAACTCCTGGGCTCAAGTGATCCACCTGCCTTGGCTTCCCAAAGCATTGGGATTAGGCATGAGCCATCACACCAGGGTGTAAGTTTTTTTTAAACAGATTTATTGATGTATAATTTGCATACCATACAATTTATCCATTTAAGGTGTGCAATTCAATGGGTTTTGGTACATTATTAATTTTATGCTAAAACATGTAACAAAATTTGCAATTTTCACCACTTTTAAGTGTATAGTTATACTGGGTATATTCACAATGCTTTGCAACCATCACCACTATCTAGTTCCAAAACTTTCTTTTTTTAAAATCACCCCTCCCTAGTAAGTTTCTAACTTGAAGGTCAGAATCCATGTCCCCTGGGGGTTCCTGGACCAGCCAGCCAATTTGGAGAACACTTGGAAGCCCAAGGATCCCAGTTGAGATTCCAAAGGAAGATAGGAAAAGGGAAAGCGTGGCTTTTTGTGTGTGTGTGTGTTTTTGGTTGATATTTCCTTGGGAGGCCCTTTATTTTCTCTCTCTCTCTCTCTCTCTCTCTCTCACACACACACACACACACACACACACACACACAAATTAGCCAGGCGTGGTGGCACATACCTGTAGTCCTAGCTACTCAGGAGGCTGGGGCAGGAGAATCACTTGAACCTGGGAGCAGGAGGCTACAGTGAGCCGACATCGCACCACTGCACTCCAGTCTGGGCAACAGAGTGAGACCGTGTCTCAAGGAAAAAAAAAAAAAAAAGGTCTACATCATGGGAGAAAACACTGCAGTGCCAAACAGATCCCTCGAATTCACACACATGGTTGATATCATTCCACGTTTCTTCACTTAAATTCCTTCAGCTGGCAAAGGTCCACCAGCAACCTGTGATCATGAGCACTTGGTTTTCAACTTGATCATTATCTTATGGATAAATATCTTGCAGGCAGTTCTGTAGTTTTCATTAGGGGATGCTTAAGGCAAAAGGTAGCTCATGGGTCTTAACTCTGTGGTCAACTGTGCTTATATTTAGCCTTACAAAGAAAAAACACTAATAACAAAAATCCTGTGATACTTGTCCTAACGGAATACTATCCAGTTGGCAAGAAAAGACCAGAAAAGGCCTCTGCTTACTTCCTTTCTGTGGCCACGGAAGTGGTGGGGGCACTGCTGGAGGCTGGTCCATCTCCAGGTGTGGGTGACAGAGTGGCAAGATGAAGTGCAGTTCAGTTCATACTGTTATTTCTATCTTGGATAAAATACTATAAACATTTCAATGCTTATTAATGACTCATTTGGCATAATAAATTTAAGTCCTTGAGCACCCAAGTACAGCATGTATAGACAGTTTAAACAACCATCTCCTTACACTTGAGCTTCTTACCAGCCAGTATGCAAACACCAGCCCTTGTGTTTTTGCCAGATTTTTCTGGACTGTTCTAGACTTAGAAGACTTGGGGCCATGTTCTAGGTCTGGTCCTCTGGGGCTGCACCAGTTTTAGCCATCACATGTTACCTCCCCATGTGAAAAGTCTTTAATTAGCTTAGTGTCCTGTCTAATTATTCCAGCTAGTTCTTAGGTTTGTGCCTGGAGCTAGACGGAGACGCTTGGCCCTCATTTTGGATGAAGACTGGGAAAGGCCATTCTTGCTCTGCTGCCCCCTCCTCTTAGCCAGCATCTTCATGGACCTCAATTTTCTTCACCAGGGTGTTCTGGGTGCTGTCTTTTGATGAGCATTTTACATAATAGCTTCTCAAATTCACTTGACAGAAGTGACTTCGTAAATGAACTTTGCCTTTCTCCTGTTTTGATCATCAAAACAAAACCAGCAAAAACATCTCTTCACAACTTGACCGAAATGGGACAGTTTTAAACCACTTAGCCAGTGATTTCTAATTACCCCTTTGTTCTCAACAAACTATTAGATGGCAAAGAGAGGTGTCAACTCAAATACAGTAGGTCAATGAGCTCATCTGTGATCCATGAAGCAGGATGGACAGAGTAAGTGTTTGTTAATTGATGGTGATTTTTTTAAAGCTTAATTGCTGCTTTTGGCTGTCAGGAAACAAATGAAAGTAATTGGCTTGCGGAGGGTGGATTGTGGGGGGAAAAGTGAGGTGGAAGATTTCACCAATTGAAGAAAAAATTGGAAAGGGGGAAGCAGTTCACACTGTCTTCATCTGTTTTCTGGGGCATAATGACTACAGCTGCTTGCTTGAGACATTTTTAAAGTTAGTTTTTGGAATAGGTTATATATCCCCAGGATTCGAAATTCAAAAGGTGAAAAAGTGTTTACGGGAAAAAGTCTCCCTCCCATCTCTGTCCTTCAGCTATGCAGTGACCCTCCCCATAGGCTGCTGCTATTTTGTTTCTCAAGTTTTCTTCCAGGGAGCTTTCATATGTATACCAACACAGAGGCATTTCTGTTATTTTCCCCTCCTTTTTTAACGTCCTGATTAATTGATGATGGGTGAACTTCTGTCTAGCTGGGGATTTTCTCCCCCCCGGAGATGTGCATTGGAACGCTATGCCTAGTCCTTCCATCTAGTTTTGATGGAGGGATAGGTGGACTTCGGAAAAGTTCTCCAGGAGACTGCTCTATTGTCCTGAGGCTCAGCTGATCTGGGTTATTAATTGACAGAAACTTTGTCCTGGATCTTAACCCATCTAGGTGTTTTTTTTGTTTGTTTGTTTTTGTTTTCTTGACAGAGTCTCACTCTGTTGCCCAGCCTGGAGTGCAGTGGTGTGATCTCCGCTCACTGCAACCTGTGTCTCCCGGGTTCAAGCGATTCTCCTGCCTCGGCCTCCCGAGTAGCTGGGATTACAGGCATCTGCCACTATGCCCAGCTAATTTTTTTGTATTTTTAGTGGAGATGGGGTTTCACCATGTTGGCCAGGCTGGTCTGGAACTCCCGACCTCAGGTGATCTGTCTACCTCAGCCTCCCAAAGCGCTAGGATTACAGGCGTGAGCCACCACGCCCGGCCTTAACCCATCTGGGTTTTGAACTCAGGAACAGTCTTCCCACTTTCATGTTGTATATATAGTAAGGACTTTCTTCAAATGATAGAAGCCAAGCAGGGCCCGCTAACCTGAGCAAAAGGGATGCTTATTCTGGGGCCACAGGGACCTCTCATGCAACCCAAGGGTGCCTGCTGGAGGAGCCGGACCCCAAGAAGCAGCAGCTGGAGCTAGGTGTGGGCCAGCTGCCCAGTGTGCCCTCTGGCCATGCTTCCTCCCTGTCCCCTTTCTTCTGTGTGACTTGTTCATGGGGCACATGCCACAGTTCCAAATGCCTGTTAAGTGTGACTTGATTTGGTCCCAGTTCCACATTTTTGTTAGTGAGACTGAGCCCACCGGAGCTTCTGTCTCCTCCCACCTCCACCCTCCATATACACAGGTGGCTGCTCCATGCCCACATCCATGGTGGGCGGGAGGTGCTCAGTTCCAGTCCTGGTGTAAATGTTGAAGGAGGGCGCATGGAGGACCCAAATGAAGCCCTGCCCTGTGGAGGAGTGGGTGCTACGGGGCTGCCCTCGGGCCAGGCACTCTCAGTGAGGATGCTAGACCGCCTGCCAGTGTTGGCATTCATTTTCCCTGCCCTCCTCTTGACAAAGGAGTGACTGATGTGAGGCCGTGTGGCCTCTTCTGTGCTCTAGCCATCCAGGATGTTCATTCCATCCTCACAGAGTCCCTTCTATGAGGCTCCCTGAGGAAGGGCCCTTGTCGGAGCCGAGAACAGTTGTGCTTCAGAGTAATGGGGCTATTTTAATCCTTTGAGCTCCTGAACTGTGTGACTAAGCTCCATGTCACCTATTGAGTTGGCGGCCGTTAAAAAGTGTGTCTGTGCCTCTGGGGGCCCTTGGATGGGTTGGTGATAGCATGCCATGGGGGAAGGGTACAGTTGTGACATCGTCTGGCGCTTTTAGGGAACCTGTGGGTTTTTAAATGGAGGAAGAGATGTAGACATTGTAAAAAACAGCCACCGCCTGACGAGTTAACCCCTGAGGTAGAGATGCGCTCCAGAAAGCGGGCAGGGGGCTCTCGCCCTAATGCCTATCTCCTCCCTCCTGCCTTCTCCCCCTCTTTTTCTCCTCTCTCTCCCCCTACCTTTTCTCTCTCTGCTCTTTCTTCATCCCCTCACCCTTTCTCTCATCCCTCACTCCTCTTCACCCTGTCTCCCTCACTTTCTCTCATCCAGATCCATCTCCCCTACGCTCTTTGTCCCCGCATCTCTCTCCCATTCCCCTGCACCCCCTCTCCCCTTCCACCCTCTTTTCCACACCCCTTCTCCCCACACCTTCTCTTTCCCTCTTAGTCTCTCTCCCCGCATCCTCACTGTCCACCCCCAGCCTCCTGACCCTCCCCACTTCTGCTCTCCCTTCCTCTCAGCCCCTCTGTGTTTTGCCCCTTTCTTCCCAGCCCGTTCCTCTTATTTTCTCTCTTCCTCACCCCTCCTCTCCTGGCCCCTGTGTCTTACCCTTCTCATTGCCCACATCCCTTCTCCACTGCCCCCTTCTCCACACTTCCTCTCCTGTTCTTACTAAGCCCTTCTTCCTTTCTTCTTCCCCCTCCTGCCTCTCTTCTCTCACCCCTCAACACCTCCACACCCCCCCACTTTGCCCCCCCAACTCTTCCTCTCCTCTCTCCCATCCTCTCATCTGCCCCCAAGCCCCCTTTTCTGTCTCTCTGCCCACTTCTTTCTCCCCCGACCCCAGTTCTCTCCCCGGAACCCCACTCTGGCCCCAGTGCCCACTCTCCCTCAACCCCTCTTCTCTCTTGCACTTCCTCCTCCTTCCCACATTCTCCCATTTCTTCCTTCAAACCCAGTATTGCTGCGTGCCTCAGATTTTCAATCCCACAGGGCAGGAAGAGCCAGGGACAGGGTTACTGGCCTTCTCCATCCCACAGCCAGCCATGGGTCCCTACTCTAGAATAACTGTGATTTTTATTTTAGTGTACTTCTTTTAGAGTTTTATATATATATATATATATTTTTTTTTTTTTTTTTTTTTGAGATGGACTCTCACTCTGTTGCCCCGGCTGGAGTGCAATGGCATGATCTTGGCTCACTGCAACCTCTACCTCCCCAGTTCAAGGGATCCCCCCGCCTCAGCCTCCCGAGTAGCTGGGATTACAGGCGCACACCACCATGCCTGGCTAATTTTTGTATTTTTAGCAGGGACAGGGTTTCATTGTGTTATCCAGGCTGGTCTCGAACTCCTGGCCTCAAGTGATCCACCCACCTCAGCCTCCCAAAGTGCTGGGATTACAGGTGTGAGCCACTGTGCCTGGCACTATTTCTTTTTTCTTATGAACTCCTCTTACTATCATTCCCAAATATTTTGGTGTATTTCTTTTTAGGTTTTCTTTATTTTTATTTTTATTTTTTTTGATAGAGTCTTGCTCTATCCCCCAGGCTGGAGTGCAGTGGCATGATCTCGGCTCACTGCAACCTCTGCCTCCTGGGTTCAAACGATTCTCCTGCCTTAGCCTCTCGAGTAGCTGGGATTACAGGTGCCTGCCACCTCGCCCGGCTAATTTTTTGCATTTTTAGTAGAGACAGGGTCTCACCATGTTAGCCAGGCTGGTCTCAAACTCCTGACCTCGGGTGATCCACCCACCTTGGCCTCCCAAAGTGCTGAGATTACAGGTGTGAGCTACCATGCCCAGCCAGGGTTTTTACTATTAATATATACTTGTTGCTATATGTACATGTATTTTATATATACATGTATATATATGTATATGTATATATATATATATATATATACATATATATATATATATGTCCTTGTTTTTTCCACTTCATAGTCATCTTTGAAGCCAGTGTTTTTAGTAGCTGAATATTTGAGTTCATGCATCTTAATTTATGTAACTATTTCCCTGTCATTTGAGCATTTAGGTAGCTTCTATGATCTTGATATTATATAGACGAGGATGTGATGGACATATGTCCCCTTTCTATCCTGTAAGGAAATCACACTGTAGGCAGTGTGGCATTTTATATCCATTCTTTATCTCCATAGATGCCCAAATGACTGGACTGGCCCCTGATGATGAGAAGGAAGAAGAGTTCAGTCCAAGGGAATTGGCACATGGGAATTGGCAGGGTACTTGTCCTCCATGTGTTTGCTTTCAGTTTTAGTTCTAGAAACTCTGTGTTCATATGGCTTATCATCCCTTTTATATGTGCTCTGTGTGTGTGTGTGTGTGTGTGTGTGTGTGTGAGAGAGAGAGAGAGAGAGAGAAGAGAGATGGAGACAGATCAACTGATACTTCTTTTTTTTGAGACAGTCTTGCTCTGTCGCCCAGGCTGGAGTGCAGTGGTGCGATCTCGGCTCACTGCAAGCTCCGCCTCCCGGGTTCACGCCATTCTCCTGCCTCAGCCTCCCGAGTAGCTGGGACTACAGGCGCCCGCCACCATGTCCAGCTAATTTTTTGTATTTTTTTTTTAGCAGAGATGAGGTTTCACCGTGTTAGCCAGGATGGTCTCTATCTCCTGACCTCGTGATCCGCCCGCCTCGGCCTCCCAAAGTACTGGGATTACAGGCGTGAGCTACCGCACCCGGCCCCAACTGATACTTCTAAAAGCAACTGCATGTGGGCTTTTATGTTCCACAGCACTGTCCCTATTTCACTGCACCACTGTGGGGCAATTAATCCTGGTCTCGAGTTCAGGTGTAAGATTAGAGGATACACAGTGAAAGGTGAAATCCTTGGGGGTTTGGTTCCTTTGTTTTCTCTCCCGCTTTTTGCCATTCTTTTTCTTTCTTTCTTTCTTTCTTTCTTTTTTTTTTTTTTTTTTTTTGAGATGAAGTTTCACTCTTGTTGTCCAGGCTGGAGTGCAATGGCGCGATCTCAGCTCACTGCAACCTCCACCTCCTGGGTTCAAGCGATTCTCCCGCCTCAGCCTCCTAAGTAGCTGGGATTACAGCCATGCGTCACCATGCCCGGCTAATTATTGTATTTTTAGTAGAGACAGGGTTTCACCATATTGGCCAGGATGGTCTCGAACTCCTGACCTCAGGGGATCCACCCACCTCAGCCTCCCAAAGTGCTGGGATTACAGGCGTGAGCCACCGTGCCCGGCCACCATTCTTTTACCTGACTGATATTTAAGGGAATTTTGTTTCCCAGAACCATAGGGAAAACTGTGTCCTGAAGGCCCTGAGCCATCCATGTGACTTCATGTTTGGCTGAGATAGGGGTCCAAGTCCCTTGCTGGCAAGGGAAAGGTCGTGGCTGTAATAATCCCCTTGTGGTTTCTAGCTTAGCTTTGTGTCATCATGCACTCCTCTGAAAAAATTGTGCTCTTAGCTTTAAAGGGCACCACGTAAGGGTGGCTAGAACCCCCAGGAGCCAGGCTGGATGAACCATCTCAACGCCTTGGCCTTTTTAATTCATCACTTTCAGTAATGGACAGGATTGTGGAAAGTATTCATTCTTCAGCCACCAAGTGTACGTCAAATGTCAGCTCATGTACCTGTTAAAAAAATAAGTTGAATATTTATGATGCCATCTCAGGGGCAAGTTTCAGTGAAAGTTCTAAAGTTCATGATAATAAATGTTAGAAAGCATTGGTGCTAATATGTACCATATACTTTATCCCTTTGTTACCTTTTCAAATTGTGAACATAACCTGACTTGAATTTGTAGGACAAACAAAACAGTTGACTCAATACTGCTGTGTATTGGAATTCAATTAAATTCTAGAAGTGTTTATTGAGTGCCTGTTAAGCATAAGATCTGATAACCAGGGGAACTCCTCAAACATATCTAGAGTTTCCCTCAATTGTTCATTTTTCTTAACTTTCATTTCCCTAATTGGGTGAAGATTGTGATGTGGTCATTTTATGAATCGCCCAACAAAATAAGCAGTTAAACCAAAGGGTGTTTGTTTGAGAAAGTTCTATTTATCCAGAAAGAAGGAAAGATATAAATTTTAGCAAAACACATCAAATTAGAAGACAGCTTTGTGAGATAGAAAAATGTCTAGTCAGTCTCTGAAACTCCCTCCTCACTGGTAGTTTAGAGAGAAACAAAACAGAATGGGGTTTCTCAAATGAGTGCTAAAGTTCCCCTCACAAGGAAAACATTTCCCAATAATTCCTGCTTTGCCTTAAACCCACTACCATGAAGATCAGCAGTAACAGGAGACACGGCGGTGTGCTTCGGCCGTGAGGTTGTTGCTTGGTGATGTGACAGGCACATACTGCTTGCTCTGGTGCGGTCTTTTGTGTTCACTTGCTTATCCCATCTCTTTTCTCTCTTCAAACCACTGTGAGAATCCCTTCACACAGTTCTCTCTGAGGCCTTCTCATGTGGTGCTACACAATAAAATCAGTTCTGGAAGCTGATATGATAGTTGATGTCATGTCTATGACATCAAACATCATTATAAAATGTATAGTAGTGGGCTGGGCATGGTGGCTCACGCTTCTAATCCCAGCACTTTGGTAGGACAAGGTCAGCGGATCACGTGAGCCCAGGAGTTCGAGACCAGCCTGGGCAACATGGCGATACCCTGTCTCTATTTAAAAAATACAGAAAATTAGCCAGGCATGGCGGCATATGCCTGTAGTCCTAGCCACCCAGGACACTGAGGTGGGAGGATCACCTGAGCCTGGCAGGTTGAGGCTGCAGTGAGCCATGATCGTGCCACTGCACTCCAGCCTGGGCAACAGAGTGAGACCCCAGCTCAGAAAAAAAAAAAAAGAAATGTGTAGTTGTGGACTCATCTCTTGATGTAAGAACTAAAACACTGCTCCAGCTCTGTCCCCTCCCTCCTCTTTCCCTAGAGGAAGCAACCACCCTAAGTCTTTTTAAAATCATCTTTCTTCTTTTTTAAGAAATAATTTTATCATTTCCATATGTATCTCTTAAAAACAAACATATTGTCTGGTTTTGCTTGTTTTTAGTTTTATAAAACTGGGACCGAAACTGCAGAGACTTGTGATTTGCTTGTTGTCTCTGATTTTGCAGTTCATGTGTTTTTCCTGTCTGGTATTCCATTGTTTGAACATGCCACTGTATACTTACCCTTTCTCCCCGATGGACTTTTGCTTTGCTTCCAGTTTTTTGCTGCTATGTACAGACTTCCCATCACCATTTGAATGAATGTCTCTGGTGTATGTGTGAAGTGTATTTTTTTAAATGTGCATAGCAAGGAGTGGTTTTGCTGGGTTTTAAGTTGCTGGATTTCCAAAGTGTTGTGCCAGTATATGTTCTCAAGAACTGAGTGAATGAACAAACTAATGAATGAAGAAGATAACATATTCATGGAAGGAGAGAGTATATGAATATTCAGCTTTAGAAGAGAATGCCTAATTGATTTTCAAAATATGTGTTCCTAGAGTGTAAACATCTCTGCTACTCCCTGTTCTCGCCAATATTTGGTATCCCAGATATATTGGGATATAGGCTAAACTGCCATCACAGAGACCCCAAGACAGCATAGCTGTTTCCTTCTCAGGCTACTGCCTCCTGACCACTGGACTGGTCAGGGTGAGTGAATTGCTTTGCTCAGATTCCTTCTCTCTTGTGGACATGGTCGGAGCTGGCTCACCAGCACTGTGTCCACCTTTCAGCCCATGGCAGAGGGAAGTAGACGGGGAGTAGCTTCTCTTCGTTAAGGACATGACATGGAAACTGCTTACATCACTTCCACCCACACCCCATTGCAAAGAACTTAGCTACAGTCTCACACCCAGCTGCAGGTGAGTCTGAGGAAACAGGCTCCAGCTGTGTAACCATGTGCCCAGCAAAATCTGAAGGCAGAGGAGTATTAATTTCCTATTCCTGCTGTAATAAATTACCACAAATGTAATGGCTGCAAACAGCATAATTTATTGTATTCTAGTTTGTGAAATCAGAAGTCCAGAATGGGTGGGCAGGGCTGAGTGCCTTCTGGAGGCTCTAGGGGAGGATTCCTTTCCTTACCTTTTGCAGCTTCTAGAGGTCAACTGCATGCCTTGGCTTCTGGCCTCTTCCTCACATCACCCTGACCCCTCCTCCCTTCATCTCATTTCCTTTTCCGGCTCTTCCATCTTTTAAAGATCCGTGTGATTACACTGGGATCAGCCAGTTAATCCAGGATACTGTCCTCATGTCAAGATCCTTAATCAAATCTGTGAAGTCCCTTTAGCCACTTTAGGTGGCATATTCACAGGTTCGGGGAATTAGGGCATGGACATACTTTGTGGGGATTGGGGAGCATTATTCTGTCTACCGTAGGGGAAGGGATGGGTTCTACAGACAGTCCCTGACTTATAATGGGTTGATTGAATGGTTTTCTGATTTTACAGTGGTGGAAAAATGACATGCATTCAGCACATTCCTCATCATGTCCCCATAAACCCATCGTGAGTTGAAAATATCCTAAGTCAAAAGTGCATTTACAACTTAGGATATTTTCAACTCACGATGGGTTTATGCAGATGTAGCCCTGTGGTTAGTTGAGAAGCATCTGTATTTTTTAAAAGAGGAAGGGGATAATGGGTACTAGAGAGAATGATCAGTTTCTGCCATATCATACCATCGCATTTTTGCCAATCACATGGCTGTGGATATATTTTAAGTGTTAAGTTGTCAGAACTGGTGAATTTGCTGAAGAGAGGACTTTGTTTTCTGATACTTTGTGATTGTCGGGATTCAAATGTTGAAGTAATCCTAAAAAACAAAGCATATTTTTGAGGTCTTTCTCATGAGTGACAATTTCATCCATCAGTCTTCTGTTTGCCACAGTCCTTTTGCGGAGGGCATTCCCATCCACTGTTGTACTTGTAGCTTCCTCAGCGAAGCTAACAGAGCAGCTAGCATCCCTAGGATTAAATGACAAGGTGCGTATTAAGATCCCGGCGCACAGTAGGGGCCCAGATGTGTTACAAATAAACAATAACAAAAGCCCACACTAGCACATCGTGGCCAGAGCCGCCTTGTGTGCAATAATCACCTCATCATACATTGCATGCACATAGTAGGTAGACAAATCAAACCCTCCTTTCCTAATACCCTCTGGCCCTCCAGCTTGCTGTGGACTGGACGTTTGCATCCCCCTCCTATTCATTCCTGTGTTGCAGCCCTAATCCCTCATGTTGTGTTATTTGGAGATGGGGTCTTTGGGAAGTCATTACAGGTCCCTACTCCTTTAGGCAGCTCGATTTAGAAGTCTTTTTCTTTTTTCTTTCATCAATTTTTTTTTCTTTCATCAGTCACTTTCTTCTGATAATGGGGGAGGTTAAGTCGCTAATTTGTCAAATTTATGTGCACTCATTTTTGTATATAAGATAGGACAAACTTTCTGTGGTGATAACTTAGGAGTCTGCAGGGGCCAGCAAGACTCATTTGTCCTTTCCTGGATCCAGCAGCACCATCCTCGGCCCCTTTTCATTGCCTCCCTGGGCTTCACTAAGACTGTGCTTGGACCCTTCCTTCCTTCCCTCCATGTTGTCCTAGGCCCTGTCTTGAGAAATCTTGGCTCTTAGCCTGGAGCTGACAAATTCTTGCTTAGGAGGTGGAAGAGAATCGCATGTCTGACTAAAATAATTCATACACACTGCAGTTGCAATTTCACTTTCCTGGGGTTTATAAACAGGAAGACACCACCAATTGGGGATGAGTTATTTATTTTTGAGGGGGGTTCGTGAGACATCTTATTTATCTTTGTTTTACTTGGTCTGCTGGAAAATGCAAGGAAATCCGATTTGTTGTAGCCAGACATAATTCCCTCTTCCCTTTCCTCCCTCCCCACCCCTAACTTGGCTGCTTCCTGAAGCACAGGAGAAGGGTCACCACTTGAGGAGAAGGCACATGCTGGTTCAGGAAGCCCCAGTGGGTTCCTGCAAGGACTCCAAAAATTATGCTCTGTGAGCACTAGTTTCCCTGGCGCCCAGGCCAAGACCACAGCCTTCTCAGGTCTTCTTGTCTATGCCGGTATCACTATGCCTGGCACAGTGTCTCACCAACAGGCAGCGAAAGAAAAATTTTGTTGAAAGAGTGAAAACAACATGTGACTTTAAAGCCAGAGCCTCATTTTCCCCAACCAGTTCAGAAATTTAATGGGATCGCATATTGACTTCTGCTCGAGTGCATGTTGGCTATGGTTGAGGCGACCGAGAAAGCCAGCACTACTCAGTTTTCCCTGCTCTTGGCCTTGTCGTGTTGTAAGGTCTGTTTACGTTTGGATAGTATTTCTCTCAAGAGGCCTAAAATATAGGTAAAATCATCAGTGACGCCATCCATGGGAGAATTTTGGCAACACAACAGCATTTGTGCCTAGACCACTTCTGCTGTATGTATGAGAATCTTCCTGTGGCCTTTGATTAGCCGTTAACAGAAATTTCTTTTTTTTCTTTTCTTTTTTTTTTTTTAAAGAGACAGGGTCTCGCTCTGTTGCGCAGGCTAGAGTGCAGTGGTGTGATCATGGCTCATTGTACCCTCAAACTCCTGGGCTCAAGCGATCTTCCTGCCTCAGCCTCCCGAGTAGCTGGGACCACAGGTGTGCACCACCATACCTGCCTAATATTTTAATTTTTTTGTAGGGATGGAGGTCTCGTTATGTTGCCCAGGCTGGTCTCAAACTCCTGGCATCTCGGCCTCCCAAAGTGCTGCAATTACAGGCATGAGCCACCGCATCCAGCCCTCAGAAGTTTCTTTTGCATTGAACTTGCCAAGAAAAGACCCATTTATATGATCAGCCCCTTGTAAAGCGCGTGCCCTGTCTTCAGGGTAGCTGAGGGGCTAGCTTGTTTTACTGTCCCCTCCAAAGTTTCCCTGCCATGGTTCTACCATAGAAGAAATCTTCTCCTTTATCTTCCTTAGTTGTGGTCAGCTTTCAGGCTTGCCACACTTCCTCCTGGGTGAGTAAAGAGGCACATTTGGGTGCCCTGGGTTGGGCACAGTAGATTTGAGGTAAGGGAGCCAGAGTGCTCATTTCTGCAGCAGGGCTCTCATCCTGCATTTTAGGGAAGTGTCTCTGGCCCCCTGCAATGCGGGATGTTTTTCTTCTTTTTTCCTCTTGCTTTATGTTAGCTTGAACCAGTCCCTGGTGTTTTGCTTCAGGATTCTTTTCTTCCTCCCTAGGGAGTAATTGCTTAGAAAATGCCCTCCTGTCAAAAACACAAAGTCTTCAATGTCATAAATTGGTAGTGGAAACTCCTCCGTCATCTGGCTTAATATTTGAACTGTTGCTAATGGCTAAGAGATTGCAGCATGAAGGTGGGTCCCTTTGGAAGCCTGTTGGGTCAACTGGGGTGTTGGCTGTCTCCTTTGGTCAGTGTGTGTACAGTCATTTGGGGACCAGCCCATTCATCGCAGGCACTTCAATCTTTTAATGCTCTCACTCTTTGAAGAATTATAGGAGCCATATGCTGCTTCCCAGGTAACCGAGACTTGCTAAAAATAGAGCTTAAATGGCCCCACTGTTCTGGCATTGGAAATCGTTGCTTTTTATTTTTAGGCCAGCTTGTGTGATCCGTAGCTACTTTCAAGCTTGGGCAATAAGAATCACTGAGCAAGACCTTTGTCAGTTGAACACTGTTAAGGTTTGAACCTCCACTCCCAGCTAGTTGGAAGGAGAATCCAAATCTATTGAAATAGGGAGTGCTGACCTTCACATGGCTCCCCTCCTCCACCTCCACCCTCTATTAAGCAGGATTCTGTTTCACTGTGGGTTTAGGGTACTTACCACAAGAAAAATACGTTGCAAAGAATGAATTCTGGCTGTGAGTTTATGGCACCAGCCAAACAACCAGAAGAACAGACTGGCATAAAACAGCTTTGAGGCCATTAAAGAACACCACCAAGGCCGAGACCCATGCACTGTGGGTTTTGGGTGGTCTGAAATGGAAATTGTCATCACCATACTTAGGTGCAGATTAATGCATTAAATGATAAATAAGAATAGGCCTAACTTCCATTGCTCATTTCATAAGTAATAGTCTCATTTTACTATCCCCATTCTTGCCCACCTTCAGTTACAGAAATAACTCTGAGTGGGTTTGCTTTTTAAAGATCTGTGTCAAGCAGATATCTCACAAAAATGGCACAGGCAAAGTGTTCTATTTAGAAGTTGCCCTGTGACACAAAACCACAGTGTGTTTTCAGTCCTTGGGCACTGGTTTCTTTGGACATAAGTGCTAGGGGCATGGTGCCGGCCTTCCGGGGGAAGTGACTTGAAAGTGCTGTGGGCTCCGCATAGAGAGTTTTACTTCATTAACAGTCGCTTATCCGTCAGGTCCAAAAGACGCAGCGGTGGTACTGGTAACCAGGTATATTCGTTTCCTATTGTTGCCCTAACAAATTACCATAAAATGAGTGGCTTAAAACAACACAGATTTTACTGTCTTACAGTTCTGTGGTCAGAAGTTTGATGTGGGTCTCACTGGGCTAAAATCAAAGTGCTGACTGGGCTGCATTCCTTTTTGGAAACTCTAAGGAAAATCCCGTTCCCTTCCATTTCCCATCTTCTAGAGGCAGCCCGTATTCCTTGGCTCATGACCCCTTCCTCCATCTTCAAAGCCACCAACAGTGACCCAGGTCCTTTTCAGGTTGTGTCACTTGATCTTCTCTCCTGTGCCCCCGCTCTCTTTTTAAGAACCCTTGTGGGTACATTGGGTCCACCTGGATAATCCAGGCGACTCTTCCTTTTGTAAGGCCAGCTGATGAGCAACCTTAATTCCATCTGCAACTTTCATTCCCTTTTGCTTGGGATTGGGATGTGGAAATCTTTGCAGGGGGTGGGGGGGTGTTGTTCTGCCAATCCACACCAGGGACTTTGTTTTCCTAAATCTCCATGTCGGGTAGGGCCAAAGGGGCAATCATTTTGGTGGCAGCCTACGTGGAAGATGGCTTCTATATTTGCAGAGTTTCAGGAAGTTGAGAGGGTTTCTCTTAGACCACTAGACTGTGAAGTTTGTCAGATACCTTGTTTCTCTGTAGGGTGGTCCTGGAGTTTTGATGATCCCAGCTGAGACTCTTACCAGGGGCTGCTAGAGCCTGGGGATGGATGGCTGTGAAGGGGAGCAGGGAGTTAGGATGACTGGTAGCAGCTGGGCTGGCCAGCGAGCGAGGAATGAGGAAGCAGGGGGATGAGGACAGGAAATGATAGACGAGTCTGCCCCTTGGGAGAGAGAAAATAGAAGATGGGGTTGATTACATCTGGCCCCAAAGAAAATAAAAGCATGGGCTTTTTTGTTTGTAGGCTTTGTGATTGATTCTACTGTTGAGTCAACTTAGACGCTGGGCTAAACAAATTTATTTGCTTACTTTTTGGACATCCAGTGCACTCTTGCCACTAAAAGCCTCAGGGGTTCATTGTGGCCACTTGGTGTCCCGAGGGAGGTTGGGGGGTGTTGGGTGTCACTGTCCAAACAACTCTCTCTGGAGAGAGCAGCAGCCCAGCTGGGGACCCCGTCCCAGGAGGGCTCTGCTCTGGAGAATGTAAACCGGTCTGGTACAGGCTCACAGAGCCTTAAATGTGTTCTCAAGAATTCTAACAAATAATCTGTTGTGAACTTAAACTGGTTTGGACTTTGAAGAACTGACAAGTTCTTTTGAGAAATAGTACGTGGGAGCTTTGTGCATCCTTTCCCACGGTCCCATGACTGGGAGGTATGTTACAGTGAAAGCAAGTCTCAGACACGTTTTGGCCACTCATTCAGACACTTGTTAGTAAGCAGGCATGAAGAGAGCCCTGCTTTAGCTGGGCGTGGTGGCACATACCTATAGTCCCTGTTACTTGGGAGGCTGAGGTGGAAGGATTACTTGAGCTCAGGAGTTCAAGGCTGTAGTGAGCTATGATCCTGTCACTGTACTCCAGCCTGGGCAACAGAGCAAGACCCTGTCTCTTTAAAAAAAAAAGAGAGCACACTGCAGTCTGTTTTGTAAGCTCAGCAAAGCTTGAGCCCTCTGGCCGGGCCCCTTTTGGGAAAGAGACATTCAAGGCAGATGCCACTGTATTCCAGTGCCGGGATTCAGCTAACCCCCAGGGAGGGGACAGGGTCCTCCTTTAGTGGTTGACAATGGCCCCTGACAGTCCTGGGCCTCTTCTCTGAAGGGGGCAGACTGCTGTTATTTCTAGATTCTTTTGTGCGGTTCTTCTGAGGATGGAGATGGTGGCACAATATTTTCACCCAATTCCTAGAGCAGAGGGCCACTGCTTGTTTTCATCATGCTAATTAACCAACTCTGGTGCAAATGGACTCTGATTAGTCTTTCAAATGCTGATCCACCATCCCTGGAGTGCTTGTTTTTCATTTGGATACTTCAATTGTGAGCTGACCTCTTTTAGGATAAGGATCAAAGCCAAGTAATACAGAGCTATATGAGGAGACTTCAACAAGTTCATGGAAAATGGGTATTATGAAAAAACTATTCATGGATTTAAATTTTTTTTTTTTTGCACCAAAATAAACTCACACTAACTTGGCTGTAACATGTCTGAATAGTATCTAGTTTGAGGCACTAAGAAAGATAAGACACCAGTTTGGAAAGAGCCCCTATCAGAGCAACATGAATTCTGCTAAAATTGAAGCAAGAACAAACACCAAACTTATAGTGAAGCTTGAGTGGAAGAATGGTGAAATAACTGATGCTTTACACAAAATTTATGGGGACAATATTCCAAAGAAATTAGCAGTTTACAAATAGATAGCTCATTTTAAGAAAGGACAAAACAATGTTGAAGATAAGGTCTGCAGCGGCAGACTATCCATATCAATTTTCGAGGAAAAAATTTATCTTGTTTATGCCCTAATAGAAGAGGACTGACAATTAACAACAGAAACAATAGCCAACACCACAGACATCTCAATTGGTTCAGCTCACACAATTCTGACTGAAAAATTAAAACCGAGCAAATTCAATGGGTGGCAAAACCATTGCTCCCAGATCAGGTGCAAACAAGAGCGGAGCTTCCAGTGGAAATTCTAAACAGGTGAGATCAAGATCATGAAGAATTTATTGGAAGAACTGTAACAGGAGATGAAACACGGCTTTCCCAGTGCCATCCTGAAGACAAAGCACAATCAGAGCAGTGGCTACCAAGAGGCGGAAGTGGTCCAGTCAAAGCAAAAGCGGTCAAGAGCAAAGGTCAGGGCAACAGTTTTTGGGGATGCTCCAGGCATGTTGCTTGTTGACTTCTTGGAGGGCCAAAGAACAATAAAATCTGTTTATTATGACAGTGTTTTGAGAAAGTCAGAGCATGAGCAGAAGAACATCCAGGAACAGTTCACCAGAGAGTTCTTCACCATGACAATGCTCCTGCTCATTCTCATTCCTCGTATCAAACAAGGGCAATCTTGTGAGAATTTTGAGGGGAAATCATTAGGCATCCACTTCACAGTCTGTATTTGGCTCTGACTCCTTTTTTGTCCTAATCTTTAAAAAAAATCTGTAAAGATCACCTATTTTCCTTCAGTTAATAATGTGAAAAAGACTGCATTGACATGGTTAAATTCCCAAGACCCTCAGTTCTTTAGGGATGAACTAAGTGGCTGGTGTCATCACTTGCAAAAGTGCCTTAACCTTGATGGAGATTATGTTGAGAAATAAAATTTATAATTTTATCTTTTAATTCTATTTTCCATGAACTTTTTGAAGTCCTCATATAGTACACTGTTTCTTTTTTAGTGTGGATTGCTATTTTTTTTATTATTTATTTTTATTTATTTTTTATTTATTTTTTTGAGACAGAGTCTTGCTCTGTCGCCCAGGCTGGAGTGCAGTGGCGGGATCTCGGCTCACTGCAAGTTCTGCCTCCTGGGTTCATGCCATTCTTCTGCCTCAGCCTCCCGAGTAGCTGGGACTACAGGTGCCTGCCACCACGCCTGGCTAATTTTTTGTATTTTTTAGTAGAGACGGGGTTTCACCGTGTTAACCAGGATGGTCTCGATCTCCTGACCTCGTGATCTACCCGCCTTGGCCTCTCAAAGTGCTGGGATTACAGGCGTGAGCCACCGCGCCTGGCCTGCTGTTTTTATTTTTAACTTTTTATTTTGAACAAACTTTAGACTTATGGAAAAGATGCAAAAATGGTATAGTTTCCATATATCCCTTTCCCAGCGTCCCATAATGTTAACATATTATATAATCATAGTACTATTATTAGAATCAGGAAATCAACATTGCTATCATACTATATATCTAAATGCTATATGCTAAATACTATACTATGCTATACTATATCTAATACTGTACTATAGATCTTGCTTAATTTCATCAGGGTTTCCACTAAGGTCCTTTTTTTGTGGTTGTTCTAGGTTCCTCTTCAGAATCCGTGTTGCATTTAGTTATTTCTCCTAGTCTCCTGCAGTCTGTAACAGTTCCCCAGTCTTTCTTGATTTTCATGACCTTGATGCTTTTGAAGAGTTATTTTGTTGAGTATCCCTCAAATTGGATTGGACTGGGGTTATGCCTTTTAAAAATCATGGTAAAATATACATAACATAAAATGTACGATTTTAACCGTTTTAAGTGTACAATTCAGTGGCATCACGTACATTCTCAAGGTTGTGTAACCATTATCTGTTTCCAGAACTTTTTCATCATCTTAAACAGAAACTCTGTACCCATGAAGCAGTTACTTTTCATTCCCCCTCCCCCCAGTCCCTGGTAATCACACTTGTACTTTCTGTCTCTATGATTTTGCTGTTATGGGTACCTCATATAAGTAGAATTATACAATATTTATCCTTTTGTGTCTGGCTTCTTTGACTTAGCTTTTGAGGCTCATCCATGTTGTAGCATGTATCAGTACTTCTTTTTTTTTTTTTTTTTTTTTTTAGAGGTGGGATCTCACTGTGTTGCCTAGGCTGGAGTGCAGTCACTGTTCACAGGTGGGATCATAGTGCATTACAGTCTTGAACTCCTGGGCTCAAGTGATCCTCCTGCCCCAGCTTCCCGAGTTGCCGGGGCTACAGGTGTGTGCCACTGTGCCTGGCCTGTTCCTTTTTAAGGCTGGGAATAATATTCCATAGTATGGATAGAGTACATTTTGTTTAGCCATTCATCTCTTGGACACTTGGGTTGTTTCTACCTTTTGGCTAGTGTCATTTATGCTGCCATGAAAATGGATGTATGAATACTTGGTTCACATTTTAAAAGGAACTTGGAGAAACTGGAGAAGAGACAGTTTGGAGCAGGCAGAAAAAGGCACTATTTTGTGTTTCCCATCCCTGACTGAGGCTTTCACAGAAGCAAGGGAGATTGAGATGCAGTGGGGCAGGGAGATGGCAAGTGGACTCAGAGACAGGTGCCAGATGGTTGAGAGGCCAGGAGGGGACAGGGAGCCCAACCTATTATACTTGTCCAAAGGTGCTGCCACTAGGGGAATGCCCAGAAGGTGCAAACAAGCCCACTGGACAGGGTCAAAGGCCTAGGAACCAGTAGGAGAATGGGTTAAGACCACGATTTGCTGCAGAAAGCACAGTTTGCTCCACACCACCCAGAGCCAGGCAGGATGGTATAGGCATGGGTTGGGTTGAAAATTAAGTCCACTTAATATTTCTTCTTGATGTTTTTCAAATTTGGGGGACTATCTTCCAGTAAGAAATATATCTTACCTTGCAGCCTTGTAAACACACCTGTCTTTAGTTATGATTGAAATAGTAATTTCAGGCTGGGCATGGTGGCTCATGCCTGTAGTCCCAGAACTTTGGGAGGCTGAGGCGGGTGGATCACCTGAGGTCAGGAGTTCAAGACCAGTCTGGCCAACATGGTGAAACCCCGTTGCTACAAAAATACAAAAATTAGCTGGGCATGATGGCAGGTGCCTGTAATCCCAGCTACTCAGGAGGCTGAGGCAGGAGAATAGCTTGAACCCAGGAGGCAGAGGTTGCAGTGAGCCGAGATTGCACCATTGTACTCCAGCCTGGGCAACAGAGCAAGACTCTGTCTCAAAAAAAAAAAAAATAGTAATTTCACAACAAACATTTGATGTGCTCTCATATTTTCTATGCAGTTCTGTTTCATTAAAAAATGCTTCTTGTGACCTGGGTTCCTGGGTTGCCTTCATCTTGAAAACACTGTACTACACAAAGCCTCATATGCGAAGTTCTTTCTGCCAGTTACTTTTCTTTCTCTATCAAGTTTTTGTCCCTTTCCAGTTGGAAAATGTAAACCATGTAATTGATCACGTTTCTCTTTTTGTTTTGGCTATGAGGCAACACAAACCTTGGCTTGACCAAGCGATAGGTTTCTATATGGCGGTCATATACTGTACATACTGATGCCTTAACTTTTCCTAGCTCTTGACCTTCTAGCTATATTTTTCCTGATTCTAATTGGTCATATATTTTTGTTTTGTTGAATTCTTGGGAGCTGCCACAAATCTATATGGAGTGTGATGATGGAATATATAACAAATCATGGAGAACTTTTGATCTTGACTGAGATAAATTGTTGAGTAAAGTCTGCATCTTTAGAGATTTTGTTTTTGAGACAGGGCTTTGCTGTGTTGCCCAGGCCGGAGTATAGTGGCATGATCATGGCTCACTGCAGCCTCGAACTCCTGGGTTCAAGCCATCCTCCTGCCTCAGCCTTTGGAGTAGTTGGGACTACAGGTGTGTACCACCACACCTAGCCAATTAAAAACAGTTTTTCTTTTTGTAGAGATGGGATCTCACTATGTTGGCCAGGCTGGTCTTGAACTCCTGACCTCAAGTGATCCTCCTGCCTTGTCCTCCCAAAGTGCTGGTATTACAGGTGTAAGCCACTGCACCTGGTGAGATTTTATTTTTTTTGTGAAGCACGGTCTGGGCGATATGATTTTCTTTTAGCTTTATGATTCTCCGGTTTACTTTTCTGGCTTTTGTTTCAGATTACCTAGAAAGCAACCTCTTCCTTTTTAATTTAATTTTATTTATTTTATTTTTATTTTATTTTTTAAGATGGAGTCTTGCTCTGTCAACTATCCTGGAGTGTAGCGGCACAATCTTGGCTCACTGCAACCTCTGCCTCCTGGGTTCAAGTGATTCTCCTGTCTCAGTTTCCTGAGTAGCTGGGATTACAGGCGTGCACCACCACACCCAGCTAATTTTTGTGTTTTTAGTAGAGACAGGGTTTCGCCATGTTGGCCAGGCTGGTCTCGAACTCCTGACCTCAAGTGATCCACCCGCCTCGGCCTCCTGAAATGGTAGGATTACAGGTGTGAGCCACTGTGCCCAGCCCCTTTCCTTTTTAAAAAAAGGAATTTATCATAGTGGCAAAGGTAGAATTCAAGGAAGTTTGGAATTAGTGTGGAGGGAAGGTGTCATTTCATCTTTAATTAAGGCCGTTTTTACTTGTACTCACATTGCATAGAATTCTGTTTACGCAGGTGTTTTTGTTTGTTTGTTTGTTTTTTTAACAGAATCTTGCTCTGTCGTCCAGGCTGGAATGCAGTGACACAATCTCAGTTCACTGCAACCTCCGCCTCCCAGGTTCAAGCGATTCTCCTGCTTCAGCCTCCCGAGTATCTGGGATTATAGGCGCATGCCACCATACCTGGCTAATTTGTGTATTTTTAAAGAGATGGGGTTTCACCATCTTGGCCACGCTGGTCTCAAACTCCTGACCTCAAGCGATCCACCCATCTTGGCCTCCCAAAGTGCTGAGATTACAGGTGTGAGCCACTGGGCCCAGCCACAGGAATGTCTCTTAATCAAGCTCCTTGCTTCTATTCCCCTGCCTCATCTCAAGTTCCCATTCCCCTACTTGATTTACCATGTTTGCTGTCTAACTAGTGTGTTCCTGCCACCTGCAGCCTCTGCCCATGAGTCCTTCTGCCGCAGGTGTCATCAGAGAACACATATTTATAGTTATACTTCCTCTCTGCTCCCAAACCTCCAGTTACTCCCCAGACTTGCGGATAATGCAGTCTTTTGAGCTTGTATCAAGGACAGAGCCCATCTTGCCAATTGATTAGAGCACCCCAGCTTTCACCCTGCCCTCCCCGCCTCCAGTCCTTAGGTTGGAAAGCTCTGAGAGAGGATGAAATGGACAGACCATCTGATGCATATGGACCTCTTGAGAGATGATTTAGACCAGGGAGGATGAGTTTGGAGTTGAATCCATTTTTAAGTGAACTCTCCACTAAGCAAAAAAAAAAAAAAAAAAAAAAAAAAAAAAAAAAAGACTAGTATTAGCTCTAGGGGAAAAGAAACTAGTGATAGGAAAGAAACATAATCTTAGTGTACCATGTGGCTAGGCTTTTAGTAATGTTTGTGTAGTCATAAGGATGTAAATACTTGTGTTAGTTTTGTAGGGCTGCCAGAACAAAGTACCATGGATTGGGCACCTTCAACAACAGAAATGTGTTGTCTCACGGTCCGGGAGGCTGGAAGTCTGTGATCAAGGTGTTGGTGGGGTTGGTTCCTTTTGAGGGCCATGAGGTTCCTTTCGAAGGCTGTAGTTGCCTCTGGGGAGGGGAAGTTGGGGAGAATGAAGAATGCTTTTTTTCCATAAGAGACCTTTACAGCTATTTGAAACTTTAACTGAGTGTGAGGGTGACTTGGGTGACCTGGGTCAGCATAGCCTGTGCCGCCTGCACCGAGCTGCTCTTGCCTTCATTCGAGGTGAGAAAAGGAAGTGGGGATGTTATCGGCCTTAAAGGTCGCTACTGACAAGAAGTGAAGTCTTGGGCTTTCTGAGGCCCGTTTATCATTTCATTCTAAAATAACCCAATAGTTACTTTTTAGCTCCTTATATGAGATCTACTTTAAGATACTCCAAAGCAGGGCTTTTTGGGGGAGGGTAGTGTAGTTTATTGCATTTTTGTAATTCTTCAGAAGATATCTACTTTCTTCTCTCTGTTGCAGTTATTGATTTAGAAGCAAGCTAGGAGCATATGACAGAAACTGTCAGTAACCCACTCTGAAGTTAATTTTGTTTTGGTTACAGGTAATAGTTTCATGTCTACTTCTGTGGGGAACAGCAGTGATAGATTTCCTCTCCTTTTTTTTTTTAAAAGCTTTCCTTTTACCTGTGCAAACCTCTCAGTCTCCCCATGCTCCCATGATGCGATGGGGGAGACACTGAACACCCAAATGGGCATTTCTATCTGCAGAAACCCTAAGTTCCTTCTACTGGTGTTAAATAGCTTGTGGAATGTGTTAGTCTGTTAAGTAGCCAGTGGAATGAATGTATTAGGTCATCTGTGGAAACAATTAGAAGAAAAAAATCTGGCAAAGGAGCAGACCAGGAAAGTTTAAAAAAAAAATCCTTTCTGGCACGCAGTTCAATTAGATTAGTATGAGTTGTTAGAAATTAATGTTTGCGGTGTCAGTGAGCACACTTAAACGACAAAAAAGAAACTCAGTTGCAGTATGTGGCACATCATTAAACATATACTCAGATGTTTATTTAAAAAGTATAGATCTGTATTTCTTGTATGTGTAGCACTGAGCCAGGTAGAGGCTATGTGTAGCACTGAGCCAGGTAGAGGCTATGTGTAGCACTGAGCCAGGTAGAGGCTAAGAGTAAATGAAAATATATAATACCTGGTCCTTTCTCTTAAGGAGCTTAAATCTGTTTGGAGGTAGCAAGACATAGAATGTAAAAGATAATGAAAGGGTTAAAATAACAGTCTGAGACAGGGATCAGCAAACTATAGCCTACAGCTAAAATCTGGCCTTCTGATTATTTTTGTAAATAAAGCTTTATGGAACACAGCCTCACTCATTTATGTTTGTTGTCTGTGGCTGCTTTAGTGCTGTAAAGGCAGATTTGAGGTGTTAGAGTGGAACATTGGTCCCACCAAAGCTGAAATACTTACTATCTGACTCTTTAAGAAAAAGCTTACCGGCGGGGCATGGTAGCTTATGCCTGTAATCCCAGCACTTTGGGAGGCTGAGGTGGGTGGATCACCTGAGGTCAGGAGTTCGAGACCAGCCTGGCCAACATGGTGAAACCCCCTCTCTACTAAAAATACAAAAAGTTAGCTGGGCATGGTGGTGCGCACCTGTAATCCCAGCTACTCAGGAGGCCGAGGCAGAAGAATCGCTAATTGCTTGAACCCAGGAGGCAGAGGTTGCAGTGAGCCGACATCGCACCACTGCACTCCAGCCTGGGTGACAGAGTGACATTTCATCTGAAAAAAAGAAAAAGAAAAAGCTTACCAACTCCTTGTCTGGGATAATAATTCAAAAGATGTTACAAAGCAGTGTATGAGGAGTAAAAGTGATTTAGTGAACGCTATAGTTAGTAAGTCTGAGAATGATGGAATGACAGGTGGCTTGAAAAAGGGTTTTGAAGGTGACCTCAGACCAAGAGATTGGAGGGCACTTTGTGATGTAAAGAGTTGGGAAGGAGATTTCATGGATGGGAGCATCCATGGGGCTCTTGGGGGAAGATCGTGTGGGGAGATGGGGACCAGGACTATCCAGCTGGACTTAGAGCCAGGTATAAATGCAGGTGACGTTGTTAATGTCAAACCTGTACCATATTGAAGCGGCCTTTGAGTTCCAGGATCAAGACTGGGAACTTCCTCAAACCCATAATATCTTTCAAAGGCAACACTCATTTACACAATCAATATTCATTCCAGACCTATTATGTGGTTGACTCCAAGGGGATGTTAACATACATGTAGGCACATCGCTCTCGTAGACTGGTGAGTCCAGCTTGTTTGACTCAGTGCTAGTTCTAGGTATGTTTAAAGAAATAGCTGCCGGCTGGGCGTGGTGGCTCACACCAGTAATCCCAGCACTTTGGGAGGTGAGGCGGGCAGATTGCTGGAGGTCAGGAGTTTGAGACTAGATTGGCCAACATGGTGAAACTCCGTCTCTACTAAAAATACTAAAAATTAACCGGGCGTGATGGCACATGCCTGTAGTCCCAGCTACTCAGGAGGCTGAGGCAGGAGAATTGCTTGAACCCAGGAGGCAGAGGTTGCAGTGAGCCGAGATCATACCACTGCACTCCAGCCTGGGCAATAGAGCAAGACTCCATCTCAAAAAAAGAAAGAAAGAAAAATTGTCATTTAGAAGAGAGGTTTAACCTCAAGACCCTCCAAAGGCTGCTAATACCAGGAGACTTGTATGGACAGGTAGTCTCCCATTCTGTGAGGACAGTGTTCTAGAGAGAGTCTTTGAGAAGGGACTTCTGGCTGTTGTTTTTTTTTTTAGATGGAGTTTCGTTCTCTCTTGCCCAGGCTGGAGTGCAGTGGTGCGATCTTGGCTCACTGCAACGTCTGCCTCCCGGATTCAAGCGATTCTTCTGCCTCAGCCTCCCAAGTAGCTGGGACTACAGGCGCCCACCACCACGCCCGGCTAATTTTGTATTTTTAGTAAAGATGGGATTTCACTATGTTGGCCAGGCTGGTCTCGAACTCCTGACCTCAGGTGAGCTGCCCGCCTTGGCCTCCCAAAGTGCTGGGATTACAGGCGTGAGCCACTGCATCTGGGCGAGAAGGGACTTCTGAAAAGGAATGTTGTGTAGGTGAGAGATGTGCCAGGGGGAAGGGAGGAGGAGAACCCCCACCCATCCTTAGACACTGTATTGTCCTTCCTTCCTTTTAGGGCTTCTGTGCTGTCTACCATTTTTTTTCTGGGTCTGCAAAGCTCCCTGCACATATCCTCGCAGGGTGTGCTTCCACCCTTTAGGTACCCAGCCCTATGCAGTTGGTGAGACATCATAATGTTTCCACATGCCACCATCTCCCCTACTCCCTGACCACCCCCTCCAAGCCTGTATCCTGCTGTCTTGGCATCTGTTAGGCACTGAGCTTCCCCACTTTCCCTAGATCAGTCCTGCCACAGGCCACTGAGCTCACCTCAAAATCCTTTCTCTCCTACCTGGACACAGCCCTGGGGCACCTGGGCCCTGCTTGTCTCTGGCCCTGCAGTGGTCCTCATTGTCACCCATTAATGCTTCCATTTACTTCTCTCTCACTCTTTTTTCTTTTGTAAATTAAAACACACACACACACGTGCACACGCACATACACACACATACACAGAGACAGAGATAAAAGAAAATTCTGTAGTGCATTTTGCAGTGAGTTTATTCCAGACTTTCTCTCCTCAAGCTCCTCAAATTCTCTTCTCACCTGACCCTAACCAAGAGATGACCTTGATTCCTGTTTAAGAGAAGGCGTCAACTCGCTTGTGTACTCTCATCTTCATGGCTTTATATCACTGTTGTAATGTTGATCCACTTTTATCCAATGCCAGAGAAAGATACCCTTCCTTCTTTTTTTTATTGTTCTCTGACTTCTCTCCGATCATGCATTCCTGACTCATCTGCCTGTTGTCCAGCATGGTGACCCTGTCCCCGCAGACCGTCAGTAAGTACTTACTGGATCAAAGAGCCATTCTGTCTGAGAAAATGTCAGCTAAGAATGTAGAAGGGCAGCAGGCCTAATTTGGCCTGGTTTCATATTTGAACCTACTGCCTATATTCATGTGTGCAATTGGGTATGTTCGTGGATTTTTTTTTTTTTTTTTTTTTCTGTGCAGCTACAGTATCTGGAACATATGTCTCAGAAAATCTTTATTGATTGAAAAAAATATGAGCAGGAACAGGGGCAAGAAGACGGACTTTGAGTCCAGACTGGCTGGCGGCTGGAATATTATCTGATCTCTCTGGGAGTTGGATTCTTTCCTAAACCAGGAACAATAATAGGCACCTTGTAGAGCGTATTCCAGTTCCTGTTGCTGTGTGACAAATTACTCCAAAATTTAGCACCTTCAAAAAGCCATTTTATGCTTACCAGTTTTGTGGGTCAAGCATTTGTACAGGGCGTGGTAGGGAGGGCTTGTTTCAGCTCTACAGTGTCTGGGGCCTCGGCTGGAAAGGCCTGAGGTTTGGAGTGGACATGACAGCTGGGGGCTGGAACGATCTGAAGGCTGGGTCCCTCACATGTTGGGCCAGGCTGGGATGACTCAGTAACTAGGCATGCCAGCTGGTGTGTCTCAGTGCAAATTGGCTTCCTTACAGCATGGCTGTCTTGGGGTATTCCAGCAAGTGAGTTGGAAACTGCATAATATGGCCTAGAAGTCACACAGCATCACTTTCCTCCACTCTGTTGGTCAAAGTGGTCACCAGCCTGCCCAGGTTCCAAAGCCCGGGGAGGAAGATTAGATTTCTCCTGTTGACAGCTGGATCACATTCTAGAAGAGCTCAAGGGACAGGAGATGTTGCTGTAGCCATCTTGGAAAACACAATTGGCCACAGAGTGATCGTTACAGTTAAATGATACAGTGAGGAGGATAAAGGCACCTGACACAAGATTTTAAGAGTATATTTTCTGCCGGGCATGGTGGCTCATGCCTGTAATCCCAGCTACTCAGGGCGTCGAGGCAGGAGGATCAGTAGAGGCCAGGAGCTCTAGATCAGCCTGGGCAACATAGTGAGACCCCTTCTCTACAAAAAATAAAATAATTATCTGGGCATGGTGGCAGGTGCCAGTAGTCCCAGCTACTCAGGAGGCTGAGGTGGGAGGATCTCTTGAGGCCAGGAGGTTGAGGCTGTAGTGAGCCATGATCGTGCCACTGCACTCCATCCTCGGTGACAGAGTGAGACCCTGTCTCAAAAGAGTATATTTTCATTTGGTAAACATTTATGAAGTTCCTACTATATATCAGGCCGGTCCTGGGTCTACAGAGGCAAACAAAGCAGACATGCTGTCTGTCCTCCTGTAGCTTTCAGTCTAGTGGCGGACACAGGCAGTAATCACATGTAATTAGATCTGGAAATTCCTCCTCCTTTTCTGGACAGGGGCTGGTGAAACATCTGGATTCGTGTGTTGCATTTTAAGTGTTTTTCTTTTTTTTCCCCAGTGAATGATGAGGAAGGGGATCTGCCCATTGTTAATGTGGAACCTCTTGCTGCTGTTTGTTTTGTTTTGATACTTCTACAGATCTGGAGGCTCATAGCACTGAAAGGTGCCTTGTCAGGCTTGAGGTCTGCAAGCACCCCCTGACCCTTTTGTTCAGCTTCAGACTTATGTTTCTCTTTCTGCAAAAGGGATTTAGGAGAGTAGTAGGGGTACATAGAGTCACCTGGGAGATCATCTTCAGCCTAGACATGACCCACCCTGCCCCCCGCCCCATTCTGATGGGAACCAGGGTGTGGAGGAGACAGGCATGAGAAAGTTTCACAGGGGATTCTAACATCTCTGGGTGAGGAACCCAGTGTGAGATGGGCCAGCGCTTCCCAAACCATCCCATGCATGTGAGTGTCCTGGGGATCTTATGATGCAGCCTCAGATTCAGTAGGTCTCGGGGAGGCTGGGGGATGCCTCTGAGTAGTGAGGGTATGTGGAGTACCAGGCGGGTACAGATAGAGATGCCTGTGGAAGTTTGCTGCACCCTGACGAAAGGGCCAGTTCTCAGAGAGTTAGGGTGCTGAGGGCTAGCCAGGTGAGCTACCAGATTTCTGTCATGTTTCAGCACGCAATTCTTACAGATAATTACTCTGCTAAAAACCATAATCACAATATCACTTTTACACCTAAACAACGCAAACAACAGCCTTCCTTATGTAAAACACATCTCAAGAAACTCAAATTCAGAATGTTGGCAGAGGTGGCCTTGTCCACACTCATAGATCTGGTGTAGAACACACTTTTGATTGTGCTACTTACTCATTTTTAAGTAGCTTATATGTATTTTTTAAGTAGCTTATATATCCCAGCACTTTGGGAGGTCGAGGCGGGCAGATCACTTGAGTTCAGGAGTTCGGGACCAGCCTGGCCAACATGGTAAAACCCCGTCTCTACTAAAAATACAAAAATTAGCCAGGCATGGTGGCGCGTGCCTGTAATCCTAGCTATGCAGTAGGCTGAGACATGAGAATCACTTGAACCCAGGGGCAGAGGTTGCAGTGAGCTGAGATCGCACCTCTGCACTCCAGCCTGGGAGACAGAGCAAGACTCTGTCTCTAAAAGAAAAAAAAATTATAGATGCCCAGTACCCTTTATAACAAATTCAAATATTGAAACATACATATGTATACAATACACACATTTAATATTTTGTTGCCTTTAAAACCCCCATCTTCCTTTCCAGGTGCATTGCTATGCCCAGCATGGTCAGCTGAATCATTTGTGAAATAGTGATTACACCAGCTAGAGTTACGCCAGCATAAAGATTTGCATGTTTTCAGTTCAGTGTAGGACATTATTCTTCTACTTGCACATGTAGAGCATTTTAACAATCCGGAAGTGTTTCAGCATATATTTTGTAAAGATAAGGACTCTTTTCAAAACCATAATCACAATCATTTTTACACATACAGCAACTAACAGTGTTTCCTTATCATCAGACATTTAAGTTCAAATATCCAATTTTTACATGTAGTTTAAATATTTTAAAAGGTGTTTGTTTGAATCACGATTTGGAAGGTCTGTACTTTCTAACTGGTTGGTTGTCTCTGAGTCTGTTTTTTTTTTTTTTTTTTTCACTCTGCTACCCAGGCTGGAGTGCAGTGGCAGTCTCAGCTCACTGCAACTGCTGCAACTTCCACTTTCTGGGTTCAAGTGACTCTCCTGCCTCAGCCGCCTAAGTAGCTGGGATTACAGGCACGTGCCACCACGCCTAGCTAATTTTTGTATTTTTTGCGGAGACGGGGTTTTACCATGTTGGCCAGGCTGGTCTTGAACTCCTGACCTCAAGTGATCCGTCCACCTCAGCCTCCCGAAGTGCTGGGATTACAGGTGTGAGCTACCGCACCTGGCCTCTGAGTCTGTTGTAATCTAGGTTCTGCCATCTCTTTTTCCTTGCTTTTGTTGTTGTTGAAGAAACTAAGTCATTTGCCTACAGTCCTACAGCCTGGATTTTGCAGATTGCCTCCTTAGAGTGCCATTTAACATATTTTCGGACGTTCTGTATCCCCTGTAAACTGGTGGTAAATCCAGAGGCTTGATCTGATTCAGGTTCCGTTTGTTGGCAAGAATATTTTGCCAGCGGTGACACACACTTCCATCATGAGGCTCCAGATGCCTGGTTGTCTCTCTTTTTGTAATGTCCACAGCTGGCCAGGCACGGTGGCTCATGCCTGTAATCCCACCAGTTTGGGACACTGATGCCAGAGGATCATTTGAGCCCAAGAGTTCGAGACCAGCCTGAGCAACATAGTGAGACTCTCATCTCTGAACAAAAACTTTAAAAAATAAGCCATGAAATTTAAAAGAAATTAAAAAAAAAAGCTGGATACAGTGGCTCGCACCTGTAATCCCATCTATTTGAGAGGATGAGGCAGGAGGATCATTTGAGCCCAGGAGTTCCAGGCTCTAGTGAGCCATGACAATGGCACTGCACTCCAGCCCAGGTGACAGAGTGAGACCCTGTCTCAATCAATCAATCAATCAATCAATATCCACAGCTGCTAGTGACCATTGCTCAGGTTCTTGATTGCATTAGAGGTTGCAAAACGTTGATTGTCCAATTCTCTCATTCCTTCTTCATTTTATTAGCCAGAATATTCCTATACAGAGAAATTTCTCATCAACCATTTGGTTATCTTGAATTCATATAGGAAAGGCAGGACAAATGTTTGATTCTTTTTTTAAATTTACCAGTTTCAAAACAATGAGTTGGCTCCCTAGCATCTTCCAAAGGTGGCCAATGATGTTTTAAAAGTATCACTGTGAAAGATATATCACATAACATATGAGACATCAAATTAATTTGATGTCTTTCAATCCAGTTATTGTTACTAATGCAGTTATTATTTCAGTGCACTTTCAATGCTGTTTCAAGGCAGTTATTGTTAATCATGCTCATGTTGCCCCATTTGTGGCCAGTGGGAGCCTCTTCAGGTTCACTTCTGAGTTGTTTTGACATGACCCTAGTAGTGTTTGCTGGCCTCCTTGCTTTCTTGGTGTGACAAGATGGCCCAGGCTTATCACCTTTCCTGCCCCAGAAATGAAATCAGCCATTTATCTAAGGGTAGCTGGCTTTCTTTTTGTGAAAAACGGTATTTGGAGACTGAATGTGATTATTTCAGAAAAAAATGTATACATTGCTCTTCATAGATCATTATTCTTAGGAGTCTTTTGGTGTGAGGCTGTTGATCTTTTTAATTTTATTTACTTATTTTCACTAACTCATATTTCAATTTTGGGAAAGGTTTCAAAAATTTTAAACCCAATCCAGTTTATTTAGGTTTTATTCTCTTTTTCGAACTTTAAGCTATAACCTTCAAAGGAAAGCAAATGTTGGGTTTTAACTTCACTTCTTTTTTGTGTTACTCTATATAGACACATACTTACTCAGTGGCTTCCTGATGCTGCAATAAAGTATTTACAATGTAGTTGATTAAGAAAACATTTGTGAAGTAGATACTTGACTAGCAACTTTTTAGTTCAAATTATTGTTCAATATTAAAAAGTACCAACTCAAATGACTTACAAACGTTGGTAGTTACTGTCTTGATAGACTCCCAATTACTATGTGACATCATTGGTGAAACTTAGGATGAAACCGTGAAATGCACCCTCCCTAATAACCTGCACATTATGGTGTTGCAGATATGCTAGATGGTATCTCCAGATTAGATGTCTGGGAGCCTAAAGTAGTTATACTTATGACAGTTTGAAATTCTAGACTGCTTTGAAGAGCTGTTATTTTGCTGTTATCTTCTGCTTTTATCCCTGTACATTTGTCTCAGATCTCATCTCAGATTCTCAGCTTCTTGTCAAAATCATCCTTGCAAGTTTCTTGCCCCTCGACAACAAGCATTTCTTGAGTGCCTGACGGGGCCAAGCACTCAGCCAAGCACTTGAGGGAGGAAGATGCATTGGGCAATATGACTTTTCTTTCAGGAGGCCCATCAGCTTCTGTTTTACATGTCCCTTTTGCCTTCTAGGGGCTCGCGGTAGCAGGATTACTACACCTGGGAGTATAAATGAAGCCTGAGATGGGACATTAAATCTGCCGGGGAGAAAGCAGTGAGGATTCACTGTGGTTTCCTCTCACGTTACCTCACTGTCTGCTATCTCTCTTATGAGAAAGTATGTTTCTTAACAGAAGGCCATGCAGTGAGTGACTCAGCCCTTGCCCACCCCCAACCATGCTGACCAACCACATTTTTCTGTGGAATCGTTCTTCCCTCCTTTTGACTTGGTCCCTGCCTCTTACAGCTGATTCAGCTTAGCCACACTGAAATCAACAGGAAGGCTTTTGCTTTTCTTCTTTCATACAACATGTCCAAATATAAAGCCAACCTGCCCCCTTACTATCCTATCCTCAAGACAAGCAAGAGTTGCTTTCCATGATAGTCCTTACAAAGTATCCTGTACCATAAAGGCTCTATGAATTTATTTTGAATAAAATAGTTGGAGCAAATCCTTCAGATACCTTATCCATAATAAAATTGTTTCATGAAATGAGAGGGTGTTGGGGGGTGGGGAGCGATGTTTTCTAATTATTTTATTTCACATAATCTGTAATTACATTAATACATAGTATAAGCAGACACTTGACTGTTTCTTCTTCTGTTTTGAGGTTTACATATTCAGGTTAGCCCACAACCTTTTGGATCTTCTCACTGAGAAAAACAGGGGATCTCTTTCTAATCAGGCACTTGTCTTTGGGTCTTTTTTGAATCTGAGAACTAGGCTATCATTATAAAGTCAGGAAAATCTCTACTCATCCTCAAGCCATTTTATTATGTAACACTGTCAAATATTTATATAAAGCAGCATACTTTCTTCTCCATGCACAAAAAAAGGTTATGTCTTTAAGTGGCTAAACTTTTTTGACTAAACAGACTTTTTATTAAATTGGTTTTCTGGCCAGATGTGGTGGCTCATGCCCGTAATCCCAGCACTTTGGGAAGCTGAGGCTGGCCAATCACTTGAGGTTAGGAGTTTGAGACCAGCCTGGCCAACATGATGAAACCCCATCTCTACTTAAAAAAAAATTTAGCTGGGTGTGGTGGTGCATGCCTGTACTCTGGAGGCCAAGGCAGGAGAATTGTTTGAACCCAGGAGGTGGAGGTTGCAGGGAGCCTAGATCGTGCCACTGCACTCCAGCCTGGGCGACAGAGCAAGACACTGACTCAAAACAAGAAAAGAATATTGCTTCATAAACAGTTGTGCCTAGTAGCTCAGGAGACTACAATTAAGTCCATTTAAAAAATGTGTTTTTCTGAGATTCCATGTAACACTACCTGAAAAAAAGTAGAATGATGGGAATTAATTGGAGGCTCTAAAAACTAAATAAGAATATCGGGCCAGGCATGGTGACTCACCCCTGTAATTCCAGCACTTTAGGAGGCTGAAGTGGGTGGATTACTTGATGCCAGGAGTTCTAGACCAGCCTGGCCAACATGGCGAAACCCCGTTCTACTAAAAATACAAAAATTAGCTGGGCATGGTGGCACATGCCTGTAATCCCAGCTACTCAGGAGGCCAAGGTAGGAGAATCACTTGAACTTGGGAGGCGGAGGTTGCAGTGAGCTGAGATGGCACCGCTGCACTCCAGCCTGGGCAACAGAGCAAGACTCCATCTCAAGAAAAAAAAAATGGTTTTCTAAGATTCCACTGATTTTTCCCCTCCGTGATTGTTGTATAGAACCATTCTCTACACAGGCTTATCCAGCTTTAACCTGTTGTCTTTATTTTTTACTAGGTTTTGTTGTTGTTGTCTGCCTGTTTGTTTTTGAGATGGAGTCTTGCTGTGTCGCCCAGGCTGGAGTGCAGTGGCATGATCTCGGCTCACTGCAAGCTCTGCCTCCTGGGTTCACGCCATTCTCCTGCCTCAGCCTCCCGAGTAGCGGGGACTACAGGTGCCCACCACCACGCCCGGCTATTTTTTTGTATTTTTAGTAGAGACAGGGATTCACCGTGTTAGCCAGGATGGTCTCAATCTCCTGACCTCGTGATCTGCCCACCTCGGCCTCCCAAGGTGCTGGGATTACAGGCTTGAGCCACCGTGCCCGGCCTGTTTTTTAACCTGCAAAGTCACCTGCCCACTTTCTCCATTCTTTCTTTTTCACTTAAAAAGCCTTCTTCTGGTCAAGTTATTTTTATCCAGTCTATCTAATGGATATTCTATTTTTTGAGACGGAGTCTCACTCTGTTGCCCAGGCTGGAGTGCAGTGGTGCCGTCTTGGCTCACTGCAACCTCTGCCTCCCGGGTTGAAGCAATTCTCTGCCTTAGCCTCCCGAGTAGCTGGGATTACAGGCTCCCGCCACCACGCCCGGCTAATTTTTTTGTATTTTTAGTAGAGACGGCGTTTCACCATCTTGGCCAGGCTGGTCTTGAACTGCTGACCTTGTGATCTGCCCATCTTGGCCTCCCAAAGTGCTGGGATTACAGGCATGAGCCACTGCGCCCGGCCTCTAATGCATATTCTTAAAAGAGCTGTGTGTTAGGTTTGCAGGGGTTAATTTCAGGAAGCGTTTGATAACCCTTTGTTTTTGCTCCTTGAGGTTTTGTTCCAGGGACAGCCCCTGGTGAGGCAGAGGCTTCAGAAGGCAAGTGGTAGGGGACTCAAGGCCCACAGGTCTTGTGAATGCTTTCCCATCCAGGCCCTGCATTTCATTCTGATCTTTGATTGAATGCCCCTCTGCTATATAGGCATTGGTTGTGGTGAAGGTAAGAGTGAAATCAAGACTGATCACAGTAACTTGAGAGGCCTGGACTAGTGGCGTATACTTGTTTTGTGGCCAACTGGTCATGTTGATCATCAGCTTTCTCTAGCCTTCAAGTTAAATAACAAGGCTCACATTTGTAACTGCATTTCTTTGAGTTGAATGGTAAGGTATAGTTCGAGGTCAGTACTTTGTAAGGACACTCCTGGTGTCGTATGGTGCACTCAGTCACCAACATTTATTGAGCACCTACTTTGTGCCAGACACCAGACGAGGAGGAGAGGGTGCTCAGATCTGCCCTTTAAGAGCTCCCATTCCAGGGTGTGTGTAGGGAGGGCATGTCGGGGAAGCCCTCACAGCATAGCATGATAATGACCTGCAAGACTAGCATCTGGCATTAATGGAGCAGCTTCTGTATACAGTTTACAGATATCACGTCTCACCCTTGCCACAGATCACCTTCTGATTTTAAACACAAAGAAAGTGGGCTCGAGCTAGGAATCTCACCCCATGTCACACAGCCAGTGAATGTCTAAGCTGGAATTTGCTCCCAGGCCTGCTGGGCTTTCTCCTACACCTCATGCTTAGAGGTGACAAGAGAGGAGAGATGGGCTGGGAGGCTCAGGTTCCTTGGGCCTTCGTGGAAAGCAGCAAGTGACAAGAGTATCCTTAATGGTGTCTGAGGCAGGCAATGGTGGGCCTTTCTTTCCTCTCACACAGCCGGGTTTGTTTTTTCTCTTCTTTCTTGATTCATCTCTTTTCTGCTTTCCCTGCTGCTCCCCAATTCTTTGAGCTGCTACTGGGCCTGCTACAGACATTGTTGAATCCTGCCAGAGGCCATCCAGCCACAGGTGTGCTGCCTCCTGCCCAGGGAGAGAGTTCAGGCCCAGGGACTGTCTGTCACTGGGGTCCGTGTTCTGAGCCTGTCTTTGTTGGGGAAGCTGATGTTCAGTTTTTAAGATGCAGGTCTTGGGAATTACCTGCTTGTTGGGTTGATGTCCCTTAGTGGTGTGTTTGTGAAGACACCAAAAGGAAAACGTGGCTGGTATGTAGGTCAGCTTTATTGTACGCGGAGATCCCCACAGTATCTGTGGCCTTGACCTGGGAAATTCAGACCCCCAAACCCTTCAGCCCTGACACTAATGGGAGGGCACTGGATGGTAAGAACTTGGCCTTGTGCAGACTTGCATAGAGAAGAGTCTGTGTGTATGTAAAGTTGATGTATGGCCAGGCATGGTGGCTCACGCTTGCAATCCCAGCACTTTGGGAGGCCGAGGTGGGTAGATCACCTGAGGTCAGGAGTTCGAGACCAGCCTGACCAACATGGTGAAACCCCTTCTCTACTAAAAAATACAAAAATTAGCTGGGCGTTGTGGCAGGTGCCTGTAATCCCAGCTACTCGGGAGGCTGAGGCAAGAGAATTGCTTGAACCTGGGAGGTGGAGGTTGCAGTGAGCCGAGATCACGCCATTGCACTCCAGCCCAGGGGACAAGAGCAAGACTCCGTCTCAAAAAAAAAAAAAAAAAAAAAAAAAAAGTTGATGCACGAGTATCTGTTACGGTTCTCTGGTTTTAAGTAAAAGAAACCAACTCTTCCTTAACTAAGGTAGCAAAAAGGATTTATCAGAAGGCATTGGGGTAGTTTATAGGGTGGAAGGAGAAGCTAGAGGATCAGGTCTGAGAAAGATGGCAACTGGGCAGCTTCAGGGATCTCACTTCTGAGAGCCCTGGTGGGGGAATCTGCTCCAGCCGTCTCCAGTGTTTGTCACATTGCTTTGATCACAGTTGGGTCCTATGTCATACATTGGCTGGCAGAGGGCAGGGCATGTTGATGGACAGTCCCATCAAACTATCTCATGGTGGAGGGGAAGTTCCCCCAAACAGTTCCCCTCCCTGCATGGGGAGTGTTCTCCTGCTAGGGCACAAACACAGTCTACCACCTCAATGACCGACAATCTACAATAATAAATTCTTAAATATATATTGTTTAGACTTTTAATTTTAATATTATTATTTTTTTGAGATGGATTCTTGCTCTGTCACCCAGGCTGGAGTGCAGTGGCATGATCTCAGCTCACTGCAACCTCTGCCTCTGGGGTTCAAGCTATTCTCCTGCCTCAGCCTCCTGAGTAGCTGGGATTACAGGCACGTGCCACCACACCCAGCTAATTTTTGTATTTTTAGTAGAGACAGGGTTTCACCATGTTGGTCAGACTGGTCTTGAACTCCTGACCTTGTGATCTGCCCGCCTCGGCCTCCCAAAGTGTTGGGATTACAGGCGTGAGCCACTGCGCCCGGCCAATTTTTATTTGTAAAAGCTGTACTGAGGTATAAAATTTCACCCATTTTAAGTGTACAGTTTAATACTTTTCAAGTAAATTTACAGCATCCTGTAACTCTCACCACAATTTAATTTGAGAATATTTCCGTCACCCCAAAAAGATTCTTCATACCCATCTGCAGTCCATCCCCATTCCCATCCCCGGCCCTAGGCAGCCACTGATTGGTTTTCTGTCTTTTTAGATTTGAACATAGTTTTTTTTTAAATATGTTCCTGACTGGTGTAACTTTTTCTGGGTATTCTGGAAACTATGTTATACATGAAAGAAAAAAAGAGCCCCCCCCCACCCCCCCGCCCGCATCAATGGTGTGAAAGTCTGTATCTCGCTGGTCTCAGGTTTCTCTGCTTTCTCTTTTAAATCCTTCCTTCTCTCCAGTGGACCATAATTTAGGAGAACGTAGCCCTGGGCTTGATGCTGCCATTATTTACCTCTCAATGTCTCTAAGCCTAAGTCATGGAACCTTCTAGGCCTCAGTTCCTCATTTGTAAAATTCAGGAAAAAAAAATAGACTAGATGATATCTGATGTTCTTTCCATCTCTAATGATCAGTACTCATGATCTTTTTTGGTGAAGTCTGTTTTGGCAAAAAATTACTTCTTGATTTTCTATGCCCTTCAGAGGACTGAAACAAAACACTAAAATTAAAAATTTATTCTTCAGAATTCACAGAACACAATAAGTGCAAAAGCAGTAAGTGTGTAACATTTCTACTTCTGAAATGATTAAAGCTTACTGCACTGAGACCTCTGTGACATTGTGTATATGTGTATACAGCGGAGGAAATTAATTGGAAACTTTCATTCTCCTTCATGCTTTCTGGTTTATTCAAATATTTATTGAAGCAGACAGGATGCTAGGTGAAGGATTTAGAATCCTGGCAAAGATAAGGGCTTTTCCCAGATGAAGGTTGCAGTCTAGTTGGGGTAAGTCAGTGTGAAATTATAGTGAGGTGAACTGGTCCTAGGAGACAGGAAGGACAGTGAGCAGAGGGAGGTAGGGAAGGACTGGGTCACAGAGCAGGGCCACGGATATACCACCGCCACCACCACCGCCATAGTGAGAAGCTGGCCCTGAGAAGCTGCTAGGCAGCTGGCTTAGCCAACCCACAGTTAAAAACCACCCATTTCGTCTTTGGGGGAGGAGACATTCCAGCAAGTTTGAAGGTAGAGATAGGGGAGGGTGAAGTGTTTTGCATTTCTAAGCAGATCTCTTATCTCCCCTGGCTCTATCTTTTTGTAACATGGGGTTAACTGTAGCATTGGTTTTTGCAGTGACTGTAGATGTAGCAAACTTGTGGAGGCTGGCCTTTTGGCACAGCACACAGCTGGAGGGTGGTATTTTTCTGACAGGGAGATGTTCTTAAGTTTTGTAATTTATGGTGTCTTTAAATATGGGATTTTGTTTACTGTTATCCTAATTACACCTCTGATGTATTTTATTTAGCTTAATGTTTTAATTTTCTGCTCATACCCAGAGGTAATTTCTCAAAGGGTACCACTTTAAAAAAATCATAGGTAATGTTTCATCCTTCCTGCAGTTACCTGCAGCCTCTCGAAGGCAAGGAAATGGGTTTTGGGGGCATAGACTTTCTTCTGGGCTCTTGTGATATAATTTTGGCTGTGTTTGTATCATCCAAGATCTTCACCACCTGTTTGCCAAGTATTATCCTAAACCATTCTGTTCTATAGAGACGTGATACAAGCCACATGTCATTTTAAATGTTCTAGTAGTCACATTAATAAAATTTTAAAAAGGTAAAATTAATTTGTATAATATATTTATTTAACCCAACAGATCTAAAACATCACTTCAACATGCAATTGATGTGAAAATAATGAGCTATTTCACATTATTTTTTTCTAAACAAGTCTTTGGAACTTGGGATGTATCTTATGGCACACGTCAGTTCAGACTAGCCACATTCCAAGTAGTCATTAGCCACATTTGCAGTGACACTGTATTGGACATCAAAGTTCTAAACCTTTCAAAGGCTTGCAGAGGGCACTGGAAAGAGCCCTTAGAGTGGGTAGGAGAGACATATCCTCATGATTTATGAGCTCTTAACAAAGCCACAGGTTTCCTCTTCTTAGAGAAACCTGATATGTAAAAAAAATTCATCTTGACAGGAAAGGTAAAGCAGGAAGTAATTATTCATGTTACAAAAGAATTAACCACAGGATCTTTTAAATAGCAAGCTCCCTTAGTGCACGGAAGAATATGACTCAATTTGCAAAATGTGATTGACACTTGACATTTTAGTAGCACCTTTGTTGGGCTGGGAACGGTCTATCATCATAAAATGCAAGCTGAGTGGTCAGTTGATCAAGTCTTTATTGAGCACCTACTGCATGTCATGGATGCTTATAGGGGCCCCAGCAGAACTAAGGGTGATCCATACCCAGAAGGCATTCAGGGGCTCACAGGGAAGACAAGACACAGCTTGGGATTGCCTCAGTGGCAGGGGCCAGAGAGGCCTTGGGTCTAGAAGAGCTTGGAAGGTGATGTGGAGGCAGTCAGGACCTAGCTGTGGCCAGAAGGCAAGGAGGCTGTGCATGATTACTTAAGTTTAAAGAAAGGGCAATGGCCAGGGTGGTCGCTCACGCCTGTAATCCCAGCACTTTGGGAGGCCAAGGCAGGCAGAACATTTGAAGTCAGCCTGACCAACACGGTGAAATCCTGTCTCTACAAACAATACAAAAATTAGCTGGGCATGGTGGTGTGCACCTGTAGTCCCAGCTACTTGGGAGGCTGAGGTGGGAGGAACACTTGAGCCTGGGAGACAGAGGTTGCAGTGAGCTGAGATGGTGCCACTGCACTCCAGCCTGGGCAACAGAGCCAGACCCTGTCTAAAAAAAAAAAAAAAATTTTGTTTTTTTTTTTTAGTATCTTCTTAATTATGTATAGATTGTGTACATATATTCCTGTACTAATTGAAGATCAAGAAAACCCCAGAGAAGCTCCTACGCTGTTATTATTAGGCTTAACAAACTTTTGAAACACATAAAATTGAGTATTGTATGACTTTAGACATTGGTGGAAAAATGAAGACATTTTCTTCATGGTTCAGGTACATAGTTTTAAAATATCTTGCTAATCCTGATGGTTCCACACTTACACCAATGTCAGGGGTGGAAAGAAACCCATATTATGAATGATCTTGATAACTGAGTGTTTGGGGGCCATCTCCCCGTAAGATCTGATGTGTCTTCCCCATGTGGTGGGCAAAGAGCTCCCAGCAGAAGCTGAAGTGGCAACTCTATCATTTTCTTTCTTTCTTTTTTTCCTTTTCTTTTTTTCTTTTTTTTTTTTTTTTTTTTGAGACAAAGTTTCGCTCTTTTCCCCAGGCTGGAGTACAGCGGCATGATCTTGGCTCACCGCAACCTCCGCCTTCCGGTTTCAAGCGATTCTCCTGCCTCAGCCTCCAGAGTAGCTGGGATTACAAGCACCCACCACCAAGCCCAGCTAATTTTTGTATTTTTAGTAGAGACAGGGCTTCATCATGTTGGCTAGGTAGGTCTCAAACTCCTGACCTTGTGATCCGCCGGCCTTGGCCTCCCAAAGTGCTGGGATTACAGGCATGAGCCACCGTGCCCGGCCAGCTCTCCCATTTTCTTGGCACTTGGCCTCGTGTTGTCTACAGCTCCTACTTTCTTTACACAGATCTTTTCAAGCAGCTGACCCACTTTGTGAGGGTGATTTCAGCAAGAAGGGGTCATAGCCATAAGGAGGCTGTACCAGGAGGCACCAGAGAACTGCAGGGCACCCCATGGTGGGGACACAGTCAAACCATATCAGATGGGAATTATTAGCTTTGACATACAACTGAGACCTAGAGAAGTTAGCATCACATGGAATGCTGGTGCTTGCTCTGGTGGTACTCCTTGATTCCACTGTCCCTCTGGCTGCTTCCTGCCCCTTAAAGGATCCCTGACTGTGTGTCCTGGAGACTGGGTGAAGGAACCTGTGTCATTCTGTCAATGGAACAATAGAGAAGTTGAATTATTACTTTTTTAAAGTTAAAACAAAATGAATAGACATTGTAATTTTTTTCTCCCATCATCTCAATGGATGCTTAAAACCTATCTCAGTGTATTGAAGTTGGTTTGTTGTTGTTGTTGTTGTTGTTGTTGTTGTTGTTGTTGTTTTACTCATTTGTGCTTTTTGTCTCCTATTTAAGAAATCTTTGCCAAACCTAAGGTCATTAAGATTTTCTCCTATCCATTCTTATAAAAAGTTTTACAATTTTAGCTCTTACACTTAGGTCTGTGAACTATTTTGAGTTAATTTTAGCATATGCATGCTTTACAGAGCTCATTTAACTTTTCCTCTTCCATTATTTTATCATAATTTCTGAATTGCTAATTTACCACTGGGGATTTATCTAATTTTTGCTATCCTTGTATTCATTCATTTGCCATTCATTCATTCATTCATACGGATCTGCAAATAAAAAAGGAAAAGGTGGCTGGGCACGGTGGCTCATGCCTGTAATTCCAGCACTTTGGGAAGCCGAGGCGGGCAGATCATCTGAGGTCAGGAGTTCAAGACCAGCCTGGCCAACATGGTGAAACCCCGTCTCTACTAAAAATACAAAAATTAGCTGGGTGGGGTGGCATGCATTCAAGGAGAATCGCTTGAACGTGGGAGGTGGAGGTTGCAGTAAGCTGAGATTGCGCCACTGCAGTCCAGCCTGGGTGACAGAGTGAGACTCCATCTCAAAAAAAAAAAAAAAAAAAAAAAAGTGTTATGAAATTGGTTCATATTGAGGTGGTCATGAGGAGAAGTCCAGTCTAAATGAATTGCATAAGTTAACTAATTTTTGGATTGGTTAATGCTGCTAATTTGCATTGGCACTTTGTCAGTGAGAAGACCCACCTTTCTTACCTGTTGCCTTTGCTCATTACCAAGTATGAGAGATTTTCATAGATCAGGAAAACAATGTAACATGGAATTGATGCGTAAGAGCTCATCTGTTGAGAGGGCAGTTGTGGTTCTGATGTAGGCGGTCTGAGACATTGGCTTGGCCAGCCAGGCCCTCTATGCCACCTGTCTTTACACGTGTTGTTGCTGCAAGATGGGTGTTACCTCTGTCGGATGGTGTATTAGTCTGTTCTTGTGCTGCTAATAAAGACATACCCAAGATTGGGTAATTTATAAAGGAAAGAGGTTTAATTGACTCAGTTCAGTATGGCTGGGGAGGCCTCAGGAAACTTAACAATCATGACAGAAGGGAAAGCAAACACATCCTTCTTCACATGGTGGCAGGAAGGAGAAATGCCAAACAAAAGGGGGAAAAGTCCCTTATAAAACCATCAGATCTCATGAGAACTCACTCACTATCACAAGAAAAGCATGAGAGTAACTGCCCTCATAGTTCAATTACCTCCCACTGGGTCCCTCCTACAACACTTGGGGATTATGGGAACTACAATTCAAGGTGAGATTTGGGTGGGGACACAGCCAAACCATATCAGATGGGGATTATTAGCTTTGACATTTTGTACAACTGAGACCCAGAGAGGTTAGCATCACATAGTATTGGCGGGGGATGGGAGACCCAGAAGTCAAACCGACATCTGTTGTCTGTACTCTGAGCTCGGGGAGACAATGCTGGACACCCTCTGGGTGGGGCAAATGTTGTTATCTGGCTGTCATCATGCAGCTTCCCCTCTGAAGCGCCTGCTGGCCCCAAGACCTGTAGGCCACCCTGCCTGTGCCTGACCACGGACCAGCACTTTGTGGTTTCTGTGCTATAGGCTTCAGGTTAACCAAAATTGGGTTACTGTGTGTGGCCCTGTTATTTTGAATATTTGTAGAGGGGAAGTCCCTTTAATGTTACTTTACTGGCCTTCAAGGGATACTGGACCTCAGCCTTCTCCAACATCTGACCTAAATTACTCTGTTTTCCCTGTTCCTTCCAGTGGAGGCCATAGTGGAGTTTGACTACCAGGCCCAGCACGATGATGAGCTGACGATCAGCGTGGGTGAAATCATCACCAACATCAGGAAGGAGGATGGAGGCTGGTGGGAGGGACAGATCAACGGCAGGAGAGGTTTGTTCCCTGACAACTTTGTAAGAGTGAGTACAAAGCAAAACCCTTTTCCTGTCTCCTGTGTGGGCTCTGCTGACCAAAGTCTATGGGGGCGCTTGAGGATGAATTGCATGAACTCTCTTAGGGAATGGCTTGCCCTCCTCTGTGATATCAAGAGAAGCATGTATAGTTTTGCCCTTGGTATCTGGGATACTTGTTTTGAAATTGCTTTTTTGAGGCTCAGGATGATCTCTTTCCACTGTGTATCACTTCTTAGGATATGCTAAGGCTGGGTGCAGTGGCTCATGCCTGTAAATCCCAGCATTCTGGGAGACTGAGGTGGGCGGATCACTTGAGGTCGGAAGTTTGAGACCAGCCTGGCCAATATGGTGAAACCCCATCTCTACTAAAAAAAAAATACAAAAATTAGCCAGGTGTGGTGGCATGTGCCTGTAGTCCCAGCTACTCGGGAGGCTGAGGCAGGAGAATCGTTTGAACTTGGGAGGCAGAGGTTGCAGTGAGCTGAGATTGCGCCACTGCACTCCAGCCTGGGCAAGAGAGCGAGACTGTCTCAAAAAAAAAAAAAAAATAGTAAAGGCTGTTAAATTGTTGTATGTACTTGTTTATTTGCTTTGGAAGTTTAAAAGAATTTTATTTTTTTCTATTCCTTGCAAAATGGAGGTAAAACTCAGTTTTGACCACTTAAATAACAATTAAATTAAATGTAGAATTCAGCCAGACATGGTGGCTCATGCCTATAATCCCAGCACTTTGGGAGGTTGAGGCAGGAGAGTCACTTGAGCCCAGGAGTTTGAGACCAGCCTGGGCAATATAGGGAGATCCCTGTCTCTACAAAAATAAAATAAAATAATTAGCCAGGCATGGTGGTGTGCACCTGTATTCTCAGCTACTTGGGAGGCTGTGGTGGGAAGATCACTTGAGCCCAGGAGGTTGAGACTGCAATGAGCCGTGATCATGCCAGAGCACTCCCTGTCTCTAAATAAATAAACAAACAAATAAGTAAAGGTAGAATCCAAATTATGGAATGCTTTGAACGAATGAATGAATATAGAATTCAAATTATGCAATGTTTTCCACCTTTGTATTCATATTGCCTTTTTTTTTTTTTTTTTGAGACAGTCTTGCTCTGTTGCCCAGGTTGGAGTGCAGTGGCATGATCTTGTTCTCAGCTCACTGCAACCTCCACCTCCCAGGTTCAAATGATTCTCATGCCTCAGCCTCCCGAGTAGCTGGGATTACAGGCATGTGCCACCACGCCCGACTAATTTTTGTATTTTTTTTTAAGTAGAGATGGGGTTTCACCATATTGGCCAGGCTGGTCTCAAACTCCTGACCTCAAGTGATCCGCCCACCTCAGCCTCCCAAAGTGCTGGGATTACAGGTGTGAGCCACCATGCCCAGCTCATATTGCCTTTTTGATAGGAGCAATATTATTTTCCTTTACCCCTTTATGTCCATGAAGCATTAAACAAGACTTACTTCTTCAGTAATGTTTTGAAAATTATGCCTTTTGGAGAAGTCATCTACAGGTTAATTATAAAAATGTAACTCATTCATATTAATAAATTACCACACAGTTGTAAGTAGTACTTTGAATTGTTGGGTAGAAAAAGATCACCTGGAGGCTATTCCTCATGGGAAATATTAACTAGGTCTAGAAGTCCCCTTGCCATAAACTTTCTATCTCATACTGGAGAAGAATGGATTGTTCTCAGAAGAATGGGTTGTCCTCAGTGGGAAGACCTGCATGCAGAAGTCCCCAGGTCCCCTGCTGTAGTCTCCGTGTTACCAGATAATACTTAAGAGGACTGTGCCTTGGATACAGGGAGGCAGGTAGTATGGGGAACCTTGGGCCCAGAGAAGCAGGTGACCCCCGCCAAAGGAGCCCTGAGGGCTGGGTGGGAGGGGTTTTTTATGACAAGGAGTTGTTGATGAAAAATGTGTGATGGACACTGGACTTCCAGTCACTACCCTTTCAGAGTCGAAAATGAATAGGAACCTATTTAAATCTTTCTTTAGGATCTTGTCTCAGGGTGATCCTGCTAGCATTTCTGTTTTCTTTTCTCTTTGGTGTGAGAAGGCTGGGGAGAGTTTTGTAGGGAACATGCTGCTAAACATTGCTTTCTGGAGTTGTAGGAATATAGGCTTTCCCCCCACTGTACTACACTTGAATCCAGCCGCTCGCTCCCATTTTAAGAGTGGGAAAGTGCTGCATCTGGGCCACCACAGACTCTGTTGAGGTGTGAATGGGAGTTCTTTTGCATATCCCAACAAAGACCCCAGTTTTAGGAAAGGAGCATCCCTGAAGTTGAGCTGCATTCTAGTGTGGAAAGAGGGTTTTTCCAGATAAAAGGGGCAGTGGTTAGAGTGAAGATGAAGGAAGAAGGAATGACAGAAGGGGACTGTGGGAAAGAGAGAAGACCCTGGGAAGGAGGGAAGACTGTGGGGAAGGATAGCAAGATTGTGGGAAAGTGAGCAGGACTGTGGGGAAGAGAGAGGAGGGCCCTGGGAAGGAAGGAGGACTGTGGAAAGGCGAGGTGGATGGTGGGAAAGAGGGAGGAGGACCCTAGGAAGGAGGACTGTGGGAAGGGGAGAAGGATCATGGGAAAGAGAGAGGAGGACCCTGGGAAGGAAGGAGTACTTTGGGAAGGTGAGGAGGACTGTGGGAAAGAGGGAGGAGGACCCTGGGAAGGAAGGAGGACTGTGGGAAGGGGCGGAAGACTGTGGGAAAGACAGAGGAGGACCCTGGGAAGGAAGGAGGACTGTGGGAAGGGGAGAAAGACCATGGGAAAGAGGTAGGGGGACCCTGGGAAGGAAGGAAGAATGTGGGAAGGCAAGGAGGACTGTGGGAAGGGGAGAAAGACCATGGGAAAGAGGTAGGGGGACCCTGGGAAGGAAGGAAGAATGTGGGAAGGCAAGAAGGACTGTGGGAAAGAGGGAGGAGGGCCCTGGGAAGGAGGGAGGACTGTGGGAAGGAGAGGAGGACCGTGGGAAGGAGAGGAGGACCATGGGAAAGAGAGAGGAGGAGCCTGGGAAGGAGAAGGGACTGCAGCATCAGCTCCAGTTTTGAGGGTAGGTCGTATTTTGAACACCTTTAATGTGTCTTGTTGGCCTAGTGTCACCTGATTTTAAACCACAAATCTACAGATTCAGAGAACTGAGTTGGAAGGCACTGAGAAAGCCTATGGAATTTGCTCATAGCATAGGGCTGGCGCGCTGTCAGTGACTGTGGAGGGAACCAGGGCAGGGAAATGCAGTGTAGGAACTGCCCACGCGAGAGCTGGAACCTGACCCTCCCCCTGCTCGGAGAGGACTCCTTGCTGTGAAATGGAGGTGATGTCTTGACCAGAAGGTCTCCGCATTGCCCCACCTGCTCTGCTTTGGGCTAGGCCAGTGTGGGCATGGCAGCAGGCTCCTGTCCTGTGGCTTCCCATGGGCTTTGGCTCAAGGGAAGCCCTGGTGGGAGATGGCAGGGAGGGATGCGAGTGAGATTGGGGGGCGGGGGGAGGCGGTTATCCCACCAACTCCCTGCTCATGTGGATTTTGGGCTGGCCGTGTCTCTCATGGGATGGGTGGCTGCTCCAGTCAGGCTCACCTTCCTCCTTACCCCTCTCTCCTCATTCCTTCAGGTCTGGGGGCTTCCTTGTTTCGAGTCCCTGGCTACCACCTTGGGCTTTCTTTATACCTCACCCACCCTGTGAAAGAGTATTAATCCCACTTGAGATTACCCTAATTCGAGTGGGCCATCTGTTTCCTTTTGAGAACCCGACTACCTCATCGGCCTGTTCAGAGGATTAAACCAGAGAATGCTGGAAATTGTTTAGCACAGTGGCCAGCCCCTCAGTGAGTGTGCCACAGTGCTGGTCACTGGGTGAGGGAATGGGTCCTCTCCTCTGGGCCTGAATTGCCCTGCGCTCACCTGCTCAGGTGTCCTCTAGTTTCAGCCGGAGCACTTCCAGGGAGGGGAAGACATGCTCTTGAGAGATGCTTGCTCTACCTAGGGCAGAAAGGATGTAGCAGGAGTGGCTGGGGCTGCGCTACTTGTAGCTGTCACATTTGGCAGAAAAAGAAACTTCTATTCTTTCAGATGGCTGAGTCTATTTTCAAGTCTTCACCCACTGGAAATGTTTTAGGCCTATTATTGAAAATTCAGTAGGTGGTTGCAGTGGAGTTAAACAATAACCAGGACTCTGTAGAGAATTCTAAAAGCTGAAAATGCATCTTTAAGTAATAGTAATCATATTGGCATAGGTGTGCACTTTTGAAAGTGGCTTTATGCATGTCCTATGTAGTGTAAGAATAATGTGTCCCCAGATGGAATTGGGTAGTTTTGTGGAATGTCTTTCTTTTTTTTTTTTTGGGATGGAGTTTTACCCTTGTTGTTGAGGCTGGAGTGCAATGGTGTGATCTCGGCTCACCGCAACCTCCACCTCCTGGGTTCAAGTGATTTTCCTGCCTCAGCCTCCCGAGTAGCTGTGATTACAGGCATGTGCCACCACGCCTGGCTGATTTTGTATTTTTAGTAGAGACGGGGTTTCTCCATGTTGGTCAGGCTGGTCTCGAACTCCCTACCTCAGGTGATCCGTCTGCCTCGGCCTCCCAAAGTGCTGGGATTACAGGTGTGAGCCACCACACCCGGTCAGGAATCCCATTTTTATACCCACATGCCTTTCTGTCCATGTTACCACTGTCAGAGAGCCTACCTTAAGCATTTTCTTTTCTTTTTTTTTTTTTTTTTGAGATGGGTTGCACTCTGTTGCCCAGGCTGGAGTGCAGTGGCATGTTCACAGCTTACTGTAGTGTCGATCTAGGCTCAAGTGATCCTCCCACCTCAGCCTCCTGACTAGCTGGGACTATAGGTGCACACCACCACACATGGCTAATTTTTGTATTTTTAGTGGAGATGGGGTTTTGCTATATTGCCCAGGCTGGTCTTGAACTTCTGGCCTCAAGTGATCCTCCCGCCTCGGCCTCCCAGAATACTGGGATTACAGGCGTGAGCCACCATGCCCTGCCAAACATTTTCTTGATTCATTTAGCAGATCCTTATTCAGTATCCCATTTGAGCGTGGTCCTCCAGAGTGTTGGGATTCGTATCCACCTTCATCTCAGTGCTGTCTCAGTCTCTCAAGAGAAAAATACCAGCCATTCCCCTGGTATACTGAGTAGCAGGCCATCCCATTGTTAAGAAGATACCTGTGCTTTGTCAGCTCTTGGGCTATTTTTCATTATGCAGAAATGTACCCAGCTAGGCCACATGCCTTTTTAGGTTTGTCTCTCTTTTATTTAGTTTGTCCTTATTTATTTATTGTAAATATGGAAGAAGAATCTTTTAAAATCTCCCTTCTCTTTCTTTTCTTTCTCTCTCTCCCCACCCATGTCTTTTTTTGAGACAGGGTCTCATTCTGTCACGTAGGCTGGAGTGCAGTGGCGTGATCACGGCTTACTGTAGCCTCAAACTCCTGGGCTCAAGCAATTCTCCCACCTCAGCCTCCTGAGTAGTTGAGACCACAGGTGTGAGCCACCACACCTGGCTAATTAAAAAAAAAAAAATTATGTAGAGACAGGGTCTCACTATGTTGCCTAGGCTGGTCTTGAACTCCTGGGCTCAAGCAGTCCTCTCACTTTGGCCTCCTAAAGTGTTGGGATTATAGGCATGAGCCACTATGCCTGGCCCCCACCCACTTATTTTGGAATACATTTTTCTTTATCCCTCCCCTTTACAAAAGTATTCATTTTTAAGGTGAAATTTATGTAGAGTAAAATGCATAAGTCATATGTCTATGGCTTGATGATTTTTTTTTTTTTGTTTCTACGTAAGTGCGTACCTCTATAACCACCACCCAGATCAATGCTATTTCTATCCCTCTAGAAAGTTCCAGCATGCCTATAAAAAGGAAGGGGGAAATGTCAGAGTCGTTGGAACCAGAGCAACTGCATCTTGAATAGGGGTTAGGTAAAATAAGGCTGAGACCTACTGGGCTGCATTCCTAGACAGTTAGGCATTCTAAGTCACAGGACGAGATAGGAGGTCAGCACGAGATACAGATCATAAAGACCTTGCTGATAAAACAGGTTGCAGTAAAGAAGCCGGCTAAAACCCACCAAAAACAAGATGGTGATGAGAGTGACCTCTGGTCATCCTCACTGCTACACTCCCAACGGTGCCATGACAGTTGACAGATGCCATGGTAATGACAGGAAGTTACCCTATACTGTCTAAAAAGGGGAGGAACTCGCAGTTCCGGGAATTGCCCACCCCTTTCTTGGAAAGCTCATGAATAATCCACCCCTTGTTTGGCATATAATCCAGAAATAACCATAAAAATGGGCAACCAGCAGCTCCAGGCAGCTCTCGGGGCTGCTCTGCCTGTGGAGTAGCCATTCTTTTATTCCTTTACTTTCTTCTTCTTCTTTTTTTTTTTTTTTTGAGACGGAGTGCAGTGGGGAGATCTCGGCTCACTACGACCTCTGCCTCCCGGGTTCAAGGGATTCTCTTGCTTCAGCCTCCCGAGTAGCTGGGACTACAGGTGCGTGCCACCATGCCCAGCTAATTTTTGTATTTTTAGTAGAGACAGGGTTTCACATGTTGGCCAGGACGATCTCAATCTCTTGACCTTGTGATCCGCCTGCCTCGGCCTCCCAAATTGCTGGGATTACAGGCATGAGCCACTGCGCCCAGCCCCTTTACTTTCTTAATAAATTTGCTTTCATTAAAGAAAAAAAAAAAAAGAACAGACAGTTCCACCAAGCCTTTTCCCAATGATTCCTCTCCCCCTAGGAAATTGATCATCATACATTAGTTTTGCCTGTACTAGAATTTTGTATAAATGGAGTCATACAATATATGTTCTTTTATATATGACTGGTGCACAACAAAATGTTTTTGCGTACATCGGTACTTTGTTCTTGCTGTGTAGTATCCCATTATGATGAATATCCCATAATTTGTTTAATATTTTGTTGATGGATATTTGGGTTGTTTCCAGTTTGAGGATTTTATTGATAGAGGCTCTGAACATTCTTGTATGTTGTCTTATGGACATTAGCACTAATTGCTCTTGCATATGCACACATGTAAGAGTGGAATTGCTGCTGTCACTGACTTTCAACCTGTAGATTTTTCTCTGTGTAAAGTTGTGGCTTCCATTGGGTGAGGGGAGGAGGTGCCATACCTGTGCCTGAAGCCTCATTTGCGCCACACTAGTCAATTTAGCTAATCAGCCTGAATCTTGTCATAATGTAGCCACCTATGAATATAACTGGTGAGGCGTCCTGATGCACAGAACCCAATCTCCCAGTGATGATTTGATTATTGGGCCCCAGGAACTGACAAAGACTGATTTTTAATTTATTTTTTTATTTTTTTTAGACAGTCTTGCTCTGCCACCCAGGCTGGAGTGCAGGGGTGGGATCATAGCTCACTGTAGCTTCAAACTCCTGGGCTCAAGTGATCCTCTTGCCACAGCCTCCCAAGTAGCTAGGACCACAGGTATATGCCACCTCACCTGGGTAATTATTTTGTATTTTTTGTATAGACGGGGTTTCACCATATTGCCCAGGCTGGTCTCCAACTCCTGCGCTCAAGTGATCCGCCCGCCTCAGCCTCCCAAAGTGCTGGGATTACAGGCGTGGGCCACCGTGCCTGGGCGGGTCTTGCTATGTTGTTCAGCTGGTCTTGAACTCCTGGGCTCAAGTGATCCTCCCGCCTTGGCCTGCCCAAGTGTTGGGATTACAAGTATGAGCCACTATGCCAGGCCTATTATATTGTTAAAAACATACAAAGAACATGTGTCAAAGTTTCGTTGAACTTATTTAATGAGGGAACTAGCAGAATAACAAAACAAGCTCAGTGAGGATATGAGGAACTCAGTGGAAAAAAAAAAAACCTCAGTGGAAAAAGGAATGTTCAAATAAGATTGCTAAGTTAGGTTCAAAACTGGTTCATGTCTTAGAGAACAATAAAATCTTTACCTTTGGGGTTATCATCTCTACCAGAAAAGAAAAAAGAGAAAACAGCATACCTTATCATTTTTCTACATTATCTTCTGACTTTTATAGGATTGTAAAATATCCTAGTAGTGTTAGTTAAATCAAGTTACATTTTCAGAGTCAGGTGACCCTCCTGGCGGGGGATGGGGGGGAGTGTTTATTAAAAATGCAATAGCATGACATTAAAAGGTCACATGATCATCTTTTTTGCCTAGTTTCTAAGTTTTGGGTTTTTTGTTTGTTTGTTTGTTTGTTTGTTTGTTTGTTTTTTTGTTTAACAGACCATGACAGACCATAATATGGGGTACAATAATAGGAAAAACTAGGATGATATCTTAAAGTCATTTAATGAAAAAAAAAAAAAAAAAAAAAAAAAAGACTGCACTTCTGGGACCTCAGACTGCTACCTAAAACAGAAAGCCAGTCACCTATTTCAGGTAGATGTGGACTCTTTCACAGGGGTTAATTTTCCCATGTTGGATTTAACTACCAGTATCTTCCTTTTAAAACCTTACCCTCAGATCCAGACAACATTGTTCTTTAGTCAAGCAAAGCATGTATAAGCAGCCTTTTCTTCTGAGTTCTCCTGGAAGGGACCCACAGCTATTCATTTTCAAATGAATTTTAAAAGAAAAAAAGCCTTGAAACTATAGCTCGGGCTGATGTGCATGTGTCTGCCTGCTCTTTTAGGGGACATTTGTCTGTTAGGGGACATTTGATAAAGTTCAACAGGACACAGGCCCTCAACATTTTGTAGCTCACAGATAGACATGTGGAAGGCAGGAAGCTATGATAGGGGTTAAAAGAATATGCTTGTTGATCTTTAAATTTATCTGACTCTGTCTGTGAGGAAGTAAGCTGTTTTCTCTGCCTGTTTTTGTATGTGTTCGGCAAAAGTACATTTTCCCCTCTGCCTGCCCAATTGTTGATGGGTGAAGTGTGTACACTTGCAGCTTGCATGTCCTATGTGTGCTGAGCATAACCATTCTCAGCTCACTTGCCGTGGCCTCAGCTTTCATTTGCTAGGTGTTTTAGATCTCTCTTTGGCACATTTAGAGCCCATTTTGATATTTGTTTAAAGTGGTTGGTGAATGTGGCTGTTCTTTTTTGATCCATGAGGCGAAAGGCCAGTATTTTGCCTAATTGTACCACTCCAAGATAAAGCTCACAGTTACTTTGTTCTTCTTGATTTATGAAGGGATCACAAATCTACTTCAACAAGTGTCATAAAGTAGAGATTTTCAGGTTACTGTTCTACATTCAAAGACCCTGACATGGACCTCTTTAATCATATTTCACTTTTCTTTAAACTTTAAACTCAAGGGCCATTAATTTTGTGAATTATATGGATGATTGTTTTCAAGATGTTTGTCTCTCTTCACAAGGTAGCAGTAATTTTTCTGGGTGTGTTATGTTATGTTATGTTATGTTATGTTATGTTATGTTATGTTATGTTATGTTATGTTATGTTATTTAGAGACAGTGTCTCCTTCCATAGCCTAGGCTGGAGTGTAGTGGTATGATCATGGCTCACTGCAGCCTCAACCTCCCAGGCTCAGGTGATTCTACCACCTCAGCCTCCCGAGTAACTGGGACTATACACATGTAACCACCTAACCTGTTTTTTTTTTTTAAATTTTTTGTAGAGATGGGGGTATCACTATGTTGCCCACGCTGGTTGCCCTCCTGGGCTCAAGTGATCCTTTCGCTTTGGCCTCCCAAAATGCCAGGGTTATAGGCAGGAGCCACCGTGCCCTGTCCAGGTATGTATTATAATGTGCAGAGCCTCATCTTGCTCACAACATTTAGTCCTGGTGTCCTTGGGCATGTGGGCATCTGCTGTGTGTTAGGCACCAGAGGATATAAACTCAAATGAGATGGACTGAATGGAATATTGTCACAAATGTAACTTCTAGAGGATGATAGTTTTAGCTCCTATGACCTGCCTTTGGGAATTCTGTGCTTTAAACATTGTTCTACAAAGATATTCTGTAAAGATGTTCTGGATTAAAATGCCACTTGAGAAGTTTCTGGCTGAATTCATCCAGCAACTGTTAGAATGTGCTAAATGAACCTACAGTTAGCTTTTTGGCCCTGATGGCTGTGTTACTTTATGGAGTAATAATGGCTGCATTCTATTCAAGGCTTACTGGCTGCCTGGCATTGTATGTATAATCTACCCATGTCTGTCTGTGTACAGTGACTAAAATTTGTTGAGCCCTTACTGTATGCCAGGTAGGAAGGAGGCCAAGCCCTTTCCATGTTTTTTTGTTTGTTTGTTTTTTGAGATTGAGTCTCACTCTGTCACCCAGGCTGGAATGCAGTGGTGCAATCTGGGCTCATTGCAACCTCCACCTCCCAGGTTCAAACAGCTCTCGTGCCTCAGCCTCTGGAGTAGCTGGGATTACAGGCGTGCACCACCACGCCTGGCTGATATTTGTATTTTTAGTAGAGATAGGGTTTTGCCATCTTGGCCAGTCTGGTCTCAAATTCCTGGTCTCAAGCAATCCACCTGCCTCAGCCTCCCAAAGTGCCGGGACTACAGGCATGAACCACCGTGCCCAGCCCCTTTCCATGCTTTTTTATCTCATCAAATTCTTCTACCACTCTATGACAGGTAACTGAGGCATATCAGTGTTAAAAGCCATACTCACAGTCACACAAACTAGTGAGGAGCAAAGAGAGCATTAGAATCTAGGCCAACCAGCTCTGCAACCTGAGCTCAAGCGGGCAGCATTATCTGGGTGTCTGAATTGTCCTGACAGGACTGTGCTCCTCACCATTATTGTCTGCTGTATTATGCCTTCCCCAAGTGTCCATTCAGGTGGAATCATGGTATTTAACTTATTTCTGTCTGCATTTTAAATAATTCTCTTCAAAAGTTGGCCCTTTCAACTCAAAAGAACAACCTTTGCCTGGATTTATGGGCTTGTGTTGTTTTTTCCTACAAATTCTGAAATTAAGGCAATTAGGGAAAATATTTCGTTATTATTAATTTGTAAGCACACGTTGTTTTGCAGTGTTCAGCAGGCTATGCTTTCTAGGAGTTTGACTGTCTTTTCTATCAGTGGTAAATAATCAAGATGTGTGACTATCCAATTGTTCCCCATCCACGGGGCCCTCAAAACCAACCAATTCCAGCTCAAATTATTCTTGAAACTTTAAACATACAGTTTTCTTTCAGAAAAACAATTTCTAAAACTAACAACTGGAACCTGTTAGATTCTGTTGTGAGAAATGTTATTCCAAGTAGGGTCTGGAGTAATTAAGTACAAGTGTGTTACCAATAAGAACCCACATCATTTGGTGGTTTCTTCAGGCTTTGTAACTGTTGTAGTGCAGAAAATGTGGTGGAGGGGGGCGGTCTTGTGACTCAGGGAGAGCTGTGACCTCAGTGAGTTTTAATCGCCTGACTGAGTTGATCGTGGTGATTATGCATAATGGAATCTTATTTTCTTAATGGCAAGATTATCGAATCTTAGCTTGGAAAGGGACTTTAAGATCATGTGTTTTAACCCTTAGCTTTCTACCAGATCAAAATCTAAACCATCTGAGATATCACCGTGATCATTACTGGATATTTAAACTTGTTAAGCTTGGGGCTCCCACAGCGACTCCATGTCAGTGTGTCTCTAACCTGGTCCTGCTCCAGGTGCACTACGTCATCAGAATTTTGTTTTGGGGGCAGGAGTAGGGATAGAAGCCTTAGAATCTTTTAAAAAGTTCAGGTGATTCTGCTGCTTGATCTAAAGCTTGGGCATTCATTTTGCACAATGGTACCGATAGGGCAGTACCATGTTTTTAATTCTAGTTTCTTTTCTCAAGAACATGAATTGGTAGCTGGTGACTTCAATTAGAAAATATTTTCATCTTATTTCTAAAGTAGCTTTATGGATAAAGTATTAATAGCTATATTAGTGAATATGTAAGTAAACACAATCATGCTGGAAATTATTGTAAAAGTTTACTACAAATACACAAAGAACATAGTGCTATGTAAACAGTGCTTGATTTAAGTCCATTAGAATTAATACATTCTGGCTGGGTGTGGTGGCTAACACCTGTAATCCCAGGACTTTGGGAGGCCAAGGCGGGCGAATCACTTGAGGTCAGAAGTTCGAGACCAGACTGGCCAACATGATGAAACCTGTCTCTACTAAAAATACAAAAAGTAGCCAGGCGTGGTGGTCCATGCCTGTAGTCCCAGCTACTCAGAGGCTGAGGCACAAAAATCGCTTGAACCTGGGAGGCAGAGGTTGCAGTGAGCCGAGATTGTGGCACTGCACTCCAGCCTGGGCAACAGAGTGAGACTATCTCAAAAAACAAAAAAAACCAAAGAGAATTAATACATTCTAATTGCGGAACTTCTGTACTCAGTGATTCTCCATCCCACTCTATACCTGGTGGTAGTGAGATAGGCACAATTTCTAGCAATGGTCCTCAAGATTCTACTCTTAAGTCCCCACAACTTCTACATGTGATGAGCTATCACTCCAGTGATTTTGTTATGTTATATGGCACAATTGATCTTTAAACAGGGAGGTGATCCAGGTGGGCCTAACATGAGTCCTTAAGAGCAGAGAACTTTCTCCTGTCTAGTGGCAGAAGAGAAAGTCAGAGGAGGACTTGCTGCTTTGAAGAGGGAGGGGTCATGTAAGAAGGAAATGGGCAGCCTATAGGAGCAGAGAGTAGACCTTGGCTGGCAGCCAGGAAAGAAATGGAGACCTCAGACCTACGGCCGCAAGGTGCTGGATTGTGCCAACAACCTGAGTGAATTTGGAAGTGGGTTATTCTTCCAAGCCGCCAGATAAAAGTCTAGCCTATTCACATCTTGATATTGGCCTGTGAGACCTTGAGTGAACAAAGAATCCAGTTGAGCCTATCGGGACTTTTGACCTACAGAACTGTGAGATAAAAAATGGGTGTCGTTTTAGATAACCCATGGCAGCATTCCCTCCTCTGCTGGAATGTCGTCAGTGGAGACTGACTGGGGATTCTGGACTTCCATCCCCATCCTCCCACTCAGCAGTGGTAGGCAGCTCCCCCTCCCCACTAGAGAATGGGGAAAATCTTGGAGAGGAGGGAGCTGAAGAAAGGAATTAATTAAAGGAATATTCCCTGCCTGCATTGGAAGTCCTGGGCAAACAACTCCTAACCCACCTGCATGTGAATCTGACTAGAACAAACATGCCAAAAAGTTTAGCAATAGAAACTTTAACACAGAATATCACCCAGGTTTTCAGAATGACCTCTAAGTAACAGAGATGAAGCAGACCAGAATAGTACTGCAAGGGCTCTGAAATCAAACTATCGTTAAAACTGCAGCCAACGAAAATAGCCCAGGATGTGCGTACTTAGCCTCAATAGGGTTAATGCCAGCTAAAATTTAAATAGTATCTAGAGTCTTGTAAGATAATAACCCAAGTGCCCAAGGTACAATTTAAACAATCACTTGTCATACCAAGAACCAGGAAAATCACAACTCGAATGAGAAAAGCCAATCAACAGATATTAATACTGAGAAGACTCAGATGTTGGAATTATCTGACAAAGGTTTTAAAGCATCTGTCATAAAATTGCCTTAATAAGCAATTCCAAACACTCTTGAAACAAATGAAAAATTAGAAAATCTCAGCAAATCAATAGGTTTTTTAAAAATGGAAGTTATTGAACCAAAAAATAAACAAGTTAAAAAGCTCACCAGATGAGCTCAATAATAGATGACAGAGGAAAGAATCAGTGAACTTGAAAATAGATCAATGAAACTTACTTAGTCTGAACAACAGATAGAAAATAGTCTGTAAAAAATGAACAGAGCCTTAGAGGCCTATGGGATAATAACATCAGATCTAACATTTGGGTCATCAGAATTCCAGAAGGAGAAAAGAAGGTTATGATAATAAACAATATTGAACGAAATGATGACTGAAAACTCACCACATTTGGCAAAAAGCATAAATCTTCAGAATTCAGAAGCTGAGCAAAACCTAAACAGGATAAACCTAGAGAAATCTATGCCAAGATACATACTAATCAAGCTTCTAAAAATGAAAGGCAAAGAAAATGCAGCAAGAGAGACATGACATATACTTACAAGGAAGAATGATTTGAATGACAATGAATTTCTCCTGTAAAATAATGGAGTCCAGAAGGAAGTGTACAACATTTTCATGGGCTGAAAGAAAAGAAAGATTAACTCTGAATTCTTTGTCTGGTGAAAATATCCTTAAGGAATGAAGAGAAAATGAAAACATTCTCAGATGAAGGAACACTAAGAGAATTTATCAATAGCAGACCTATCCTTAAATAATGCCTAAAGAAAGTTTTTTAGGCTGGGCACGGTGGCTCACGCCGGTAATCCCAGCACTTTGGGAGGTTGAGATGGGCGGATCACAAGGTCAGGAGATGGAGACCATCCTGGCTAACACGGTGAAACCCCATCTCTACTAAAAATACAAAAAAATTAGCCAGGCATAGTGGCGGCCGCCTGTAGTCCCAGCTACTCGGGAGGCTGAGGCAGGAGAATGGCGTGAACCTGGGAGGGGGAGCTTGCAGTGATCCGAGATCATGCCACTGCACTCCAGCCTGGGCGACAGAGTGAGACTCCATCTCAGAAAAAAAAAAGTTTTTTAAACATAAAAGAAATGGTAACAGAAGAAACTTTGGAATTTCAGAAAGGAGAAAATAGCAAATGGGTAAAAATAGGGAGTATGTATAGTAGGCCAAGTATAGGGTATGTGTCATTAATTTTTTTCTGTTGTTGTTGTTGAGACGGAATCTTGCTCTGTTGTCCAGGCTGGAGTGTAGTGGCACATTCTTGGCTCACTGCAATCTCTGCCTCTCAGGTTCAAGTGATTATCTTGCCTCAGTCTCCTGAGTAGCTGGGATTACAGATGTGCACCACCATGCCTGGCTAATTTTTGTATTTTTAGTAGAGACGGGGTTTCACCATGATGGCCAGGCTGGTGTCAAACTCCTGGCATCAGGTAATCCACCCGCCTTGGCCTCCCAAAGTGCTGGGATTACAGGTGTGAGCCACTGTGCCCGGCTTGTATCATTAATTTTTAAAAACATGTTTGATGGTTGAAGCAAAAATTAGATCATCTGGTGTGGTATCCAATATATATTGAGGTAATATGCAAGAAAATTATATTTAAGAGGTGGGGAGGATGTAAAAGAACCTAACTGGAAGTAAGGTTTTTACACTTCACTGAAATAGGAAAATGTTGATCGAAGTAGTCTGTGACAAGTTACATATGTATATTGTAATAACTAAAATACTCTAAAAATCACTAAAAGTATAACTGTACAAAGAGATATACTAAAACTGCCTATATATAAAAGGAAATTCTAAAGAATGTACAAGTAACCCACAGGAAGACAAGAAAAAGGAAACAATGAAAAACAGAGTGAACAAACAGAAAACAAATAATACAATGGCAGGTGTAAGTCCTAACATGTCAATATGTGTTTTAAATATACCAATTAAAAAACAGAGATGATAGATAAAAAAAAAAACTTGACTCAACTATATGCTGTTTGTAAGAAACTCACTTCAAATATATTGATATAGGCACGTTGGAAGTAAAAGTTGGAAAATACATACTATGCAAGTATTAATTTTAAAAAAGCAGGAGTGGCTACATATAATATCAGATAGGGTAGACCAGAGAGCAAAGAAAATTACCAGGGACAAAGAAGGACATTACACAATGATAAAAGTGTCATTCCACCAAGAAGACGTAGCAGTCCTAAATGTGTATGGGCCAAGCAACAGAGCTGCAACATATATGGAGCAAAAACTGATAGAACTAGAAAATAGACAAGTACACAGTTATAGTTGGCAACTTAGCATCTCTTTCTCAGCACTTGACAGAATTACTAAACAGAAAATCAGCAAGGGTATAGAAGGCCTGAACAACATAATCAACCAAGAAGTTGTAATTGATGTTTACAGAATATCCTACACAGAAACAGCACAAAACACATTTTTTTCAAGTACCCATGAAATATCTGCCAAGTTAAACCATATCCTGGGTCATAAAACTAACCTCAATATATTTAAGGGAATTGAGATAATAAAAAAGGTGTTCTTTGACCATAAGTAATTAAGCTAGAAGTCAGTAATGGAAAGATCAGAAAATCTCCAAACACTTGGAAATCAAATCACACACTTCTAAATAATCCACAGGTCAAAGAAGAAGTCTCAAAAAGATTAAACAAACACATAGAACTGAATGAAAATGAACATACAACATATTAAAATGTGTGGGACCCAGCTAAAGCAGTACTGAGAGGAAAATTTATAGCACTAAAGTTTACATTAGAATGGAGGAATGTTCTCAGATCAATAATCTAAGGTCCTACCTCAAGAAACTAGAAAAAGTGAAATAAACCGAAAACAACCAGAAGAAGGAAATAATGAAGATAAGAGCAGTAATCATTGAAGGTGAAAACAGAAAAACAACAGAGAATATCAATGAAAAAGCCAGTTCTTTAAAGACCAATAGGCTGGGTACAGTGGCTCATGTTTGAAATCCCAGCATTTTGGGAAGCGGGAGTGGGAGGATCACTTGAGCCCAGGACTTTGAGACCAGCCTGGGCAGCATAGCAAGACACTATCTCGCCAATCAAAAAATAATAATAATAATCAAAAAATTAGCTGGACGTGGTGGTGCATGCCTGTGGTCCCAGCTACTCAAAAGGCTGAGGTGGGAGGATTACTTAAGCCTGGGAGGTTGAGGCTGCAGTGAGCTGTGATTGTGCCACTGCACTCCAGCCTGGGTGACAGAATATGATCCTATTTCAAAATAAATAAATAAAAAGATCAATAAAATGGGTAAACCTCTAAGAAGACAGGCAAAGATGAAAAAGACACAAATTAGCATAGTAGGAATAAAACAGGTGATATCATTACAGATTCTGCAGCTATTAAAGGGACAATAAGCGAATACTAAATTATATGTACATACATTTGACAACTTAGATGAAATGAACCAATTCCCTGAAAACTACAAACTACCAAAACTTACCCAAAGTGAAATAATGTCAATAGTCCTATAACTAACTGTTAAAGAAATTGAATTTGTCATGTAAAAGCTTCCAAAAAAGAAATCTCCAGGCCTAGAGGTTTTTCGTCATAATTTCCACCAAACATTTAAAGAATTAGCACCAATTCTGCATAATCTTTTCGAGAAAATAGAAGAGGAGGGAATGTGTCCCAATTCATTTTATGAGGCCAGTATTACCTTAATACCAAAACCAGATAGTGCAACAAAGAAAACTGCAGGCCAGTGTCCCTCAAGAACATAGACACAAAAGTCCTCAGCAAAGTATTAGCAAAACAATCCAGCAACTTATAAAAAAAATTATATACTATGACCAAGTGGGGTTTATTCCAGATGTGCAAGGCCACTTCAGTGTTTGGAAATCAATCAGTGTAATCCATGATATCAACACGCTATGGGAGAAAAAATCAAATCGCATAATCAGATCAATTGATGAAAAAAATTGACAAAATTCAACGCCATTCATGATAAAAACTCTCAGCAAACTAGGAATAGAGAGGAATTCCCCCAACTTGATAAAGAGCATCTACAAAAATGCTGCAGTTAGCACCATATTTAATGGTGAAAGACTGTATACTCTCCCCCTGAGAATGGGGAAATAAGGTAAGAATGTCTGCTCTTACCAGTCTCATTCAACGTAATACTGGAAGTCCTAGCTAGAGCAACTAGTTGAGAAAAAAATAAAAGACATATGAATTGGAAAGGAAGAATAACATCTTATTTGCAGATGACGTGATTCTCCAGTAGAACATCCCAAGAATTTACCAAGTAACTCCTAGAATAAGTGAGTGCAGTAAGGTCACAGGATATAAGATCAAACACACAATTTAATATTTCTAGATACTAGCAATGAACATATGGAAACTGAAATTAAAAACACAATGCCATGTACAGTCTCTCCCAAAAGAATTGAAATACAGTTATGCATTGCTGAACAACAGGGATATGTTCTCAGAAATGCATTGTAAGGTGATTTTGTTGTTGTGTGAACATCATAGAGTAGTATACTTATACAAACGTAGGTGATATAGCCTACTACACACCTAGCCATATTGTATGGCCTATCACTCCTAGGCTACAAACCTGCACAGCATGTTACTGTAGGCAGTTACGACACAATGGTAAGTAGTTGCATATCTAAACATATCTAAATATTGGCTGGGCACTGTGGCTCACACCTGTAATCCCAGCATTTTGGGAGGCCAAGGTGGGTGGATCACTTGAGGTGAGGAGTTCGAGACCAGCCTGGCCAACATGGTGAAACCCTGTCTCTACTAAAAATACAAAAATGAGCTGGGCATGGTTGCCTGTGCCTGTAATCCCAGCAACTCAGGAGGCTGAGGCACGATAATCGCTTGAACCTGGGAGACGGAGGTTGCAGTGAGCTGAGATCTCACCACTGTACTCCAGCCTGGGCAACAGAGCAATACTGTCTCAAAAAAACAAAAACAAAACCATATATAAATATAAAAAATGTACTTAATACAATAGAAGTATGGTATTATAATCTTATGGGGACCATTGACGTATATGTTGTCTATTATTGACAAAAACAATGTTATGTAGCATATGACTATACTTAGGTATAAACTTAACATGTACAGGATGTGCATGCTGAAAACAACAAAATGTTGTTAATAGTATTCAAAGAAGATCTAAATAAATGGAGAGACATACCATATTCATGGACTGGAGTCAGTGTGGTTAAGATGTTGATTCCCCCAAATTAACCTGTAGATCTAATGCAATTTCTATCAAAATTCCAGCAAGATTTTTTTTTGTAGCTATAGACTAGTTTATTTTAAGATTTATAAAAGAAATCAGGAGAACTACAATAGTCAAAACATTTTGAAAACAATTTTGAAAAAGAAGAGCAAAATAGGAATCTACCCAATTTTATGAGTTAACTTTAATAGTTATAGTAATCAAGACAGTCTAGTATTGACACAGGAATACACATATAGATAAAGGAACGGACTAGAGAACCCAGAAATAAACCTACACAAATATGCCCAAGTGACTTTTTGACAAAAGGGCAAAAGCAATTCAATGGAGGAAGGATAGCCTTTTCAACAAATGATACTGGAGTATTTGGACATCCATAGACAAAAAAAGTGAAACTCGGCCTAAATCTAACATCTTATTAAAAAATTAACTCAAAACGGATCATGGATTTAAATGTAAAACATAAAACTATAAAAGTGTTAGAATTAAACATAGGCAAACATTTTGGGGACCTAGGCCTAGGTGAAGAGTTCTTAGATATCATACCAAAAACAAAATCTTTTTTGTTTTTGCTCCGTTGCCCAGGCTAGAGTGCAGTGGCACAGTCTCAGCTCACTGCAGCCTCGACCTCCCAGGCTCAAGTGCTCCTTGTGCCTCAGCCTCCCAAGTAGCTGGAACTACAGGTGTGAGCCACCACGCCTGGCTAATTTTTTGTATTTTTTGTAGAGATGGAGTCTCCCTATGTTGCCCAGGCTGGTCTCAAACTCCTAGACTCAAGTAATCCACTGCCTTGGCCTCCCAAAGTACTGGGATTACAAGTGTGAGCCACCACACCTGGCCAACACAATCTATTAAATAAAAAAAGATCAATTAGACTTCATCAAAATGTGAAGAGGATGAAAAGATAGGTTACAGACTGGGAGGAAATATTTGCAAACCACATGTCTGACAAAGGACTTGTATCTAGAATGTGTAGAGCTCTCAAAATGCAACAGTAAGAAACCAAAACAATCTAATGAAAATGGGTGAAATACACGAACAGACATTCACTGAAGAGAGTATGCAGATGTAAAATAAGCACATGAAAAGATGTCCAACATCATTAGTCATTAGAGGAATGCAAATTAAAACCACAACAAGAAATTACTATGTATCTATTAGAATGGCCATTAGGATGGCTAAATTAAAAATGGTGATAACACCAAATGCTGGCAAGGTTGCAGAGAAACTGGTTCTCTCATATATTGATGGTGGGAATGAAAAGTGGTTCAGTCAGTTTGGAAAATAGTTTGGCAGTTTGTTATAGAACTATGTGCTTCCCATAGGATGCAGCAGTTATACTTTTGGACACTCATCCCAGAGAAATAAAAACTTAAGTTCACAGAAAAACCTGTACACAGATGTTCATAGCAGCTTTATTTGTAATAATTGCAAATTGGAAATATCTTGAATTGTCTTTGAGTGGATGAATGGTTAAACAAGTTCCGGTCCAACCATACCATGGAATACTACTCAGCAATAAAACAGAATGAACTCGGATACACACAACAACTTAGATAGATCTCAGGGGCATCGTGCTGTGTGAACAAAGCCAACCTAAGATGTTACACACTGTATGATTTCATTTATATTACATTCTCAAAATGACAAAGCTATAGACTTGGAGAGCAGATTACTGGATGCCAAGGGACAATGACAGGGTGTGGGGAAGACTGGTACCACAATAAAGGGGTAGCATGAGGGAGTTCCTTTTGAAGATGGAATAGTTCTGTATCTTGACTGTATATTGATTGTGATCCAGTGTGTAGATTTGTGCAAATCTACACATTGGATCAAGTTGCAAAGAGTTACACACAAATCAGTGTATGGAATGACTGATGAAAACGGAATAAGGTCTGTAGTGAACAGTATTGTACCAATGTCAATTTTTTTGTTTTGATATTGTACTATAGTCATATATCATCACTGAGGGAAGCTAAGTGAAGGGTTTATGGGACTCCATGCACCGTTTTTGTAAGTTCTTGTGAGTAGATAATTACTTCAAAATAAAAATTAAAAAAAATCTCCAATGGGTCTCAACCTTGGCAGCACACAAGTATCGCCCAAGGAGCTTTAAAAATCCCGATGCCCAGGCTGCATCTTAGTCTCATCTTTATCTCTGATTGTGAGTCTCAGCATTAGTATTTTTTAGGATTTCTAACTCTTGTCCTTGTTGTTTTCCATTAAATTAAAAAAATAATAACCACCACCAGGACCATACCACTTTCCCATACACTGCAGTTCTCCAGCTCTTTGTGGGTGATGGGTGATGGGTGACAGATTACAGGTGTTTCAGTTCTTTCTCAGGAGGTCAGACTCTGTCATCCTGTTGTCATGTCTGAGGCTGGGATTTGGGGAAGCCCCACCCCCAGCTTTGAGCAGGTCCAAGGAGGCATTATCACTTGGCCTGTCTGTGGTTGGCCTGGAGACTGGAGGGCCAATGACAGAAGTAGAGTTGGGAGGAGAAAAGAAGGATGGAGGAAGAGAGAAGTGGGGGTGGAGTGTGAGAGGATGTGGGCCTCAGAGACCCTGTTGAGCCTCACCCTGGGCCTAGTCTCTTGGAGCAAGCATGTTTGAGGAGGAGAAAGAAGGGGAGGGGAAGATGAATGTTGGGGATGGGATTGCAATTTATGATAGGGAGGCCAGGAAAGGCCTCATGAAAAAGGTGATTTAAGTCAAGACTTGAGGATGTGAGGAAGAACTTTGTGGGGATCTGGGGGAAAGAGCCCTTCGGGCAGTGGGAACGGCACGTGCAAAGGCCCTATGGAGGAGGGTGTCCCTGGCTTGTTGGAGGAACAACAGAGAGACCAGTGCACCACCACTGCCGGAGGGAAGAGGGCAGGGGAGAGCAATAGGAGAAGGGGTTAGAGGACATAGGTTACAGGGCTCCAGATCAGGGAGGGCCTTGTGACTTGTGACTCTGAGTGAGATGGGAAGTAACTGGGGAGGCTGATGCGACCAGAGATGTTTTAACAGGTTCCCTCTGGCTGCCGTGTTGAGAAAAGACTGCAAGGGGGAAGGGTGGAAGCGAGGAGAGCAGTTTGGAGGCCCTTTGCAGGAATACAGGGGAGACCAGGGGGTGGCAGTGGGAGGGTGAGAAGTGGTCAGATTCTGGATATTTCTGTAAGTACAGCCAACGGGATTTGCTGGTAAGACTGGGGGTGTGGCAGGAGAGGAAGGAGGGAGAGATGACTCTAAGGTTTTTGTCCTGTGCATTGGGAAGCATGGTAGGGATGTGGGTCTGGAGTGTGGGGGCCAGGTCCAGGCTAGAGATAGGAATTTGCACAGCTGCCCGGCTGTCAGCCCAGGCCCACCACAGAACCACCTCTGGCACTACAATTCCTGTTTGATGCAAGGATGGCTGCTTTTCTTACCTGTCACCCTGTGATGTGAAATCATGCATTTAGAGCAACTTGGTAAATATTAATTTGTCAACAAATATTAGCTATTAATATCAGTATTAAGCCACTCCAAGACACTGGAGAAATACTTAGATGGTGTTTAGCAGTTTGGTACTGTAGGATTCGGATGCTGAGATGGAGTTAGGAGTAGAGGAGGTTTGTTTGGGGGCTGGGGGGATAACACCCTTGAAGGATGAGAGAGCAGAGGAGCAGGGCAGGGAGAGCCTCAGGTGGTGATGCCAGTCTGTCCTGGCCAGCCTAACAGGGGGCTTCTGGACAAAAATTGCTCCATGAAAGCAAAGGGGAGATGCTAGCCAAAGGGCACAAACTTGCAATTACAAGACGAGTTCTGGAGACCTGCTGTGCAGCACGGTAACTAGAGTTAATAATCATGCATTACATACTTAAAATTTGAGAGTAACTCTTGCGTGTTCTTATTACAAAAAGGGAACTCTGTGAGGTGATGAGTCTCTTAATTAGCTTGATTGTGATCGTCATTTCACGGTGTATATATATGTCAGATCATCATGTTGTACACCTTATATTAATACAATTTTTCTTTGTCAATCATACCTCAGTAAGGCTGGAAAAAAAAAAAAAGAAATGGGCAGAAATGGCCAGGCTCTAGGACTGCACTCCCCAGATTAGTGACCAGCTGTTGGCTCCTCAGCGAGAGCATGGCCTCTGCTAGAAAGAAAGCTGAGGCAGATTCCAAAGGTGCAAGTTAGTTCTTTCCTTCTTCTTCTTCTTCTTCTTCTTCTTCTTTTTTTTTGTTTGTTTTTGGAGACAGGGTCTCACTCTGTTGCCCAGGCTGGAGTGCAGTGGCGCGATCATGGCTCACTGCAGCCTCGACCTCCAAGGCTCAAGTGATCCTCCCACCTCAGCCTCCTGAGTAGTTGGGACTACAGGCGCGTACCACCACATCTAGCTAATTTTTTGTTGTTGTCTTTTGAGACAGAGTCTCTCTCTTTCACCCAGGCTGGAGTGCAGTGGTGCGATTTTGGCTCACAGCAACCTCCGCCTCCCGGGCTCAAGCGATTCTCCTTCCTCAGCCTCCTGAGTATCTGGGACTACAGGCGTGCACTAACACACCTGGCTAATTTTTGTATTGTTTGTAGAGACAAGGTTTCACCATGTTGCCCAAGCTGGTCTTGAATTCCTGAGCTCAGGTGATCCGCCCACCTTGTCTTCCCAATGTGCTGGGATTACAGGTATGAGCCACCATGCCCAGCCCCAGCTATTTTTTTTTTTTTTTTTTTTGTAGAGACGGGGTCTCACTATGTTGCCCAGGCTGGTCTCAAACTCCTGGGCTCAAGCAATCCTCCTGCCTCAGCCTCCCAATGTGCTGGGATTACAGGTGTGAGCCACTATGCTGGCCAAGTTCTTTCTTGAAGGAACATATGGGCAGTACATCTTTAGGGCTACCCAGAAGACATTTTGTTTCACTTTAGCTTCTTAACTCACAAAGGGATATGAAATAGTATATTGCCCCACTCGCAGGCTAAGGGGTAAATTTCATCATCTTTATGCCACTGAGGGAGATGAGATAAATTCTTGAGGAGAGTTCAGGGAGAGTGAAGGTGAAGATGTGAAAGTCTCTTTAATGTGTAGTCACAACATGTACTAGCACAAAAGTCACACAAACACACAGTTATTTGTGGAATGAGGTGTATGAAGTCAGCCCGTTTTTGCTCTTAGCTGTCTATTTTGCTCGTCATGAAGGAGAGCTTTTCATTATTGTCATACTTCCTCTGGGACCACCAGGATTTTCTCATGAAGACTAACAAAGAGATGATATCATGTGTCTGGGAGTCAGGGTGAAAAACAAAGTGGGCTTGCCTGAGTTTGTAAGCTGAGAAGTTGTCCGAGTCAAACCACATCCTGCCCTGGGTTTCTAGAGGCAGGTGGTCCCAGATGGAGACCCAGAGCGGGAGGAACTGTGCCAATGCTTTCCTAAGAGCCATGCTCAGTTCCCAGGAGGTGTGGGGGAGGCCCTGGTGACTATGTCCTCTTTACACTGAAGTTTTCTTCTAGGGAGGCCACAACTCACTGGTTGCCAGTAAAGGTTGTGAAGTTGGTTCCAGTTCCAGTTGTGGCTGTGCTGTGAACCAGCTGTGCCACTGGTGGCCATGCTGAAGCTCTTGGGGTTGTACTTTTCCTGGCTGTCAAACGAAGCCATGGTCAAGGTCTGAGATAGCTAGTGCAGGTAGGTAGTATCGGCGCAGTGGGGGCCAAGTCAAAACCAAAGAGGGACTGTTTTTGCGTATCATGGAAGAAAAAGTAAATTAACATTAAAACCATGTTTAAAATATTTATTAGATGTACATTTTAGTTGTGATTATACTACAACATAATTGGAATTGATGAAGTATTAACATGTGAACATATTCTTAGCAAAGCTGGACATGTTTGGAGAGTACCTTGTCAAGAGTGTGATGCCTGCTGCCGAAGGCTTCGGTCCAGTGGGATTTGCTTTCTGACCAGATAAGATTTTATCTAAGAGACAACATCCAAAATCAATAGGCTGACAGATTATTGGTAAAAGATACATTACAGCTGTTTAAAACCATAAACGCTATCAAGTTCTAACTGCTAAGCCTGTAGTCATATTGTAATATCGGGACCCTCATGGGCACAGATATGAAAGGAATCAGGATGGTAGCTGTCGTTCTGTAATTGCTGTTTAACAGCCTGGCTTATATTCATGATTCAATCTTTTTTTGTTTTTTTCTTGCTTCCACAATTCAATCCTTATTTCTGTAAGCTGCAAAATCGTGAGTGTGCGCACAAGTTTTTTTCTCCCCCGGTCTTGAAACTGGAATAATTGCCAATCTGCTTATTAAAAAAATACATCTGCCCTATGAAAGTAGTTTCAGCTACTCTGTGTTAAATGAGTGATTATGACATTGGGCTCTGGTGGCACGTAATACTAATGCTGAAACGCTTGAATATGGAGGTTAGTGTGGTTTCAGATGTTGAGAAATCACTTCTTTGTGCTTATTGACATTTTTCCAAGGACTGCTCTGTTATTTGGCTTAAAATGTCACATGACAGCTGATCTCTTTGGTGCATATAATCCATGCAATTATAGTGTGAGCTTCTGCTGTCAGTGGTGGTTAAAAATCCATATACCTCACTCCTTTTTTAGCCTCTGATTTTTTTTAATTCAATTTAACTCATCCTTTTATTTTAAAACTTGAATTTGAATGGGTTCCATTAACAGATATTTTAAGGTGACAATCAAGTCTAGGGCGCTGCCAGCTTGAAGCTGAACACAGTCCCTAGCCCTCAAGCTGGATGTGAGATCTAATTTAGGGCATGTTGCAATGCAGAGATGTAGCTGATTTGTAAACAGCCCTTGTGACAACGTAATACAGTTGACAAGTGATGGTTCTCAGGCAGGGTGAAGTGTGTTATCTAGCTGTCTGAGTGATCACCCTGATTGCAGTTCCACCTGGGGTTCATCTCACAGAGCCACACAGGATAATTAAAGCCACAGATTCATCATTGGTAGATTCAGCCCATTTTAGTCTCATTACAGACAAATTTAGTCCTGTCTTCATTCATTATAATGAAAGTCACACGAAGATTCACTTTACTATAAACTATATTCTTTTTCCCTTTTAAATGGAACGTACAAGTGAATGTTAAAGTATAAAAGTACTTGCAAGTCACTCGCTTTGCTAATGAGAATGTATGCAAATGTGGTGCATGTTTGCCTTTCCTGGACTCAGCCCTGTGACCCATCCCTGTGTCTGTCCTGATGGCAGGGATTGGTAGATAACTTATGTTGGCCCATCTCTTCCCAGAGTGGCTAGAATGGTCTTACGGACATAGAAGGACATGTTAAATATTCATCTGGTTTAATTGAATTTAATACACAATCCTTAAGATTAATCTGCACTTCTGGAGTTATTAAATGGCTCACTTTTTAGTAGCATATCATTTATTTGCTATTATCTGAGATAGTGAATTATTTAAGTAAAAAGGGAATGTTCTTTCCATGAGGTGGATCTTACCAAGCTGCTGCTGCTTTCATTTACAGGCGATTACCAATTATATTAAATTAGGAATGTGGGTAAAAGGAAGCATGGCCGTCTGAAGGTTTAAGATGTTTGGTTACTAGGTGTTGCATAATGTACTGCAATCTGGGATCTGGCACTTGCTGGTTGACCTATGGTCTGCTGGCACATGCATTATTAATTATCGTTTTCCATGAATATTAATGATGGTTGGATATCAGTTTAAAGAATAGTGAATCAATTAACATGTAATTTTCATATACTTTGATTTATAAACATGCACATTTTAAGATACATTTGTTTTCTTTTAGAACATTAATTTTTCCATTTCAGTTTCTCCTTTCCCTTGATACTGACTTTTTTTTTCTTTCTTTCTTTTTTTGAGACAAGTCTTGCTCTGTCGCCAGGCTGGAGTGCAGTGGTGCGATCTCGGCTCACTGCAACCTCCGCCTCCCGGGTTCAAGTGATTCTCCTGCCTCAGCCTCCCGAGTAGCTGGGATTACAGGTGCACGCCACCACACCCAGCTAATTTTTTGTATTTTAGTAGAGACAGGGTTTCACCATGTTGGCCAGGATGGTCTTGATCTCCTGACCTCGTGATCTGCCTGCCTCGGCCTCCCAAAGTGTGGGGATTACAGGCGTGAGCTACCGTGCCTGGCTGATACTGACATTTAATGGTGTATTGGAGTGATTTATATTTTTTCAGGACAATTTCTGAAGCGTTGCCAAAAATGCTGGTTGTATTTTAAAATTCAGGTGATTTCTGTAAGTTATTGAACAAGAACCAAGTGCTGTACACATACCTCAGTCTATTTATATTATAGTACTCTTTTCTACCATGGCCACCTACAACTTAATTTTATAATTTGAAATGTTACTGAACCATGAAAATATAAAAGAGCATATAACCAACATCTAGCTACCCACTACCTAGTTCTATCAAATGTTGCCATTTTGTCATACTTACTTCTGATCCTTAAAAAAATAAATAAGTAGACTTCTGATTTCAGCTCAGAGATGTAGAGAGCTGCAAAGATGTCCCTCCCACGCTTCCAAGAAAAAATCTGGACAGATTGGAAATTAACAGAGAACTGAGTTTGCAGAGCAAACGACCATTTCAAAATCTGGAAAGAGGTGCCTTCTGAGACACAGGACAGGACCTGAGCATTTGTTTACAGGAGCAGAAGCCACCAGACCCCATAGAAGTAGGTAGGAAGATTAAGCTAGAAAATTTGACAAATTGCTGGAGGCTGAGTGTGGGCTAACTTGAGAGTGTGAAGTCTTGAGGGCAGCAGTTGTGGGGGAGGGGGTCCTATCCCTTTGCAGGCTTTTCTTCCAGGAACCCCATTTGGCTCTAACTGGGAGGGTGAGGGAAAATTCAGAGAAAACTCATGGTGCTGGCTCAGGAACCACTGAGCAATCTACTTAGACCCTTCTCCTTTAAGGAGCAAAAGGCTTATTCTGCAGAGGAAGGCTATGGTCTGAGGGCCCTGGTGAATTAACCATTGCAGATGGGGGATGGAGCTCCCCTTCAGCCCCTTCCCCACTCCATCTCACCTAAAAAAAAAGGTCTTTAAGCGGGTGGTAGACTGAGAACATTGGTGATACCTGCTACAGCTGGGGGTTTGGGGTGGGAGGAGCTGTATCCCTAGGGCAAATACGTTGTGAAGCCTACACCTTCAAGACACAGGCCCGCTGTGTATATTTTAGAGACTGAGACTTGAAATATTAGAGAACTGCCCTTCTTCCCTCACCCCACCTGCAGGCTAGCAAGCCCCCAGGAATAACAGTGGGTTACAGCAGGGAGAGCTGCAAGAGACAGGCTCACACTGGGAACAGCATAAAGGAAAGCCCCAAAGCCAAGAGAGGGGACAAAAAAGGTCACTAGAGGAATTTGAAGTTTTTGATGTTCATAGGAACAACAAACCTCAACGCAGCTCAACTCCTGACTAGATTAATATCAGTTCCACACTAAGGGCTCATTTACCTTAGTATCTGCTACCTTCTATGAAATGTCTGGCTTTCAACCAAAAATTACAAGGCATGCCAAAAGGCAGGTAAAAGCAGTCTGAAGAGACAAAACACTCAGTAGAACCAGATGCAAATGCGATATAGCTGCTGCAACGATCAAAACACACATGTATCTTACCTAGCTCTGTCCACTGAGTGCCCTTTCTGTGACAGGTGCCATTTTAGGAGCCATTTCAGAATGAGCTTAACAAGGTCTGAGCTTTTAGAGAGCTTACACTCCAACAGAGTACAGAGAGCTTAACCACAGACAAGTGAAAAGATAATTATAGATAGTGAAACATGCAGCCATGAAGAAACACAGGAGAGGAAAAGGCTAGAGTGGCTAGAGTGGCTGGTGGAGTGTGTGGGCTGTTTCAGGTGAGGAGAAGTTGGAGCCCACACGTGAATGATGAGGAAGAGGCTCCTGCCATTGCTAAGAGCCATCCAAGCAGAGAACAAGAAGCATAATTGCCCAGAGGCGTGAACAAGGTTGGATCCTCCCTCGGTCTGCACTGTTGCCTTGGAAGGTAAAAACGCTATGGGCATGGTGCTGATTACAGCAAGCTTTACAATTGTGTTGCTGTCATGGCCAACCTCTAGGGATAAAGTGGTGGGTGAGTTTTCTTTAAACATGTGTAAGAATTACCTGTCTTCCTCCATTTTGAGGGACAAGGAGAATCTGTTAGATCTTGTTTGTAACCACTTCAGGACCTGGTACAGGGTGAAAAGGAATGTGAATTTGCAATTGTGAGTAGATACTGCATCATTTATCCAGTGCAACTGTATTGTTCTTTGTATTAACTCAGCTACTCCTTACCCTCCATCCCTTGCCCCAAGTAGTGATTATTCCTATGTTATAGATGGGAAAACTGAAGCTCAGAGAGGTTGCCTGACTTGAAGATTGCAGATCTATTAAGGGTCAACCCAGTTATTTGAACTCTGGCAGCCTGACTTCCCAGGATTGTGTTGTGAGAACTAATTAGAAGGACAGGTATTCTTAAAAGTGGAGCCTCTGATGAAAAAGAAAACCGAAAACCAAACATAGTTGTAAAATTCACGTACTAAGTTTATGTGAAAACATTGGCTGCTGAAACTGCCTAAGGAAATGGATTTAGTAAATGCATGTTGAACTATCTATCACTTGTTCATTTGTCATGAGTGCTTAAAATAGATGAAAATGGGTAAATAGTTGCAACGTCCCAATTTCTGCTGTGTCTTACTACACAGCAGAATACTATACAGTGTTATTGTATAGTATTAATACCGTGAGGGCAATGTTGTCTGACACTTCCCTACCTGGAACATTCTGGAAATCACTTTTTGTGATCTCAATAACTGTTAAGTAATTGGTACCAGTCTAGTGGGTTGTTTTGTTTTTGAGATGGAGTCTCGCTGTGTCGCCCAGGCTGGAGTGCAGTGGCGCGAACTCGGCTCAGTGCAACCTCCGCTTCCCTGGTTCAAGCGATTCTCCTGCCTCAGCCTCCCAAGTAGCTGGGATTACAGGTGCACACCACCATGCCCAGCTAATTTTTGTATTTTAGTAGAGACAGGGTTTCACCATGTTGGCCAGGCTGGTCTCGAACTCCTGACCTCAAGTGATCCACCTGCCTCAGCCTCCCAAAGTGCTGGGATTACGGGCATAAACTACTGTGCCTGGCCCAGTCTACTGTTTTGTAGACTGCATTTTTCACCTGCTCAAATGCTTTTCATACTTTTTCTATAGTAGTGTTTATTTTTTGAGAAGATATGAGACATAAAATAAATGAACCATATTAAGTACATGACTGGAGAGGGAGACTGTTACATTGGATTAAGAAGATGCTTGTATCCATTGGTTTTTGTTTTTCACCATTAGGGGAAGAAAAACACCTTCCCAAGAGTACCTTTCTTGATACACCAAAAGGTTGCTGGTATTTGGTAATGATATATTCATTGAGGGAAATACCAGGTGAATGGAGAGTTCTTCAACCATTAGCAATAACTGAGCACCCACTGTGTGCATAGTTCCTTTATCTGTACCATTCATGGGACTGCATGTTAGATGAGGAAAACAGCAAACAGCAAATTTTTATATAGCACTTCCCAGGGACCAGAGACATTAAGTAAGTTGCCCAAGGGAGCACAGATTGTAAATGGCAGGTCTCGACGTGGGCTGGTGGGTGGCTTAACTCCAGAGTCTGTGTTCTCTCACCCCTAATTGTACTATGGTATAGCATTGTCTGGGTGGCCTTGGCTATGTTCACAAACCTCAAACCAGACGGTAATTAGCATGAGGGGCACCCAAATCTGTCAGGTTCGGAGAACTTCTGGGAGTCTTGGCTGAGCTCTGTGATAGGGTACTGTGAGGTGTTTTTTTTTTTTTTTTTTTAATATGCAGCCATGTCTTAATTGAAACCACAACTTCCTGTGGATGCCTTATGATGTTATTTGAACAAGGGAAATAAGCACATGAATCTTTAAAAAGTTTCAAGTATGTTGATTTTTAAGAATGGATGCAATTAGTAGTTCTCATTAGCTCCACAAATTATTTACCGTGGAATGCTTTGGTTCCACATAAAGCCCTTTAACGCTAAAAGATTTTGCAGGTTCTGCTGCTTTGACTATCTAGAGCTGATTTCGACTGGCAGCTTTAAACATGCGCAGTAATGCAAGTGCCGATGCTGCCAGCACAAATGGAACAATGTATTGCTTTAATTTAAAAAACAGGCTTTGTCTCATTTTTGACTCCCTTTACATTTAATCTGACTAGTCATGTTTTCTAGGAGGATGGTGAGGGTGAGAGCAGGATTTGACTCTGTTGTTCATCAATAAAGATCCTGGAAAAAACTGGAATGTGAATTTTGATTGTGCCCTCCCATTTGTAAAGGGGAAACAAACAAAAAACAAAAACCCTAGAAGATTCTGAGGCCAGACGACAGTGTAGCCTTAGGCTGCCTAAACTCAGATGTGCCCTTCTTCCTAGGATCTTGTTAAAAGGCAGATTGTGATGGCAGCGGGTGGGGGGGGGGGGGTAGGGTTTGGGCTGGGGGCGGGTAGGTTTGGGGAAGCTGAGATTCTGCAGTTCTAAGAAGCTCCCAGTCGATCCTCCTTTTAGTAGCAATAATTTCTGACACTTTAGACCTAGCTCTCTATCTTCTGGCTGTGTGGATCACCTGGGGGAGTTTAAACAACACAGTTTCTCACAGCCACACCAGACCTATTGAATCAGATCTCTGCAGGGGTGAAACCAGCAGGTATTTGGGGAAAAAAAAAAAAGCTATAGAAATCATTTGATAATACATCTGCCAGCTTTGTTTATTGGGGATGGGGGAGTAATGACAGCTTTGAAAACTTCACTGTTGGAATCAGATTGAGATGTTTAAAGTTAAGCTTTTTGACATCCTAAGGGCTTCCACTCCAAAACTACATGAGCTATCTTAGCAGCCACCCATCTTGGAAGGGAACTCACTAGTTCTTTATGAGTATGTCCAAACTGGCTTAGATCAGAGAGAGTGGAGGAAAAAAAGAGTACTTAATGGTTAGCTTGCTGACCTGCCTAGCATTAGATAATGTCTGTGAAGGCCCCTGGAGTGCCTCCAGGGAAGCCGGGGCCCAAATATGGAAAAGAGAAGTCATGATTATGAGGTAGGAGTTGCAATTACCATCGTGAATATTTAAAGTGTTATTTCAGCTCTTTCCTACGCTCCTGGGTTTGGGGTTTCATTTCTTTTTCCTTTTTTTTTAATATGGATTCTCACTCTGTCGCCCAGGCTGGAGTGCGGTGGCGCGATCTTAGCCTACTGCAACCTCTGCCTCCCGAGTTCAACTGATTCTCCTGCCTCAGCCTCCCGAGTAACTGGGATTACAGGCACCCGCCACCATGCCTGGCTAATTTTTTGTATTTTTAGTAGAGATGAGGTTTCACCGTGTTAGTCAGGATGGTCTCGATCTCCTGACCTCGTGATCCGCCTGCCTCGGCCTCCCAAAGTGTTGGGATTACAGGCGTGAGCCACTGTGCCCAGCCTGGGGTTTCATTTCTAGCAGTGTGTGGGGAGCCAGGACAGGTTAGAAAGAAGGGCCAGGGGATGTCTTTGTTGTGATAAAGCAGATACCACCATGGAGTTTTGCCACTTTCACGGTATGATTTTATTTTATTTTATTTTTTTTGATAACTGAGACACCCCAGCAAGTGTCTTCTTAACATTTCGTAAATCTTACTATTAATCTTTTCCCCTGAGGTCAAGCAGGAAGATAAGACACCAGGTAGAGACTTAGCTTTCGCCCTCCTCAAGCTATTGTGTCTCTCTTTTAACTTGGAGTCTTTCTTTAAAACCAAGTGTTTCCCAGTGTTGCGTGTGTGACTTTTCTTAACTCCTTACATTATCTAAGGATTAAAAAAATAAGGGGCTGGGTGTGGTGGCCTATGCCTGTAATTCCAGTGCTTTGGGAGGTCAAGGCAGGAGGATCACTTGAGACCAGGGGTTTGAGACCAACCTGGCCAACATAGCGAGACCTTGTCTCTACACTAAATTTAAAAATTAGCCAGGCATGGTGGTGTGTGCCTGGCTTGGCACTTGGGAGGCTGGGGTGTGGGAGGATTGCCTGAGCCCAGGAGTTAGAGACCAGCCTGGACAACATAGTGAGACAATGTCTCTAAAATAAATAAGGGAAACCTCACAATCAGAAAAATAAAAAAAGTTGGACATTCCCTGTCTTCCTTTTCTGAAGCTTCTACGGTGAGAGATGTTGTGCATTGTCACCATGAACTTCTGTGTCAGGGAGGGTTGGAGCCGAGAAGCAGAGCGCTAAGTGTGATCTGGATAAGGGATTTCCTGCACGTTGTGGAAGCTGCCAGTGCAAGCTGCCCCCTGTGTCCTGTACTGAGTCTGAAGTCGCTGGAGGAAGGTGGGTGTGGATGAGAGCAAGGACTCCTGGAACCTGCCTCTGGCTCTCACGCCCCCAACCTCAATGACACAGTGCCCTGTGGGAGAGATTGGTGCCCTTCCCGAAAGAGAAAGATTAGCCCAGTCCAGTGGGCATCTGTTGAGTGTCTGCTATGTCTTGAGAGCTGTTCTGGGCCCCGGGGGAGAGCATGAGGGGAGAGACTGACCTGGAAGCACACTTTTCCAACCCGTTGTGGTGCGTGCCCAGTACGCTAAGGGAGCACAAAGGGAGGGGGACCTAAGAGCCTGGGGCAGAAGAGGAAGGAATTTGATCAGGTGAAGAGGACGGGCCAGAGCCCAGAGCGAGTGAGAATGAGGGTATAGTGTGAGTGTGAACAGAGGCCTACAGCTTGATGAGTACCTAGAAATAAGCCTTGCCAGAGTAAAATGGGAAGCAAGGCCAGAAGGTGAGAGGGATCTTGCACGCCCTTGAAAGGAACTTGGACTTTTGGGGTAATTGGGAACCACTGAGGCAGGATTCTAAGCAGGGGTATGCCGCACCGTCACATGTGGATGGAGGAAAGTTCCTTCAATCTGTGACCTCTCCTGAATGAGCACCTGCTCCCAGGCAAGGTTTTTATTTATTTTTATTTTATTTTAATATTTTGGAGTGCAGTGGTGCAATCTTGGCTCACTGCAACCTGCGCCTCCCAGGTTCCAGTGATTCTTGTGCCTCAGCCTCTCGAGTAGCTGGGACTACAGACATGCGCCACCACAACTGGCTAATTTTTGTGTTTTCTTGGTAGAGACCGGGTTTCCTTGTGTTGGCCAGGCTGGTCTCGAACTCCTGGCCTCAAGTGATCCGCCCACCTGGGTCTCCCAAAGTGCTGGGATTACAGGCATGAGCCACCGCACTGAGCCTCCAGGCATGTTCCCCACTGGCCACCCCTCCCCGAGACAGAGCCTTGCTCTGTCGCTCAGGCTGGAGTGCAGTGGTGTGATCTTGGATCACTGCAACCTCTGCCTCCTGGGTTCAAGTGATCCTTCTGTCTCAGTCTCCCAAGTAGCTGGGATTACAGGCACCTGCCATCATGCCCAGCTAATTTTTCTGTATTCTTAGTAGAGACAGGGTTTCTCCATGTTGGCCAGGCTGGTTTCAAACTCCTGACCTCAAGGGATCCGCCCACCTCAGCCTCCCAAAGTGTTAGAATTACAGGCGTGAGACACTGCACCTGGCCCAGGCAAGGTTTTAGAAACAGCTTTGAGGTCTAATTTACATGCCATGATATTGACCTAATGAGTATCCCAGTCAGTGCTTTTTAATATATTTACAGAGTTGTGTGACCATCTTCACAATCTAATTCTTGAACATTTCCATCACCCCCAAAAGAAACCTGTGCCCATTTGCAGTCACTCTCCATTTCCACGCTCAGCCCTAGGCAACCACTCACCTTTGTAATTTCTCCTTTTTCTTTAAGGAGAATGTTTTCTGCAAATGTATTATTTACTTTAAGGAGTCTCCCAAATTATAAACTCTTACTCTTGGCTACCCGGTTAGTTACTGCTTAGCCTGTTCCTCCCAGCACACTTGAGATTGCATGGAACAGAAACCTGTCTGGGACTGCCTTAAACACAGACATTTGTTATTTTGCATAATTGGGAGGCTAGAGGTAGGGTGGACCCCAGGGGCAGTGTGATCAGCTGCTCAGTGTGACATCAGAAACCTGTGTTCTTGCTGTCTCTTCCCCCACCGTGTTGTTCTGGCAGTAGCTTCACCCAAGGGCTGGCTTCCCTGTGGTCATCAGATGGTTGTAGAATGGTGTCCATCTGCAGTGGGGCCCTTTGCTTCCTTGCTCACAGCCCGTATGTAGGAGGAGTTATTTCTTGCAGTCTGATTGGGTGAGCTTTGTTCCCCCTGCCCACCCTGAAGCAATGATTGGCTTAGAATTAATTAGGCTGTCCTTCCTAGAGCTGGAAATGGGCTCCATGGGGGAATGGATGGCACCTGTGACCAGGAGTGGGCTCTGCTGGGGAAGGAGGAAGGGAGCCAGCTCTACTGGGTAGGCAACCAGCAGTGCTCACTGAGGGTTCCTGACCAACTGCATTGGATTGTTTGTTTCCTTTCACTTGGGGGCCTTTTTTATGTTAAATGCAAGCAAGGTGATCCTCTGATTTTGAACTTGTTATCTGGGGGAAGGCAGACCAATCCCAGTTCATCCTGGCTGAGTGACAGCGGATTTGATCGTTGATCTCAATAGGCTTGAGAGTAATAATATGTGAGTATTTTTGAAGCTGACCCTAACTTTACATCTCTGAAAAGTATCAATTCAGATCTCACTAATTCAGGAGGTTCTGATAATTTGGTCAAGAAGTTCGCTGAAGTTTACCTTTGAACAGTTTTATAGTGAGGGTAATATTGGTGATGGTGGTAACACTAACATATGTGGGAAATAAATGATTTGAGTAACATTCGAAAAACCTGTTTGCTTTAGGATAGAAATATCTAAATATACGACTAGAAGTAAATAGTAGAAAATCATTCCTATCTAGTTATTAACTTAGTCCCTTGGAATCTCTCCTTGGGGAAAAAATAAAATCCTGCTCTGACTATGTCAGTATTTGAATTACTGTATGAACCTGAAATTAACAAAAATGGACTTTCAAGTATAATTCATGCTTCACTGAGCCAAATAGACATTCTGCCAGTTATTTGGACTTTATTAAATTTTACTTTATTACTTATATGTAATAAAAAATCAAGGTAAGCCTCTGCTTTGCGAAGTCATTTATTTGATTAGGAGCTGTATTTTAGAGTGCATTTCAGGGCGAGGTTTGTCCACATGTAAGTAATGAACGTTTGCTGGTGCAGCTCGTAATGGTGAGAACGGATGTTGAAGAAAGCAAACACCATATGCCCTTTGTTTCCCGTGCATGTCCTCTTCTGGAGGCCTGGGTGGAGTGTTTCAGCTGTCTCAAATAATCTCCATTTTGCTGTTACTGCAGACTCTGCGGTTCTCCAGCTCTCTCCTCTCTGATGTTAATTATAACTTCTTCCTAATTAGGTGGCTCTTCCTCCTCCTCAGTCATACAGGTTCCACACTCTCAAGTGCCAGAGATTGGATTACTTTTCACTTGATTTGCGACAGAAATAAGTGCAAAGAATTACAAAAAAACCACCAGTGTGAGTGTGTAGTGGGAGGGGCAGGCGGGTTGGGTACGGGACAGGATGCTTAGAATAATTTTGCTGCCAAGTGAATCAGAGAGACTTGCAGTTCTCGGAGAGCACGGAACTTATTCCTGCCCAGAGTTCAGACACAGCCAGAAATTACCATTTCATACTTCACAGAATGGAGGTTTCAGCAGCCAAAGCCCCAAGTGCCGCAGACTTGTCTGAGATTGTAAGTAGGCCATACATCTGTTTTGATTGTTGCGATGTCTGCATCTTTTGTAGCCTGTTGCCCGACTACTTTGTAGGCCAGGAGGGAGGCATGATGGGGAATTTGGTCTCAGGCCAGTCCTTCCAAGATGGTGACCAACACTGTTTTCCACTTGGCCCCAGGTCTCAGTTTTCTGGTTTATAGCCGAAGGGTATTTCTTTCACTAAGCCCTTGTCTGTGATAGAAGTGGATTCTTTGGCTGAGTTCCTTTTGTAGTGGCATTTATAAAGATTTTGAATAGCTCTGTCATCTGGTTTGGTGGCTCTTTCCCTCTCTGATCACTATCGACAGCCAGGTGAGTTTTCTCCAGGGGACACGGCACACAGATAGCTGCATTCAACCAAACCCCCTGCAGGCATCCATTTCTGCAGTGAGGTACCCCTCTCAGGGGTTGGGAGCAGGTAACATTTCTGATGCAGCTGGCAGATCTGGGAATCTAGGGGGGAAGCCAGGTGTGGAATTTAGCTTTCCTGTAGTGTGAAGAAATAAAGGGGGTGGGGGTAAGAATGAGATGGGAGACAGGAGAGAAAGTCAGCTTGGGGTCTGTCAAGAGCACTGTCCTGTTGCCAGATGCCAACTGAGGTGTCGGGAGAGGTTCAGTTCCCCACTCAGCTAACTGTGCAGCCATGGGCTGCTAACCAAGATCTCTCCAAGTCTTACTTTTCTCATCTGAAAATCTGCATCCTACCACCTCGCAGGACTACTGGATTGTTTAAAGTAATGAATGTGAAGGCACCTGGTGCTTGGTTGCCATCCTTCTCCTTTTCCATGGCACTCTATGCCATAAATGCAAGCAGTGTGCTGGGCTCTGTGAGATGCCACCAGTGTTGCTGTCCTGGCTTGTTTCAGGCCATCTTTTGTGGCCACCAAGTTCTCATGGTCAGTGTCATAGGTTTGATCTTGGGGTTGGCCAGTTGGCCTTGCTTAAGTATGTAGCCCCAGGTTGCCCTTTTAGTCATGGCCAGGTGACCCGCCTCCCAAAACAAGGTCCTGGGGAAAGGGTATGAGTGAGTCATGGTTATGTCTCATAGCTAACGTTTAAGTTAAAGATGATGGGAACTGAGGACCCAAGTTAGGAGGCTGTGTTACAGGTCCTTGGGGAGAGTGATAATTCAAAAGACCCCTTTCCCGTCCAGCTTTGAGTTTCCAACTTATTAAAACCTATATTCAGCCAGAGGGAGGGAGAAGGAAAACAAAAGGTAAACCTCGGCCAGGCACAATGGTTTATGCCTGTAATTCCAGCACTTTGGGAGGCCGAGGCAGGAGGATCGCTTGAGCCCAGGAGTTCGAGACCAGCCTGGGCAACATGGTGAGACCCTGTCTCTACCAAAAATAAAAAAAAATTAGCCAGGAATGGTGACACACGCCTGTAGTCCCAGCTACTCAGGAGGCTGAGGCTGGAGGATTGACTGAGCCTGGGAGGTCGAGGCTGCAGTGAGCCATGATCACGCTACTGCACTCCAGCCTGGGTGATAGGAGTGAGACCCTGTGTCAAAAAAATAAAAATAAAAATAAACCTTGATTGAAAACTGCCGAGCAGTCATCTGAATTCTGATTCAGAAGTACATGTAGGACACCGTCATGGTACTTTTCCATTGTGTTGTTTCATTTAATGTGTTTATGAATTTAGGCAGCCACCATGCACGTCGGTCAAGCCCCAGTTGCCTTTCGTGTGTGTGTGTGTGTGTGTGTGTGTGTGTGTGTTTAGGGCACTTTCTAGAGCCTGCTTTGTTAATTAACTGTACTATGTGCTTTATATTTGCTGTGAGTTAATTACCGATGATAGTGTTCCCTTGCCAGTCACAAGTTCTCTCACCCCTTTCCCCCATTGAATTCCTCATATTTCATCTCATCCATAGGCTCAAGTTGTTTGTCTTTGACTGGCAAGACTCCTCAATAATCGTGTATCAGTGATCTCTGACACAGTGCTAACTTTTATCACTGATTACGGAGAGACATTGTATAAATCATCAGGACAGTTTGTTTTGCGTATGATGATTTAAGAGCACCTCTTAACCAACATCAAAGTAATATATCAGAGTGCCAACCTTCGGTACTTTTCTTTTGCTTTTCATTGAAATCCACTTTCTTTTCTATGGTCTACTGGGCCTCGTATGGTCTGGCTTTGCCTACCTTTTCAGCCTCATCGGGGTCATCTTCCCACTCGGCCACTGCCTTCTGCCATATTGAGTTCTCGCCTGTCCCAGCACTGTCTCTGCGTCTGGTCACTTGCAATTCTCACTGCTGGGAATGCCCCTTTTTTTCTTTTTGGCTCCTTGCTTGGCTGGCCCTTTCTCTTCTTTCAGGTACCACTCTGAGCAGCCCTCCAGGGCCATCTTGTCTCAAGGGCCAGCCTCCATCTTGAGTTTCCTTTCTCCATTCCCATCACATCACCACATTTATTTCCTTTGCAGTCCTTATATCACAGCCTGTAAATATTTTGTTAACTCATTGATGGACTTGGTATTTGATGTCTCTCCCACCAGAATTTTAGCTCCATGAGGGCAGGGGCCTTGTCTGTCTTATCCCTACCATATCCCCAGCTCTTAACTCAATTCTAGATGCATAGTAAATGCTCAACAGATATTTGTTGAATGAATAGTTGCTTTGGATAATTAACACGGTGAATTACTTTTAAGTAGTTTGTGACTGCAAGCTGATAGAGCCAGTCCCATGTTTTATGTGGCTGGCCCCCTCCCCATCTGCATCCATCACTGCTCTGGCACTTTGGGAGCATTTCAGACCCCAGGGCACTATTTCTCTGTCTTGGCCAGCCCCTGGCTGGTGTCTGGGATAACCCTCTGTTTTAAGCATCATTTTTGTTCTCAAAATGAAAACCACCTGTCTTCAACGTGATTTGCTTAAAATAAATGCTTTATTTCTTTACTGAGACCTTCTTCCCTTTCTGCCTTTCTCCACCTCCTGCCAAGAATAATGTGAAAAACCCCATTATCTTGGAAAGTGGTTTTCCCTCTGGTTGGAATACAAAGCCAGATGACTTACCACCAAATGTGCTGGGATAATAGCTTTCCCCTGCCCTGATGCTCTCAGATGTTAGTGAGGTCTCGACCTTGGCACTTCCTTTCTTTGTATATTTCCTTGAAACTTCCTTCCTACAGGTAAAGAAGCTAGCCCAAGGCACCACCTAAATGGCAGTGGGGGTAGGGACCATGTCTAAGTAGCACTCTGTGGCAGACTGTTTGCCAGCTCACTGACACCTTACACCAATTCCAGGGAGTTGACAGTTTTTACCACCATTTTAGAGATAGCAAAATGGAGGCTCACTGAGGTTAGGTGACTTGTTCCTAAGCACATAGGTTGCAACCAGCCAAGATCAGAAACCAGGCTTGTCTGACTCCCAAATTCATCTTTTATTTGTTGATGTACTCAGTGTCTCCCAGGGCTATATCAACCAAGTTCTGCAGTTAAAAAAACATCTGGCAACCTGGTCTACGGTACACATCCCATGTAACTGAGGTAAGTTTCCTGAAACAGTAGCTGCCTTCACTGTGTGTGATGCCCTCTTGTATTCTCCATTCCATTCAACAGATGCTTGTCAGGACCTTCTAAACTGATTACGTGGCCCACCGATTGGTGGCAGTCCATTTGAAAACAGTTTGAGGGACATTAGTGTAGGTGAGGTGTAAACTATGCTTAGTTTATATAGAGGTTTACATGGTGTAAGCTATTAAAAAGAATTTTTATGGCAATATAATAGACATACATAAAATGCGCATGAGGGTACGGCTGTTGAATTTTTACAAACTAAACACATCTGCATAATTAGCACGAGATCAAAACACACACCATTGATTTAAGCTTCTTTGAATCAAGACAGAGGCATGAAGTACAACAGAAACTGATAGCCCCTCAGTTTGTTGTGAATTACGCACAAACAGCTTACTCCATAGGCAGACTCTTTTTGGAGGTCCGTAGCTTGCCTTTCCAGTGATGGGGTCTGGCTGGTATTTGTTTGAGATCTAAGAATTGCCGAAGGAGTGGAATATGGCCTCTGTAATGGCCTCAGAAATTAGCACAAAAGGAGGGCTGACTGAGAATGTGCCTCGTAAAATGTGAACATGGAGGAGGAGGAGGAGGAAAGGGCAAGGCCCCGTAGTTGAGTACAGAAACATTAGGGTGTGAGAATTTGTGGTCATAGTAATTGAGACCAATTTTACTGAAATGGAGGGCGGCAAAAGGAGGAAGGAAAAGGAATTTGTGATTACAGCACCAAGCCCCTAGAGGTTAAAGAACGTCTCTGTAAAATAAGGAATATCTACCTCTCATGGTGAGTGTTGACTTTTAGAGAAAATTGTTCTAGTATACTGAACTAAAATGCTTAATTCTTGGCAAAAGATACAGATGCATCTCCATGCAAAAGCAAGCTAAAGCAACTTTGCTTTCATAATGTATGGGTTCTGTAAAGCTGTCTTGGTGGACATGCCATATGTAATTCATCATAATGGGGTGTGCATAGAAATGAAAGGGAGCGAATATCGTAACATGCCTTGAAGCATTGAGTGCTAAGTTACAAAGGGCATTAATTAATACAACTTAATGGGATTCATTTATAGCTCACTTTTAGTCAAACTGAAATAGCTTTCCTGAATCAGGGACTTTGGGATAATAATAAATCCTTTTGTCTTTGTTGATCAGATAAGCTCTTATTCACTGACTTCCTGTTACTTTCTTGGCACCCAGAGTCATGCCTGGGCACTAAGGATTTGCTGAATGAATGGAAGGAGTAAGGACAAAAAAAATCGTAGCTAGCATTTAATGAGTGTGTACTGTGTGCTTTGCCTCTTTTATCTGATTTAGTCATCACTACAAGGCTGTGAGGCAGGCACTGTTATCATTTTCTTCTTTATTTTATTTTATTTTATTTATTTTTTGAGATAGAGTCTTGCTCTGTCGCCCAGGCTGGAGTGCAGTGGCGCTATCTCGGCTCACTGCAAGCTCTGCCTCCCGAGTTCATGCCATTCTCCTGCCTCAGCCTCCCGAGATGCTGGGACTCCAGGCGCCTGCCACCAAGCCCAGCTAATTCTTTGTATTTTTAGTAGAGACGGGGTTTCACCATGTTAGCCAGGATGGTCTCGATCTCCTGACCTCGTGATCCGCCCGCCTCAGCCTCCCAAAGTGCTGGGATTACAGGCGTGAGCCACCATGTCCGGCCTATTTATTTATCTATTTATTGAGACGGGATCTCACTCTCACCCAGGCTGGAGTGCAATGGTGCAATCACAGCTCACTGCAGCCTCGACCTCCTGGGCTCAAGTGAGCCTCCCACCTCTCAGCCTCCTGAGTAGCTGGGACTATAGTTGCACACCACCATGCCTGGCTGATTTTTTTTTTTTTTTTTTTTTTGTAGAGACAGGGTTTCACCATGTTGCCCAGGCTGGTCTTGAACTCCTGGGCTCAGTGATCTGCCTGCCTGGGCCTCCCAAAGTGTTGGGATTATAGGTGTGAGCCACCATGCCCAGCATTATCCCTTCTTTTAGAGCCACCTTATTTCCTCTACTTGCCTGGGGACCGTTCTGGTGTATGCCTGTTGTCCTCGCATTAACATTGACATCACCTGCTTTCATTCTCAGATGTCCTGGTCAGATGATAAACCATTTCACTCTGAAATGTTCTGGTTTGGATAGACAGATGAGGAAACTGAGACACAGAGAAGCCACATCACTTTCCATGGTCACCAAGCTAGTAAGATGTAAAGGTGGGATTCTTTCCTGGGAGTCTGATTCCAGGTCATGTTGTCTGATCACTAAGTTCTGGTGCTTCACAGTTTAAGCCAAGGGAGAGATAATATAGGAAAACCACTCTTTATGTTTTTCAGCTTCAGTATTTAGTAAAAATCACTGCCAAGTTAGCATCTGAAGTAGGTTAATGTGACTCAGGGCAGTGGGAATGTGCTAGGTAAAGACTCATTGAAACCCTAAGTGTGTGTTCATTAGTAAACTTGGCCAACTACTACCCTAGAATGATAATAGCATTCACATGTGCATGGTGCTTTATAGTTTACAAAACCTCTTCTCCCATATTATTGTGTTGAAGCTTCTTGTGCACTCAGAGGTGGGAGGTGGATGGCCAGTGGTGGGATTTCCAGTTTATAGAGGAGGATGGGGTAATCAGCAGGATAGTACAGTTGCCTGCCTGAGGCTTCACGGCTAGAAAAGAGGCAGATCCAGGATTCAACCCAGGTATTCCGCCTCAGCGATCAGTGCATTCCCACTTTAGCACGGGTGCCTCTTAGCCAGATATATATATATATATATATATATTTTTTTTTCCTTGAGACAATGTCTTGCTTGCTCTGTCACCTAGGCCAGAGTGCAGTGGTGTGATCACAACTCACTGTAGCCTCAACCTCCCAGGCTCAAACAATCCTCCCACCTCAGCCTCCCAAATAGCTGGGATTACAGGTGTGCAACCACCATGCCTGACTAATTTTAAAATTTTTTTAAGAGATGGGGTCCCACTATATTGCTCAGGCTGGTCTGGAATTCCTGGGCTAAAGTAATCCTCCCACCTCGGCCTCCCAAAGTGCTGAGATTACAGGTGTGAGCCACCCATGCCTGGCCCAGATGCTCTTATATAGCCATTTGAGGGTGCTGTTTATGAAGGGTTAGGGAGTCACTTGAAGACTCATTTACCCAGAGTTTCTTAGCCTTGGCACTGTTGATATTTTGAGCCAGTTAAGCCTGTTGTGGGGGCTGTCCTGTGTGTTGTAGGATGTTTAGGAGCATCTCTGGGGTCTACTCGCTAGATGCCAATAGCACAATCGCCCGTCCCGCCCCTGCCCCCACCCCCCGCCCCCGCCAGATCCCTCCAAGTCGTGACAACAAAGGAAAGCGTCTCCAGACATTACCAAATGTCCCTTGCTGGGGCACAATTGCCTCTGGTTAGGAACCACTGGCCTAACATAATAGCCACATTTAAAAGAGGGAAAGACGACCTTGAAAATGTTAGACCTGTCTTCTTCCCCTTTCTCTAGTTTCTAAAGCATCAGAAAAACTGTTGAAAGACCTGCAAAGGGGCAAAATAGAGAACAAGCAACATGTTTCATGTTGAATTCTCTTCCGTGGAAGAGCATTGTGTCTGCCAAAGGATAAGATAGCCAACATTTTTTTAAGTTAAAAATCACACAGTTAAAAATGTTTTGATAGAAAAGTTAGAATAGAGATCAGCCAAAATATACATATGCAGAATCTCCTGTAATCCTACTGCCGAGATAACCATGGTTCATATTTTGGTCTATTTCCTTCTAACCTTTTCCAGCATGCGTATACAAGTATATATTAAAAAAATAATTTTCCAAATAGAGCCATACCAAAAGCTGTTATAAACAGCTTTTTAATTTAAATGTGCCACAAATACCTTTCCATATCTATGATACAGAGTTACTAAGGTTTGTAGTATTTTGTTGTATGGCTAGCATATAGTTTATTCACTTAGTCTCCTGTTGTGTACGTTTGGTTTGCTTCTAATTTTGTTTTTGCTGTTAACATGCAAAACCGTGGTGAGTATCCATGTGCATACTTACACCCTTTCCAGCTTATTTTTTTTCCTTCTAGAAGTTACCATCACTGTAATTTTTAGTATCCATTGAGTAAGATATTGAATTCATAGTGTTCTGGATTGTATTTTAATTATGTCACATACCTTTACCCCTCAAAATTACGGAAATGTATTGATTAAAAATGTGTTTATGTGCTAGACTTGCAGAATGGGGTGTGGAAAGTTCTTTGGTTTTCTGATTGAACGATGACTAATAAGAAACCATTTGGGTTTCGTGCCTTGTTCATGAAGCCCAGTCTTAACTGTGTCAGGCTACTTCCTGAGTAGGAATCAGCCCAGTGAAGGTTGCTTAACCGTCCTTTAAGATTCTGTTCACTACTGAAAGAAATTCAAGGCTATATGCTCGTGAATTCTCATTGCTCATGGATTTTTCTTCTATGTGTTTTAAATTATAAACTCACGGAAAAGACATTCAGATGGTAGAGAAGAGCATAAAGTTTCCTACTTTACTCCCCTCCCTCTTGGTTTTTTTTTTTTTTTCATTCTCTAGGATTTTTGTATGCTTGTACAAATATTGAAATACAAAAAAATTTAAAACCCACAAATTGGGCAACAGAATGCAATGTGTGAGCCAAGTAGCTTTTTTCTACTTAATGCATCTTTCTATATCAGCACCTTATTCTGTTTAATTGGTGCCCTATTTGGGGTTGTTTTCAGCTTCTCCTGCAACAAGTCACCTTCTATTATGAGTCTATCCATAGGATACATGCTTAGCAGTGGAGTTGTTGGGTTAAGAGTTTATGTCCTTATGGTTTTGATAGATATTGCTAAATTGCCCTTCTACCAGCAATATATAGCTTGACTTGTTTCTATCAGGCATTTTTTTCATGCCTGGCATAAATTATTGATTAATAAGCTGGGAACACAAAGGTAGAATCTCATCTATAGGAAGGAGCATAGTTGGTTAGGAGACCATGTCTTCCCTAATGACCATTATGAGTATTGGTTTTCAGCCTTGAGCATACTCAGGGGGATGTGTATTTACTGGTTTCCTCCTGGGGTTGGCCTGAAACTGGCTTTTACTTTTTTCAACCACAGAGTTAGAATATGCATATAAAGTTGGGAGACAATACCCAGATAGACAACTTTCTGGGAGTATTCGATGACATGCCTCAATTAGAATTGAGGTGGTTAGAAATGGACCCTTATTACTAAAGAGGTTGTGACATGTAAATATCAGTGGGTCTCTGAAATAGAAGCATAGGTCATTTGGCATTTGGTACACTGTATCAAATGGAACATAATATAATAAATGTAAATGTAACATGTTATAATCATGTTACAGTCATTACTACCCCTCTTATCTCTTCCATGACGTCTTTTCTGATGTTTCTTCATTCCCCATCTTCTCCCACTCCAAGATGACTTTTTTTCACACTGTCCTTAAAAAAAATATAGCTGGTACTGCATTTAGGGCTTTAAATTGTTTTATTATCTTGGATCAGATATGTATCCCTAATCAAATTTTAACCAACACTTGGTTTCTGGTCCTCTTCACTCTGGCTGGGTGTTTGGAACGTAAGTATTTTGATTGGTTGTCCACTCTAGAATTCTTCTGATTTCATGGGGTCCCTGTGCTTGGTAAAGGAGGGCTCTCTCCTGGACATCTCCCCCTTGTAGGCCCCCAGAACGGTGCTCATAAAGGACTCTGTCATCTCAGTCTTCAGAGCACTGCTTTCCTGCCTAGGGAAGGGCACAGCAGGGTGCCATCTTTTATATGATTTGGTATCTGAAGGAGCAGAGGATGGTAGATGTTTGAAGATGATTCTGTGAACCCTGGTGGGTACGGCAGCTGCCAGAGCCCAGGTAACCATGTGAAGGGCTCATATTTTCTGAAAAGTCAGGGCTTTCTGATGGGCACTTTTTAGGGTATTCTTGGCCAGGATTTTTTTTTTTTTTTTTGAGTCGGCCTGAAGTGTCCTGGAAGGTGGAAGCTAAAATCCATGTAGGTTTGGCCTCAGGCTGGGCCTCTTAGAGGAGGTGGGGCAGCTTTCATTTCCTTTCTCCTTGAGCCCCGAGGGCTGACACTGTGCCCTGGGGACTCTCCCTGGCCTTTCCCAGGGGATGACCTCGAGAGAGTCTTAAAAAGGGAACAAACCAAAAAGCTGTTATTTATTTTTCTTATTGTTCAGATAATATATTTTCCTTTATAGCAAATGAAGAGGGCTTTTAGGGGGCAGGCAGTGTGATCTGAGGAAAATGGCCTCTGGGGTCAAATAGTTCTGGGTTGGAATGTGGGCTCTGTGGCTTTTTCCCTAAGGGGCTATTATGGGCCAAATTTTGTCCCTAACCCCCCTGTACCTCATAATGTGACTGTCTTTGGAGATAGGTCCTTTAAAGAGGTGATTAAGTTAAAATGAGGCCATTAGGGTAGGCCTTAATCCAATCTGACTGGTGTCCTCATAAGAAGAGGAGATTAGGGCTCACCGAGAGATACCAGGGACGCAGACGCACAGAGGAAAGACCATGTGAGGACACAGCAAGCAGGTGGCTATCTGCAAGCCAAGGAGAGGGGCCCCAGGAGAAACCCAATGTACCTTGATTCCAGCCTTCAGAGCTGTGAGGTAATGAATTTCTATTATTTAAGCCCCCCTAGTCTGTGGTATTTTGTTATGGCAACCTAGGCTGACTAAGATGGGGGCTTTTAGCAAGTCAGGTCCCCTGATTTTGCTTTCCTAAAGAGGGACCACAACACCCTGAGTTGACAAGAAGAGTGGACACAGTGCCTGGCTTCTAGGAGGTACTTTCAAATGGCAGTGGTGGTGGTCACCATAATCATTTAATAATATGATAATAGAAATCACCACCCCCTTCCCTCACCCAAGTTTTCTGACCCCGTCTGGTTTGAGGTTTTTCTTTTTCTTTCTTTATTTTTATTTTTATATATTTTTTTGAGATGGAGCCTTGCTGTATCACCCAGGCTAGAGTGCAGTGGCGCAATCTCAGCTCACCACAACCTCTGCCTCTCAGGTTCAAGCAATTCTCCTGCCTCAGCCTCCTGAGTAGCTGGGACTACAGGCATGCGCCACCATGCCCGGCTAATTTTTGTACTTTCAGTAGAGACCTGATTTTGCCATGTTGGCCAGGATGGCCTCAAACTCCTGACCTCGTGATCCGCCCGCCTAGGCCTCCCAAAGTGCTGGGATTACAGGCGTGAGCCACCGTGCCTGGCCTCTTTTTATTTTTTTATTTTTTTAACTTTCCTTTTAAGTCCTTTTCAAAGAGGGTTGCAAAGAACTCATGTGATCAGAGATTGGTACTTTATAGGTTGAGTGAAGTATTTTCTTTTGAGTAACCCTTTTCATCCTTTTCATCTGTTAACATATTGGAGGTCCAGGTAAAATTGTATTTAGGACAAGGATTCTGCTGCCAAAATAGATTCAAAGTGACTTTCAGCGTGGTGTGAATATTTACTGTACCTGACACCCATTGTATTAGTTTGCTTGTGCTGCTGTGACAAAGTACCACATGCTGTGAGTGGCTTAACCAGTGGAAATTTATTGTCTGGCAGTTCTGGAGGCTGGAATTCAGAGATCAAGGTGTGGGCAGGGTTGGTTCCTTCTGAGGGTCGTGAGGGAGAGTCTGCTCCTCCCCTTGCTTCTGGTGGTTTGCTGGCGATCTTTGGGTTGTAGACACATCACCCCAGTCTCTGTCTTCATCTTCACATGGCATTCTCCCTGTGTGCATATCTCTGTGTCCAAAGTTCTTCATTTTTGTGTTTTTTTTTTTTGTTTTTTTTTTTTTTTTGGAGATAGAATCTTGCTCTGTTGCTCAGGCTGGAGTGCACTGGCACGATTATGGCTCACTGCAGCCTCCATCTTCTGGGCTCAAGTGATCCTCCCACCTTGGCCTCCCAAAGCGCTGAGATTACAGGCGTGAGCCACAGCTCCCATCCCAAAGTTCTCCTTTTTATAAGGATACCACTCATATTGGATTAGCGCCACTCAAATGACCTAATTTTAACTTGATCATCTGCAAAGACCCTATGTCTAAATAACGTCATATTCATGGATACTGGGGATAAGGACTTCCATATCTTTTGGGGAGATACAATTCAACTCATAACACCAATTATATTGGAACCCTATTTGCCATCTGTGCACCTCTGCCTGCGTCCGGCAGCTTCTCAGGAGAAGTCCCTCTGCCTGGTCTGCCATTCTTGTTTGCCATGCAGATTTCAGCGAAGAAGTCACCTGCTGGAGAGGCCTTCCCTGGCCACCCTCAATATAGAGTGATTGAATGAGTGAAATAGATTGCAGAGTAAAATTAAAATGTGATTGAGAATTATGCTGAGCATAATTTACCCTTAAAAGTGTGAGAGAACTCCTCTCCACCCCACATCAATGTTACTTGTAACTTTTTTGTATATGTTGGCTGTGTCCCCATCACAGATGCTATTTAAATATCATTTTGTGCCTGTGAATTGAGATGTCGGGCACCTTCTGAATGTCATGATGTTTCCTATTCTGTGTGCAGAGCATGCCAAGAGGATTCAATTTGTTGAATTTGGATCTTTTTTTGCAATGAGTCACTATTTGATTATGATTTTACAACAATTCACAGAATCAAACTGGCTAGACCCCTTCTCTGAAGGACATCTTGGGTCCAGAAAACCTGTGAATCATGAATAAGGGAAACATTTACTAATGCTAGTTAATTATCAGTGTTTGTTAAATATGTTCTCCTTGCTGAAACTGCTAGGGGCTGTGCAGAATACCGAAATAGAATAGGCAATAGCTGTGGCCTCCAGGAACACACAATTCACATCAAACAGCCAAAAAATAGATAATACATGCAAAGTGGTGTGAGAAGGTGTAGTACAGAAATTAAGAAGAAGTGCTTGTTGTGGACCAGAAAGATCAAGGCAGGCTTTGCTGAGGAACTTAGTTAGGCTTGGGCTGTGCCTTAAAGAGTTAGAGATCCCAGGAGAGGAGGGAGAATACCAGCTCAAGACAATATTAACATAATATCATTAAGCTGTATAATAGTCACAGTATATATTGAACTACCAGGTTTTAATAAAAATTTTCTTCACAAGATAGATATGAAATGATTTGTAACAGAAAAATATTGTATACATCCTAAATGTCCATCAACTTGGGATATATAAGTTATAGTACATCCATATAGTAGAATACTCTACAGTCAGAAAAAAGAATGAGGATGCTTTTTACCGCTGTGGACCTTCCAAATATATTATTGTTCAGTGAGAAAAGCAAGGTGCAGGACAGTGGGTATGATATGCTAATGTATGATATTTTCTTAAAGAAACTAGAAGTTGCCTAAGAAACTAATAACCTATGTGTGGTAGTGGTAGACTGGGAGAATGGGAGCTAGATTCTGTGTGGGGATGTTTGTGTGTATGTGTGTGATTTGAATGATGTAAATGTATCCTATTCAAAAAGTTAGGTGTGAAGACAATAGTATTTGGTCACACTGTTGCTACCCTTAAATTGACTTAGTGCTTTGCCTTGCTGGGACATAATAAACGAAGATAATTAGTGACACCAGATATCTTAGAGATAAACTTTTGCATTTGCCCAGAGAATGAAATTCCCTTGACCAGCTTTCACTTTTGTTGGCCGCCACAAGAAAGGTTTGAAGCATAGCACTCAATAGAGGGGCTGGTCTAATGAACCCCTTTTTACCCATCGTCTAGCTTCAGCGTTATCATCTGCTGGCCAATGCTGCTTTGTTTGTTCTCTCTCCTCCTCATTCTTCCCTTCTTCCCTGGCCTTGATTATTTTGAAGGCAATGCCATTCTGATGGAATAATTTAGAATTATTACTCTGACCTCCTGAGTCCCACCATGGCCCCAGACATGCAGAGTACATTAGATGCTTAGGTGGGAAAAGCTGTCTTTAATGGAATTTGGCTCATCACATTAAACTCATTTGATTTTACTTAAAAAAATGTAAAAAATTATTGTGCAATACAGGTAACATAAAATGTACCATCTTAGTCATTTGAAGTGTATGGTTCAAATAGCACTAAGTACATGCACATTGTTGTGCCACTAATCTTCAGAACTTTTTTATCTTGCAAAACTGAAACTCTGCACCCATGACACACCAGCTCCCCATTTCCCCTTCCCCCCAGCCCCTGGCAACCACCATTCTGTGTTCTGTGTCTGAATTTGACTCCTCCAAGTAGTTCATGTAAGTGGAATCATATATGATTTGTCTTTTTGTGACTGGCTTATTCTACTTAGCATAATGTCCTCAAGGTTCATCCGTGTGGTAGCATGTGACAGGATTTCCTTCCTTTGTAAGGCTGAATCATATCCTCTTGTATGGATATACCACATTTTGTTTTTCCATTCAGTCATTGATAGATACTTGGGCTAACTTTACTTTTTGCCCCCTCTTAGAATATAAGGTTTTATGGCTCATAATAATTTCATGCTGTAGCACATCAGAATGCCTCAGCACACTATTACCCTCCAGTTAAGAGAATAATTCTGAGCAGTTTGAGAATATATGTATTTTTGAGACAGGGTCTCACTCTGTAGCCCAGGTTGGAGTGCAGTGGCGCAATCTTGGCTCACTGCAATCTCCGCCTCTCTGGCTCAAGTGATGCTCCCACCTCAGCCTCCCAAGTAGCTGGGACCACAGGTACGTACCACCACGCCTAGCTAATTTTTTTTTTTTTTTGTATTTTTTGTAGAGACCGGGTTTCACCATGTTGCCTAGGTTGGTCTCCAACTCCTGGGCTCAAGCAGTCCGCTCACCTCATCCTCCAAAAGTGCTTGAGAATTCTTATACCAAATACTTTGACTTGAAAAACCAGCAAATTTTCCTTTCTGCTTTTGTGACCAAGGGCAGCATTTTCTCTCAAAGCTCTTACATTGAATTTTGTCTCTCACCAGACTAGATTATGAATTTAGAGAGACTAGGGCAGGGGGTGGGGTGATATCTTCATTTGCCCAGTACCTGGCACTGTGCTTGGCACTGGGTGGATACTGTGTATGTATTTGTTGGAGGAGGAGTGTTACTTTGGGCAAGGCATGTACCTATACCTTTATAATTAGGAAGTTGAACCAGATGAATTCTAAGACCCCTTTTGGTTCTAACATTGTTTGGGTCCATCATTAAACCTGAAAATCCCAGGCTGGGCGCGGTGGCTCACACCTGTAATCCCAGCACTTTGGGAGGCCGAGGTGAGCAGATCGCTTGAGGTCAGGAGTTTGAGACCAGCCTGGCCCACGTGGTGAAACCCCATCCATCTCTACTAAAAATATAAAAATTAGTCAGGTGTGGTATGCCTGTAATCCCAGCTACTTGGGAGGCTGAGGCAGGAGAATCACTTGAACCCAGGAGGTAGAGGTTGCAGTGAGCTGAGATCGCGCCACTGCACTGCAGCCTGGGCGACAGAGTGAGACTCTGTCTAAAAAAGTAAAATAAAATAAAATAAAAAATAAATCTGATGATGAAAATTTCAGACTCTCTGGAATACTGGAGATTTGGGGGAGGTAGTGAAATTTTTGGATAGACATATTTTCACTGCCCCTCAAATGATACCCAGAGGTGGTCACCTACAAGTAAACCCATGTCAGGATATAGTGTTTCTTAAAATAACATTCTGGATTTGGGACTTCCTCTTTGTGCAGTGGGTGCCATTCTTTGAATAATAAAAAAGCTACCATCTAAAAAGTGATTTTAAGTTTAGCTTAATCGTGTACCACATTTCCTAGATATACACGGATAGAAAACAAACCTCCTCTTGACATAATCATCTTTATAATGAATCTCATCGGAAGTCTTAATGGTAATCTTACCATGAGAAGAAGTCAAAGCAATGAGCAACTGAGGAAAATGAAAATTCTGGAATTAGAGAAAAAAATGCTGATAAGAAAGGACAGATGTGATCTGAGTACTGAATCTTGTTGATTTTCTGAACTTTATGCTCATTTGTACATTTTTATTTTAAGCCTGGTTTCCAAAAGTCTCTTGTTAGCAACCAGATGGTCGTCAAATAATTGATACGGGTTCATTTTAAGCCCATTTGAGGAACATAATGGCCTGAATTTTCCAGTAGCAGGGTTTAGTAATTCTGCTGGTCTTTGAATGCCAACAGGGTTTTTTGGAAATTGAGTTCCCTAATGTCTTGGAAGTAACTCTTGGAAAATAGGAACCAGTGAATTGATTGCATGATGTACTTGGAATAAAAAGTTAAGGATATGGTTTATTTTGGCTAAAACGTCCACCCTTAGAAGTGGTTAAATTTGTAAAATTAGGTGAGGATTTTTGTGTGTGTGTTTAAGTTTTTTTTTATTTGTTTTCTGAGGCTTGAGTTAATGAATATGAATAGACATTTCGAATACACTAATCTGATATTTCCCATTTTCAGAGATCCGTTCAAACTCTAGGGTCTGTGCACGTTTTTACTTACATCTGGGAGCTAAAAAGTCTGAGCTCAGAAACAGAGTAGAATTATGGTTATAAGAGGTTGGGAAGGGTACAGAGAGAGGAGGGTAGGGAGAGGTTGATTAAGGGATACAGAATTACAGCTAGATGGGAGGAATAAGTTCTAGTATTCTGTGGCATCATAGGCTGACTATAAACAACAGTTTATTGTATATTTTCAAACAGCTAGAAGAGAGGATTTCAAATGTTTCAAGCACGAACAAATGCTCAGTGTTTGAGGTGATGGATATGCTAATTCTGATTTGATCATTATACATTGTATATATGTATTGAAATAGCACATGTACCCCATAAATATGTACAATTATTATGTGTCAATTAAACAAAACACTGGGGTTTGCTATTCTAAAGTCTTACTAAATGCTTTTCAAAGAAAGAAAAACTCCTTAAAGTGTGGTTTGCAACGAGAAAAAGGGTTGTGAGCTGCCTCCAGAGTCAGTGAGACTCAATGGTCATTTTGTTATTGTTTTTGAGACAGGGTCTCGCTCTGTCACCTAGGCTGGAGAGTGCAGTGGCATGATCACAGGTCACTGCAACCTCGACCTCTTGGGCTCAAGTGATTCTCCCACCCCAACCACCTGAGTAGCTGCACAGTGCCTGTGCACGCGCCACCACGCTGGCTGATTTTTGTTGTTGTTTTTTTTCTCTTGGTAGACAGGGTTTCGCCATGTTGCCCAGGCTGGTCTTGCACTCTGGGCTCAAGAGATCCTCCCACCTTGTCCTCTCGAAGTGCTGGGATTACAGGCATGAGCCACCGCACCTGACCTGTTATTTGAACTGGAGAAAGGCATCAGCAACTGTTTTGGGGGTGCTAGTGAGCCGCAGGTTGTATTGCTGGAAACAGTGAAAGAGAGAGCTGAGGTCTGTCTGAAAAGCCTCATGAACTGTCAGAGCGGTGACAGAGCAGCTGTGCTATGGAGAGGTACTCCTTTCAAGTGCTCTTTTAGTTGGTATTCTCAGAATGTCACTAGGTGTTTCCAGCAGAATCCCATCTTGCGAAACGTGTCTGTCCTGGGCTCTCTGTTTTGGTGTGTGCGTACAAAGCCTTCCTTTCCTCTCCTCTGCTCACGCCACCATGGCTAGCCAGTCTCTGGCTGTCTTGGGATCTGAGTGGAGCTCCTGGTGGAACCAGACCCAGAGGCCTCATTGGTGGACAGGTTAGTTTTCCTTGGCTACCACAACAAATGACCACAAACTGGGTGGCTTAAAACAACAGAAATTTATTCTCTCTGATTTCTGGAAGCCAGAAGTCCAGAATCAATGTGCCCTCCAACGGTGTTCTAGGGGAGAAGCCATTTCTTGCCTCTCCCAGCTTCTGGTGGCTCCTGGCTTTCCTTTGCTTCCAGCCGCATCACTCCTCTCTCTGCCTTCCTCTTCACATTGCCTTCTCCTCTGTCCATCTTCTCCTCTGTGTGTCTCATATGAGGACAACACTTGTCATTGGATTTAGGGACCCCCAGGATAATCCAGAATGATCTCTTCATCTCAGGATCCTTAACTACATCAGCAAGGACCCTTTCCCCAAATAAGATCCTGATTCTGGGAATTAGAATGTTGACATATCTTTTTAGGGGGTTGCCATTCAATTTACCACAGTAGGAGTAGCAATTCAGGATGGGGCCTTGAAAAGGAAGCAGAAGAAACAGAAGCCTTCATAATGTGATAGTTTAAAAAATCTGCCTGGTCATTTAAAAAAATCCTTCAGAAAGTAACTTTATTGAGGCACATTTTAAATATCATGTAATTCACCCATTTCAAGAATATAGCTCAATGGTTTTTAGTAAACATACCCAGTTATGCAACCATCATCATAAAATGCTTTAGAACATTTTCATCACCCCAATAACATCCACATCCTTCATGCCCATTTATTGTTAATTCCCATTCCCACTCCCAGCTTCACTGCCTGCTGTCTGCTGTCTCTCTAGATCTGCCTTTTCTGGATGTTTCATATGAGTTGTTTTTTTTTTTTTGTGACCGAGTCCCACTCTGTCACCCAGACTAGAGTACAGTGGTACAATCATGGCTCACTGCAGTCTCGACCTCCTGGGCTCAAGTGATCCTCCCACCTCAGCCTTCTGAGCAGCTGGGACCACAGGTGCATGCCACTATGCTTGGCTAATTTGTTGTTGTTGTTGTTTAGACGGGTTTCACTATGTTGCCTAGGCTGGTCTAGAACTCTTGTACTTAAGCGATCCTCCCACCTTGGCCTCCCAAAGTGCTGAGATTGCAGACATGAGCCACCATGCTTGGCCTAAAGTTTTATTTAAAACTTAAGAAAACATTTCTGATTGTAAAATATGGAGAAGGACAATCCCATCACCTGGAGCCTGTTAGAAATGCAGAATCTGCAGTTTAGCAAGATCCCCAAGGCATTCTCTATATTAGACTTAGACATACTGGTACATTGTATCTGCTATATTGATCCCTTGTCCACTTAATATATTATGAGCACTTCCCCAAAAGTATTATATCTCTTCTGAGAACATTTTAAATCTCATTGTAAGAATATACCACAATCTATTTAACTAGCCACTTCATGGCAGACATTGTTTCCCATCTTTTTTTGCCCTTGAAAATAAAGCTGCAATAATTATCTTTGTATAGAAATATTTGTGTATAGTTTTATATCTACTGTATCAGTAATTCCATTTCTAGGAATTGATTATAAGACAATAATTATAGACAGACTGCTAAAATTTAGAAAGTGCATATGTAAATACTGATCAGTGGAGTCAGTCATTTAAAGTGCTGTTTTCCAGCATGGTACTGGTACCAAAACAGAGATATAGATCAATGGAACAGAACAGAGCCCTCAGAAATAACGCCGCATGTCTACAACTATCTGATCTTTGACAAACCTGAGAAAAACAAGCAATGGGGAAAGGATTCCCTATTTAATAAATGGTGCTGGGAAAACTGGCTAGCCATATGTGGAAAGCTGAAACCGGATCCCTTCCTTACACCTTATACAAAAATCAATTCAAGATGGATTAAAGACTTAAAACGTTAGACCTAAAACCATAAAAACCCTAGAAGAAAACCTAGGCAATACCATTCAGGACATAGGCATGGGCAAGGACTTCATGTCTAAAACACCAAAAGCAATGGCAACAAAAGCCAAAATTGACAAATGGGATCTAATTAAACTAAAGAGCTTCTGCACAGCAAAAGAAACTACCATCAGAGTGAACAGGCAACCTACAAAATGGGAGAAAATTTTCGCAACCTACTCATCTGACAAAGGGCTAATATCCAGAATCTACAATGAACTCAAACAAATTTACAAGAAAAAAACAAACAACCCCATCAAAAAGTGGGCGAAGGACATGAACAGACACTTCTCAAAAGAAGACATTTATGCAGCCAAAAGACACATGAAAAAATGCTCATCATTACTGGCCATCAGAGAAATGCAAATCAAAACCACAATGAGATACCATCTCACACCAGTTAGAATGGCAATCATTAAAAAGTCAGGAAACAACAGGTGCTGGAGAAGATGTGGAGAAATAGGAACACTTTTACACTGTTGGTGGGACTGTAAACTAGTTCAACTATTGTGGAAGTCAGTGTGGCGATTCCTCAGGGATCTAGAACTGGAAATACCATCCCATTACTGGGTATATACCCAGCCATCCCATTACTGGGTATATACCCAAAGGACTATAAATCATGCTGCTATAAAGACACATGCACACGTATGTTTATTGCGGCATTATTCACAATAGCAAAGACTTGGAACCAACCCAAATGTCCAACAATGATAGACTGGATTAAGAAAATGTGGCACATATACACCATGGAATACTATGCAGCCATAAAAAATGATGAGTTCATGTCCTTTGTAGGGACATGGATGAAATTGGAAATCATCATTCTCAGTCAACTATTGTAAGAACAAAAAACCAAACACTGCATATTCTCACTCATAGGTGGGAATTGAACAATGAGATCACATGGACACAGGAAGGGGAATATCACACTCTGGGGCCTGTTGTGGGGTGGGGGGAGGGGGGAGGGATAGCATTGGGAGATATACCTAATGCTAGATGACGAGTTAGTGGGTGCAGCGCACCAGCATGGCACATGTATACATATGTAACTAGCCTGCACAATGTGCACATGTACCCTAAAACTTAAAGTATAATAAAAAAAAAATAAAGTGCTGTTTTCCTGGAAACTAGACCTAAAGCCAAGCAGATAATAGGAAATGTGAACCCCCAATACATGATGTTAGCACATCTTGCTAACTCTCACCTCCTTCTCCTCCTCCTTTTTTTTTTTTTTTTGAGACAGGGTCTTGCTGTCTCACCCAGGCTGGAGTGCAGAGGTATAATCATGGCTCACTGCAGCCTTGACCTCCTGGGGTCAAGCAATCCTCCCACCTCAGCTTCCCAAGTAGCTGGGACTACAGGTGCACACTATCACACCTGGCTACCTTAATTTCTTTTCTTTATAGAGACAGGGTTTTGTCATATTGTCCAGTCTGGTCTCAAACTCCTGGGCTCAAGTGATCTGCCCACCTCGCCCTCCCAAAAGGTTGGGATTACAGGTGTGAGCCACTGCACCCAGCCACCTCCATCTGCTTGAGCATTGGTTTCATTGTTGAACAAAATGAATGAGCAAATAATGAATGAATGAGTGAATGACAATGGCATCAAAAAGTGAAGTGTAGGTTGTTACTGAGCAGCGGTGAAATAGAAAGGAACAAAATGCTGGACCCACATGTAATCACTTTCTTATCTGTTGTAATTTTATCCTTACTCAATTTCCAACCTCCACTAGTCGGTTCTGCCCTTGTAAAGCAGCCCAATGTGTCACTCCTGGAAGCCCCTGCTGCTTCAACTATCTGTAGCACACTACTCCTCATAGGTGGAAAGTCAGTCATGGGAGTGACGATACCTTCCTCAGATCACACCTACTGGCCTTTCGATTCCGTTTTCCCACTTTTCACAAGGATTGTAGTCTCTTGAATATTTACTGGCCTTCCTAGTTCTCAGATCCTTGGGAAGTATGTGAAGAGGTCGGGACTTGTGTATTCACTTCGTATCTGCCCGATTGCCAGGCTCCTTAGGTCAAGGAGGAATTGAGTGAGTTCCAAGGAGAGGGTAAGTCTGAATTTTCCCCTTTTTTTCTTTTCTTTTTTTTTTTTTTTTTGAGATGGAGTCTTGCTCTGTCTCCCAGGCTAGAGTGCAGTTGCACAATTTCGGCTCACTGTAACCTCAGCCTCCTGGGTTCAAGCAATTCTCCTGCCTCAGCCTCCCAAGTAGCTGGGATTACAGGCGCCCGCCATCGTGTCCAGCTAATTTTTGTATTTTTAGTAGAGACAGGGTTTCACCATCTTGGCCAGGCTGGTCTCGAACTCCTGACCTCGTGATCCACCCGCCTTGGCCTCCCAAAGTGCTGGGATTACAGGTGTGAGCCACCGCACCCGGCCGAATTTTCCCCTTTCATTTTCTGCACTGCTGTGTTCTCTGAGCTTTCCACTGCTATAGTGTTTCCTGATGAGAAGGAAGTGTTTCCTCCAGCTTTTTTTTCTTCCTGGAGGAGTAGGATATGAAGGAATCCCTGCCCCCACACGGGGTGGGATCCAGCCAGCTGCTCCAGAGGATCTCGGCCCCTCCTGTAGCCTCAACCTTTTTTGTTTCTCTGGGTGGTGACTCTCACACCAGAGCATACGTTAGAACCTCCTGGAGGGCTTGCTCAAACACCGACTGCTGGACCCCACCCCATGCCTTCTAGTTCAATAGTCTGGGCTGGGGCCAGAGAGTCTGCATTTCTAACAGGTTCTCTGGTGATGCTGCTGGTGTGGAACTCCACTTTGAGAACTACTGCTCTGGCCCACCCCTCATTGCCCCTCTTCCCCTGCAATTGCTTCCAAGTAGGCAGAATAAGGCGCTGGAGGACTGGTGTGTTTGAGACCCTTGCATCTAGGGAGCCCGTCCAGACTTCTAGGGGTAGCGCCTAGCAGTGGTGTGTGCCTGTTCCACCAATGAATGCAGCTTTAGACAGGCCCTTCAGAGTATAAGAAGCAGTGGCTCATTCAAATTCCTTCAAGTAGTGGGGGTGAGAACTAGGGGGTTAAAAACAGAGCCCCAGGTCCTTAAGGCTTCACAGGAACTCATCCAGAAAGCCAGCAGGTATGGGCAGGCTGGGGCCTCAGCCTGCCACATGCCTTTGTGTTTCAGCTGGCCCAAGGCTGTACTGAACATTATAACCTTTCAGCCCTGGCCCTTTCTGTTGACTTCCTCTCCTCTCCTCTTGGTGGGATTTTCCCCTGTATTTAGGGCAGGGCAGTTTCTTCTGGAAGGATCCCTTTGGCTCCAGGCTCTGTGTCTAACCCTCCCACTTGACCCTGTAGCACACAGCCCTGGCCAGTTGCTGGTGGAAGCTGCAGTCCTTAGTGAAATGGGGAGTGGACTGTGGTTCCTCAAATTGCATTGTCATTTGGAGGCTCAAGGGCATACCTTTTTTATCCTCAAAGGCTTAAAGACAACTGATGGCAGCTGGAGAGGGTTAAGGGAGATGGAGGAAATCTTCATTCAAGTTTGTCTTGCTCAGTGATCTTTTAATGTGTCTTTCCAGTCTTGGGGTGGTTGTGTGGTCTTTCAGTACAGATTCAGGTGGCAGGCGGTTGGTGGTTTGGTTTAAATCAGAGGTATGTTAAAATATTCAGGATGGTGAGGGTGTCTGTGAAAACTAAGAGAGGAAGTGGCTTAAAGAGCTAGGCTGTCAGCTGGGTGCAGTGGCTCACACCTGTCATCCTGGTGCTTTGGGAGGCTGAGGCAGGAGGATCACTTGAGGCCAGGAGTTTGAGACCATCCTGGGAAACGTAGCAAGACCTTGTCTCTACAAAAAATTAAAAAGAAAAAATTAGCTGGACATGGTGGTGTGCGCTTGTGGTCCCAGTTACTCAGTAGGCTGAGGTGGGAGGATCACTTGAGCCCAGGAGTTTGAGATTACAATGAGTTATGATCATGCCACTGAATTCCAGCTTTGGTGACAGAGTGAGACCCTGTCTCTCTCTAAAAAAAAAAAAAAAAAAAAAAAAAAAACCAGGTTGTCAAGCTAGATTTAGAATTCTTTTTTTAAAAAAAATTCTTTTATTTTTTCCATGGGATTCTGCTTGATATAGACTTAATTCTGTTGTCTGTTGGCCCAGGGACATCACTGCCCAGTGGATACCTCATCCACTCCCACTCTTTTTGAGGGTTTTCTCCAGGGAGTTGAATCTGTGAGGCAGTCTTTCCCTCCTGCTTTCATTTCTCCCCCAGCATCTTCTCTTAGGCCCTGCTAGGCCACTTGAGCAAGAATCTCAGGCCATAAAACATTTCCACATCAGATTTCCTCCAACAGCACAGGGCGCTTATGGCTCACATGTGGAAGCGTGGACATTGACATGTTATTTTGAGACTTCTGACTTTAGAGCATTTTGAGGAAAGTATCTTCTGAGGTCTTTCTTTCCTGTAAGCTAGCTGTAGTAGCCAATTCCTTTTGGGGGATGGGGGAATGAATTCTTGGCACACTCTGTTGTCCTTTGGGCTAGTCACATTTGTGCTAAATATCAGGCGAGCTCCCTGCGGACACCATGGGATGAGGACAACATCTTATTCTTGGCAATTTGCAAGGGACAAATTAGGCTGTGGTACTTGCAAGTAGAATTATTAAATATCAATGGGGGATAATAAATGTGAAGTAGCTTGCAAATCTTCTGATATTATGGCTGTTTCAGTGAAAACACAGCTGCTAAGATACTTTCCTAGCTGTAATCGAGAAGGTAATTTTCCTGAAAGGCCATTTAAAGCAGATCTTTAGTGCCTTTGGCTCATTAAGAAGCATGAATAGGGGTAAGTCTCTGAAAAAGATGAATTAGACACAGAGCAGAGGAGCGGTGGTGTCCATGATGCAGGATGATGGTGTCCAGGGCCTGCGTACTCCAAATAGACCAAGGACTAATTAGTTGTGTGGTTTATTAATGGACTGGAGTCAATCCTGGACTAATACAACTAATTCTTCCATTTAGAGTTAATGTTGGCACTCAATTTTCCCTGGTAATGAGTGAGTTAGAGTAAGCAGGCACGTGAGTGTAAGATACAGTGCTAATATTTTGTGAGAAACATTGAACGAGGCTTGATGTTTAAATCAATAGTTGAAAATGTGGGGGAAGACTTTCCAGAAAAGGCTTACAGGCTAAATAAGAGCAGTTAATTGAAAGCAAACCAAGCCCACCCAATATTTAGATTTGTTTAGAAACCAAGTGAACATTTGAGATGAGAAACATTTCTCTAGTTCTGTGATGTCGTCGGCTTTCCTGGTGTGTTTGGAGCTTTTGACATTGGTGTGGTACTTTACCTCAGTGAGGCTGATGGAACAGAGTGGATGTTACAGGGCCTCAATTTCAGAATTCTTGTTGTGTACTCGTGAAGACCTGTGGAGAGATTTTGCCTCAAGTCAGTTTGGATGGTTTCTGCCCTCCAGTCTGATAAAGTCCCCTGATGTCAAACCACAGGTGGAATTTCCAGAGACTGTGATCTGTGGACTGGTGACAAATCCTTTGTGAAAAGTCTGTGTGACACTACTAAACAGAGAGGGCTTGGGGGAGGAGAATGAGGGGACCAATGCGCTCCCCTCAGAAGCCTTGATGCTCTCATAGAAGGTCTGGCCAGGTGTGGGGGTCTAGCTTTGTAAAGTAGGAAGACCCCTTTGATGATTACTTTTTTTGTCTAGTTAAACCTTTTTGGATTTCTCTGTAATTTAAAGAATATAATTTTTAAAATGTAAAGCTGAGGATTCATTTTTCTATGTGTTAATAAAGTTAATAAACCCCCCATATTTATTGGGGAAGGCAGTATAAACTAGAATTTCCTTAGGTTTCTTCTTTCTTTCTTTCTTTCTTTCTTTCTTTCTTTCTTTCTTTCTTTCTTTCTTTCTTTTTTTTTGAGACAGGGGAGTGCAGTGGCGTGAACTCGGCTCACTGTAAGCTCCGCCTCCTGGGTTCACGCCATTCTCCTGCCTCAGCCTCCTGAGTAGCTGGGACTCCTGGCGCCTGCCACCACGCCTGGCTAATTTTTTGTATTTTTAGTAGAGACGGGGTTTCACCGTGTTAGCCAGGATGGTCTCGATCTCCTGACCTCGTGATCCGCCCGCCTCAGCCTCCCAAAGTGCTGGGATTAAAGGTGTGAGCCACCGCGCCCGGCGGCTTAGGTTTCTTAAAAGTTAACCAAGTGAGCATCACTGAAGATTAACCAAAGGATCTATGCAAAGATGTATTTTTATTTTGCTCAAACAGTTGTTTATAAAAGGTAAGATGAAAACCAAAGCACACATTACAGAGTAGGAAATCAAGTACTTTTATTTCATACCAGAAATAGGAGGAAAAGGATAAAATCAGGGTGAAGCCCTAAAAAAAAGACAGTCAAAAAAGACCCTATAGGAGGGCTGGGAGAGTTTTTGAGCCATGAGGACCATTTGACCTTGGTGACAGGGCAGCTACTGAGTTCCCAGAATTCTGCCTTTTCAAGCCATGTAACATTTGCAAATGCTGACAAACAGCTGCTAATTCCGTTTTCTATGAAAGGGTGACAGGGTGTTCTCAGGACATGAGCTTCTTCTCCCCAGAGCCACATGCCTTTCACACAGTGACAGTGGCACCATCAGTGAGGACCTGGGAAGGAGACACCAGTCCAGAAAAATGATGATTCTTTTTTTTTTTTTTTTTTTTTTTTTTTTTTCGAGCCGGAGTCTCGCTCTGTCGCCCAGGCTGGGGTGCAGTGGTGAGATCTTGGCTCACTGCAAGCTCCGCCTCCCGGGTTCACGCCATTCTCCTGCCTCAGCCTCCCAAGTAGCTGGGACTACAGGCGCCCACCATCACGCCTGGCTAATTTTTTGTATTTTTAGTAGAGATGGGGTTTCACTGTGTTAGCCAGGATGATCTCAGTCTCCTGACCTTGTGATCCGCCTGTCTCAGCCTCCCAAAGTGTTGGGATGACAGGCGTGAGCCGCTGCGCCTGGCTGAAAATGATGATTCTTATAGGGGGGTGTGTGTGTGTCTGTGTGTGCATGCACGTGTGTGTGTGTGTGTGTGTGTGTGTGTTTGTGTGTGTGAGAGAGAGAGAGAGACAGAGACTGAATTGCTTGAGAAAATTTGCATTTGAGTTCAGAAGTATGAGCCCACATCTGTGAAAGCAGTAGGTAAGAGACTAGTGAATGCAGATGACTCAGATATGCACACAAACCTGTGGATTTACGGTTTTAGAAAATACAAATATACATTGTGCTAAATTTGAATAATTTGAAGTGAGGTACAATTCCAAAGAGCAAGTTGTGATCTAGGACAAAGGAACCTCTGGGATGAGTGACAGCTCGGAGAGCCAGAGGTGGAAGGAGGAATGAAACACAGCTACTAAGGCTACCTGTGTCATGGGCCACCCTGGAGGCTGGGAGATCTCTTCTTATGGGTTTCTCTCCTATTTGTGTCTGTGTGCCTATCTGTATTCTCTATGTGAGTCTCTATGCTTGTGCATCAGTGTCTCTGTGTATGGGGGTTCTGTTTTTCTGTGTCTATGGGTCTGCCTCTCCCACTCGCTGTAAACGGGCTACCCCAGAAACACTTGCCAGATGGAGCACACTGGCCTGGGTCAATGCCACATATGGTTTCTTACAAGTTGCAGAAAGGTTACACTTAGCAAAAATGGGTGTGCCCCAAAGCCCCACACAGTGAACAGGTTTTCTCATGATCTTGTCACACCTGTCACAAGAGTGGGGGAAGATGAGGAGGAAGAGCCAGCTGGAAGTTTTAGAATCGTGTTTAATTTGTGGTTTACATCCTCCTCCCGACCCTTTTCCCTGACAAACCACCCACACACTTTTCACTTTGCATTACATTTGTCCTCGCCCATCTCCATGGGATATTCCTAGAATTCTGAATGCTTCCTTTGACTTTCTCTACTGCAGAAACTCTTCTCCCTGGGAATGATTTTTACAGCTCCAGTTAATTTTCATGTTCAATGTTGGAACGGAGAGGAAATGGGGGGAGCATGGGTGGTGACTCAGGAAGCTGAGGAAATCGCCCTTATTAGGCCTCGAATTTTCTTCTAAAAAAAAACAAAAAACAAAAACTGGCCCCAGGCTGTTTGGGCCTTATTTTTTTCTGATTGCTAGCTTTCATTTGACCTCCCTCCTTCCATTTCTTTCTCTCTTTGGTTCTGCTTTGAAGGTCACAAAGCTTCCCAAAGCTGTTAAAGGTGGTGCTAACTCCCTTTACTGAAAGATTACTCTTCAGCTGTACCAGTGGATTTCCCCTAACAGCGCTCCCAGAAGATGAACAGACTCTCTTATTGTTGGTAATAACTGAGTTTTTAAAGAGGACACCATCATTGGCAATAATTTAAATGACTTTTCTAAGGTATTTTCCCAACTGTTTTTCTCTTTTTCCTCTTCCACTTGAGCAAATGTCATGAATTTCCTTTTTTTTAAACCACCAACACAAGTATTTTTTTTCTTAAATAATGTGTATACTTAAAATTTGTAAAATGCAGGCAGGAACCAGAAAGATAATTCATTTTCTAGCCAGTCGTTTGTTGTAAGCCTGATATGTGTTTGTTATTTTTCTACAAAAATGGAATCATATGGTAGGTGGTGTTTTATAAGAAGTTTTTTTTTTTGTTTTAATTGTGGTGAAATACACAACAGAAAATTGTAACCAATTTTTTTTTTTTTTTTTTGAGACGGAGTTTCGCTTTTGTCGCCCAGGCAGGAGTGCCATGGCAGAATCTCAGCTCACTGCAACCTTTGCCTCCTGGGTTCAAGCAATTCTCCTGCCTCAGCCTCCTGAGTAGCTGGGATTACTGGTGCGCACCACCATGCCTGGCTAATTTCTGTAGTTTTAGTAGAGATGGGATTTCACCATGTTGGCCAGGCTGATCTTGAACTCCTGGCCTCAGGCGATCTGCCCGCTTTGGCCCCCCAAAGTGCTGGAATTACAGGCATGAGCCACCGTGCCCAGCTGTAACCAATTTTTAAGTGTAATACTAAGTTACTTAATTTTCTACAACATCAGTAATGTTTTTCAAGTTTTTTAAAGTTGCAGAACCCTTTCCTCAAAGACCAGAGAGCTTCAAGCAGAGCTGCACCACCATTGAGGCAGGAGTGGGGAGCCCAGGCTATATCTTGTCAATGTTGCAGTTTACGGTTACCCTCCCCATAGCTTTGAGGCCTCCTAGGGATCCTGGTCACACTCAGTAGCCAACTTTGAAAGCACATAGACCTACCTTATACTGCCCCAATTGTTAATAGCTTAGATTGCTCTAATTTTCTTATAAAGAAAAAATTTTGGACATACTTTAAATCCTCTTTGAAGCACATCTGTGATTACTTCCCTAGATAAGTCCTTATAAGTAGAGTTACTGGGTTTAGAATATGAGCGGTGTTGTTGTTTTTTTCTTTTTGGCCTATAATCCATATTGCCAACTGGTCTTCACCAAAGTGTGCCACATCAGACTCTCACAGTAATGTAGGAGAAGGCTCAACCCCCCATTCCCTGGGTAAAATAAACCTTAAAAATTCAGTATGTTAGCAAAAGAAATTATCAACAGGGTAAACAGACAACCTACAGAATGAGAGAAAATATTTGCAAACTATTCACCTGACAAAGGTCTAATATTCAGCACGTGTAAGGAACTTAAATTTACAAGAAAAGCCATTAAAAAGTGGGCAAAGGACATGAACAGACACTTTTTAAAAGAAGACCTGCATGTGACCAACAAGAATATGAAAAAAAGCTCAATATCGTTGATCATTAGGGAAATGCATATCAAAACCACAGTGAGGTACCATCTCACACCAGTCAGAATGGCTATTATTAAAAAGTAAAAAAAAAAAAAATAACATGCTGGTAAGGTTACAGAGAAAAGGGAACACTTATACACTCTTGGTGGGAATGTAAATTAGTTCAACCACTGTGGAAAGCAGTGTGGCAATTCCTCAAAGAGCTAAAAACAGAACTACCATTCGACCCAGCAGTCCCATTACTGGGTATATACCCGAAGGAATATAAGTCATTCTACCATAAAGACACACGCACAAGTATGTTCATTGCCACACTCTTCACAATAGCAAAAACATGAAATCAGCCTAAATGCCCATTAGTGATAGATTGGATAAAGAAAATATGGTATATATACACCATGGAATACTATGCAGCCATAAAAAAGAATGAGATCATGTCTTTTGTGGGAACACGGATGGAGCTGGAGGCCATTATCCTTAGCAGACTAACACAGGAACAGAAAACCAAATACCGCATGTTCTCACTTATAAGTGGGAGCTAAAGGATGAGAACACATGGACACAAGGGAACAGACATGGGGGCCTACTTAAGGGTAGAGGGTGGAAGGAGGGAGAAGAGCAGAAAAAATAACTATTGAGTACTAGGCTTGGTACCTGGATGACGAAATAATCTGTACAACAAACCCTCATGACACTAGTTTACCTATATAACAAACCTGCACTTAGTGACATTATTTTCGTATGTCTGTTGGCCATATATGGTTCTTCTTTGAACTATTTATTCATAACCTTTGCCCATTTTTAGATTCAGATGTTTGTCCATGAATCCGAGAGTGAGAACCCTTGGTTATACTGTGTGTAGACATTTTAAGCGATATTTTCAAGAATCAGCTGTGACACAAAAGGAGTGGGGGATTGTGGGCCAAAAGTCTTACAGTCAGAGTTTAGCATGAGAACTTGGAAAGAATAAACTTCTGGACTTTGATCTCTGATTTTATGATTCTGTGATACTAGATGACTTATCTGCCATTTAGGAAGGTTCTGTCATATTGACTAGAGAGAAAATCCGGAGTTAAAACCAATGGCTGCATTAAGTTAGATTTTTTTTAGCAGTCTGATTAATCTTTACTGCTCCAGTACTCAAACTGCAACGTGAGAGTTCAATCTTGTGGCTTATTACAACCACACATTGTATTAAACATCTTCTACTTGAGAAAAACATGAAGTGCCCCATGTGCATTTTGAGTATGTTATATCATGAGTAAAGTCATGGCTGGAAGGTAGTTAAGACAGAATTTCTTTTTGTTTGTTTGGCAAGTGATGCTAAATCAACAATAATATTGCTTTGAAAAGGAGCAAAATTATGCCATGACTATTTGCAATGAAAATAAATTATAAGGCCTGGTGTGGTGGCTCACACCTGTAATCCCAGCACTTTGGGAGGCCAAACTGGGTGGATTGCTTGAGTCCAGGAGTTCAAGACCAGCCTGGGCAACTTGGCGAGACCCTGTCTCTACGAAAAAAAAAGAAAAAGAAGAAAAAGACAAAAATTAGCCGGGCATGGTGGTGCATGCCTGTAGTCCCAGCTACTCAGAAGGCTGAGATGGGAGGACTGCTTGAGCCTGGGAGGTGGAGGTTGCAGTGAGCTGAGATCGAGCCACTGCTCTGTACTCTAGCCTGAGTGACAGAGCTAGACCCTGTCTCAAAAAAAAAAAAAAAAAAAAAATTATAACGCAGCTGTATAATAATATTGCTCAATATGCTATTATAAAGTGAAAACCTCCTTCTGCTTAACAGGAGGTGTCTCTATTTCAGGACAGGACACTTTACATGGAATAAGAACAAAGATCTTACTAATTTAAAAAAAAAAACCCAAATGTGTGTGTGTGTGTACACTGAATTTGGCCAGACAGGAAAACAAGATTAAAATGTCAGTTCTGTCTTTTCAACCTGAATGCCTCCAACAGCTACATTTTAGAAATTTCTGAAATAATTAATGTGTACTCATATGTTCACCCATAAATCAGACCATGGGATTACTGATGAAAGGATGCAAACTTGGGGGTCAGTCTTGGAAAATTTTGACTGAATTTTAATCTTCCTATTGTGAACATCTATTTCATGTTGAAAACTCAGCATTTCCTGTTTCTCCTAAACATAGACACCACAATAAATAGTTTGTATCTATTTCTTTTCCTTCAAAAAGATCACAGTTCTTTGCCTGTATTATCTAGCTCCAAGATAAATTAAATGCCAGCTGAAATTGTTTGGTGTATCTAGGATGCCCATGGTATGTGCCATTTGGTTGTGTGGCTGAGTCAGTGGCGTTAGGTGGAGTTTAGCCTCCCCCTGAGTGGTTATTAGGGTTGTGGATGGAATGTATTGAATTCAAATCTCTCATTTATAAGGCGAGGTGTGAATTGTAGAATGATCCGATTAACTTGGGCTGAACCCCAGATATTGCTGTGTGCTTTTTTTCCCCCTTCAACATGTCATGGAGGCTTAAAACAGTCACCCACACGCCCTTTCCATATTTAACCTTTTGGAGGTGCTGTCTTATTGCTGAGCCAGGGTGGTAATAGCTGACTGGCTTAAATGGACAGACAGCAACAAGATAGCTGAGGAGGGTAATAGATCCTGCCATTCTGTTCATCTGCGTTTGTGTCTGGGTAAAATTCTCATTAAGTTGCAGCCAGTGTGTGTATTTTGTGTGTCTGTGCATTGTGTTTGCAGTCCATTAGAAAACTGATACCCATGTGGTGCCTTGGTATTGACAGGTTTCCTGTGTGTGACCTAAAACCATTCTGCATTTTCATTTGTCAGGTTTTCCCGTGTGCTCTGGGTTCAGAGCAAATTAACTTCCAAGTCAACAGAACCACCGAAGTTCTGCTTGAACTAAAGCTAAGCTACTCTACTGGTGTGGGGGGAGGGAGGATGTTGATCATTAGAGGACAAGGGCAAGTTGAGAAATTGTTCTATATTTCAGCCAGTTAATTATCGCAGCTTCCCAGCATGTCTGCAAGGAGAAATGAGAAGAACATCAATAAGTGATTATTTTCTTTCATTATTCTGTTCACCTGCCATTTACTGTGCACGTTCCAGGGGAAGGGAGATTAGCAGGGGTTAACTTTAAAAAATCAGAGTCCCAGAGGACTCACAAAGGCATGCTGTGTCTGCCTTTCTGGTACTGAGTGATGAGGGTGGGACAGGGCTGGTGCTAAACTTTTGGATCTATTTTTAAGCTTTCAGGACAAATTTTATAAATACGAGCTGCTTCTTTAAAAAAAAATCCCTTTCTACTCTAAAAATAGTTTGCTGGGAAAAAGTTTGTGAATTGTTTATTAAGACTCAGAAATTCAGCTGAGCATGTTTCCTTATAAATAAAGAAAATCACCTCACAGCTACTGTCAAAAAGCAGATGTGGCTTCTTAGGAAAGAAACAAGATTTCTGGGATGTTAATGCCAATGTCAGAATGTGGGAGAAAATTTGGAATTTTCCCTCCTGGCTTGCTCTTTTCAGACCTTCTAAATTCTACTCATTTCTTATGATCAAGTTGGTGTCTTGTCCCTTTTGGAAAGAGTTTTCCCAGGCAGAATGAATGGCCTTAGCTTCTGTTCTTACCAGTACCCTTAGCCACACCTGTCTCTTTTCCTATAACACTTTGTTTTATGTTAATGACAATTGCTAATATTTACTGTATGCCAGGCACTGTTCTAAGCTCAGTTCATGTGCTATTTTATTTTGTTGTCATAACTCTTTGAATTAGATACTACTATTCTCATTTTAAGGATAAGGACTATGGTAGGCAGAATAATGGCCCCTCAAAGGTGTCCACGTTCTAATCTTCAGAACCTGTGAGTGTTTACCTTACGATGCAGATATGGTTAAGGATTTTGGATTAGAATCACAAGGGTCCTTATAAGAGGGAAGCACATGGGCAACAAAAGCAAAAATACATAAATTAGACAACATCAAAATGTAAAACTTCCGTACATCAAAAGATACAATCGGACCAGGCGTGGTGGCTCATGCCTGTAATCCCAGCACTTTGGGAGGCCGAGGCGGGTGGATCACGAGGTAAGGAGGTCGAGACCATGGTGAAACCCCATCTCTACTAAAAATACAAAAAATTAGCCAGGCCTGGTGGCGGGCACCTGTAGTCCCAGCTACTCGGGAGGCTGAGGCAGGAGAATGGTGTAAACTGGGAGGCGGAGCTTGCGGTGAGCCGAGATTGTGCCACTGCACTCCAGCCTGGGCGACGGAGCAAGACTCTGTCTCAAAAAAAAAAAAAAAAAAAAAAAAAAAAAAAAAAAAAAAGATGCAATCAACAGACTCAAAGTGCAATCTGAACAATGGAGAAAATATTTTCAAATCATATATCTGATAAGGGGTTAATATCCAGAATCTATAAAGAACTCCTACAACTCAACAACAAAACAAATAACCCAATTCAAAATGGGCAAGGGACTTGAATAGACAGTTTTCCAAAGAAGACATACCAATGACCAACAAGCAGATGAAAAGATGCTCAACATCACTGACCATCAGGGAAATGCAAATCAAAATCACAGTGAGATTGCACCTCATACCCATTAGGATGGCTGCTATAAAAAAAGAAAAAACAACAAGTGTTGGTGAGGATGTGGAACAATTGAAACCTTTATATACTGTCGGTGGGGATGTAAAATGGTGTAGCTACCATAAAAAACAATGTGGCAGTTCCTTGAACAATTAAAAATAGAATTACCATATGATCTAGCAATTTTACTTCTGGGTATATATCCAAAAGAATTGAAAGCAGGGTCTCAGAGATATTATACACCCATGTGCACAGTAGTATTCACAGAAGGCAAAAGGTGGAAGCAACCCAAGTGTCTATACAACAGAATATCATTCTGCCTCAAAAGAAGGAAATTCTGACACATGCTACAATGCGGTTGAACCTTGATACATTATGCTAAGTGACAGAAGCCAGTCACAAAAGGACAAATACTGTATGACTTAACCTATATGAGGTATCTAAAGTCAACTTTACAGAGACAGAAAATGGACTGCTGGTTGCCAGGAGCTGGTGGGAGGGGAGAAAGGAGTTGTTTAATGGGTACAGAGCTTCTTTTTCAGTTTTGCAAGAGGAAAAGAAATCTGATGATCTTTTGCACAATGTGACTGTACTTAACACTACTGAACTGTGTAGTTTAAACCTGTTAAGATGTTAAATTTTATGTAACGTGTATTTACCACAATTAAAAAAAATTTTTTTTAAAAAGGGAGGCAGTAAGATCAGAGTTAGTGATGATAGAAGCAGAGGTCAGAGAGAGAGCGAGCATTGAAGATGCTATACTGCTGGCCTCGAAGATGGAGGAAGGGAATACAAGCTAAGGAATGCAGGTAACCCCTAGAGGCTGGAAAGGGTGGGAGAACCTCCTCTCCTACAGCCCCTGAATGAATGCAGCCTGCCAACACCTCCATTTTAGCCCAGTAAGACAGTTTCTGGATTTCTAACCTCCAGAACTGTGAGATACTAACTTTGGGTTAAGTCGCCAAGTTTTTGGTAATCTGTTAGAGCAGTGGTAAGAAACTATTACTAAGGACTATTCAGTTCAGAGAGGTTAGGACCTTGTGCATGGTCACGAAGTGACTGGAACTCTGATTAAGAGCTGGAGCTGGCCAGGCAGGATGGCTCACACCTGTAATCCCAGCACTTTGGAAGGCCAAGGTGGGCGGATCACTTGAGGTCAGGAGTTGGAGACCAGCCTGGCCAACATGGTGAAACCCCGTCTCTACTTAAAAAAAAAAAAAAAAAAAAAAAAAAAAGAACTGCAAAAATTAGCTGGGCATGGTGGCACAGCCTGTAGTTCCAGCTATTCAGGAGGCTGAGGCAGAAGAATCGCTTGAACCCGGGAGGCAGAGGTTGCTGTGAGCCAAGATCGCACCACTGCACTCCAGCCTGGCAACAGAGCAAGACTCAGTCTAAAAAAAAAAAAAAGAGTTGGAGCGCATGTCCACTCCACTCAGAGTTCCAGCCTTCCTAGATGGTGAGACCCTAGGTAGCAGTGGCCATCTTTAACACTACCCCCGACATAGGACTTGATATATATTAAGGCACTTAGTAATTGTGGCTAAAAGATTTAATGATAATGCACCATCGCCTTTTATTCTGTTCCCCTGATGCTGTGTCCTAGAAGCCATAGGGTTAAACCTAGGAAAAGGCTTTTTAGAAAACGTTTCCCTTCCCTGTCATTGTGGGGCTGCTAAGGAATAGTGTCCTCAAGGTTTTAGTGTCACTTCTGGGGGCCTCTGGGTATTTGTTGCCAGGTCCCATGATGGAGTAGAGTCAGGAGTGCTTATAGAATCCAGACAGGGGTCAGAGTCAGGGGAAATTTGGATCCTGTTCTTGGTAGATGGGCAGTCTGTTTTGAGAAGAAATGACCAAATTTAGTCATGACCTGTTAACCTGTTTATTAACATTATTTCTCTTTAAGCTAAATAAACGCAGATATTTCTAAGCACAAATGAAGAAATTTCTGTGTTAGCTCTGATCAGTGGGCATTTCCCACTCTGAAATGCTTCCTCACCCCCAAACCTAAGCTTTGGAAACCAGGCTCCTAAAATCAGGGCCTTGTAATTCCCCATGTGAGTTATTCTAAATTGGGCTTCTGGGTGTTTCTTTTTTTGAAGTGGGGAGCAGGTGGGAAATGAGAGGCCTTCTAATAATGTGCATTAACTTTTGCCATAAAATTATTAGAAAAAATGGGTATTTTGTACTTTTTTTTTTTTTTTTTTTTTGAGACAGAGTCTTGCTCTGTCACCCAGGCTGGAATGCAGTGGGCAATTGTAGTTCACTGCAACCTCCACCTCCTGGGCTCAGGTGGTCCTCCTGCCTCCTGAGTAGCTAGGACTACAGGTGCATGCCACTGTGTCCAGCTAGTTTTTGTGTTTTTTGTGTAGACGGGGTTTCACCATGTTACCCAGGCTGGTCTCGAACTCCGTACCTCAAGAGATCTGCCCACCTTGGCCTCCCAAAGTGCTGGGATTACAGGCATGAGCCACCGTGCCCGGCCTACTTTGTACTTTTAAAATAATCTTTGAGTGGGAAGGCCTTTGCAATCATGTCACAAATCTGAAAGACCTAAGGGAAAAGATTGATTGATTTTACTACATAGAAATTAGAGACTTCTGTATGGACAGAGATAGAATTAATAGAATAAACAGACAAATGACAAACAGGTAAATTCTGCAACACATATGACAGCCCCAGGGGCACTTCTTTTATATACAGAGAGCTATTAGAAATGAGAGGGAAAAGCAGGATGCTATGTAGGAGAATTGACAAAAGACATGAGTAAGCTCATCACAGAAAAAGACAAGTGGATAACGGTAAGCATATGGAAAGCTGTTCAACCTTATTTTTTACTAATTAAAGAAATGCAAATTAAATATCATCTCCTGTTATCAGATTGGCAAAAATGAAGACATTTAAAAATAGTATGGGGAAATCAGCTCTCTTCCATGCTATTGGTGGGAGTGTAATTGATAAATTTTTTGGAGGCCAGTTTTTTATTATCTGCTAAAAGTAAGGATGCACCAAGTTGTTGACCCAGAAATTTCACTCTAGGGAATTTGTCCCTCAGTTGCCTTTGTGGTATATGTGCAGAGTTATGGGCACAGTGATGCTCAATGTAGTGTTGTTTGTAATCGCAGAGGACTTGAGACAACTGGGTGGTTTCATGTGGGTTATAGTTCTGTGAGAAGAGAACTATCTCCTACCCAGCAAGATTCAAATAAGTTACCCGTTTAACCAGCCAAGGATACAGAAATTTAGAAAGGAGATTGCCTCAGGCAGGAGCGTATGAGGTATATATAAAAGGTATATCCCAGATACCAATCTCCACTCGCAGGTTTCCAGTGGTCTAAATGGCAAGGGAGATTTTGCCAGATCTCAGAAACAGCCAAAGTTTGCTGTGCCACAAATCTTTTTTCCATGAGCATTTCAGAAGAGCCAATGAGGACAACTGTTGTGCCTTCATCTGTGGTATGGTGACAAATAACGCAGCTCACCTGATTCACCTTGCCTGCTGCCTAGACAGAGCCGATTTATCAAGACAGGGGAATTGCAGTGGAGAAAGAGTAATTCCTGCAGAGCTGGCTGTGTGGGAGACCAGAGTTTTATTATTACTCAAGGAATTGGAATTTTTAAAGATAATTTGGCAGGTAGGGCTTGGGAAGTGGGTAGTGCTGATTCAGGTCAGGTTGGAGATGGAATCATAGTGGGGGTCAAAGTTAGGTTTCCTTGCTATCTTATGTTCCTGGGTGGGATCGCACAACTGGTTGAGCCAGTTTACCAGTCTGGATGGTGTCAGCTGATCTAGTAGAGGGTCTGCAAAATACCTCAAGCACTGATCTTAGGTTTTACAGTAGTGATGTTATCCCCAGGAGCAATTTGGGGAGGTTCAGACTCTTGCCAGGAGCTGCATGACCCCTAAACTGTAATTTCTAATCTTGCAGCTAATTTCTTAGCCCTCCAAAGGCATACTGGTCCCCAGGCAAGAAGAGGGTCTTTTCTGGAAAGGGCTATTATCAATTTTGTTTTACAGTCAAACCGTAAACTAAATTCTTTTCCAAGGTTAGTTCGGCCTACGCCCAGGAACGAACAGGGACAGCTTAAAGGTTAGAAGCAAGATGGAGTCGGTTAGGTCTGATCTCTTTCATTGTCATAATTTCCTCAGTTTTAATTTTCGCAAAGGCAGTTTCACTTCCGTGTTCCAAAATCTACTTTCAGACACAACCAGACTGTCCCTTTTGATACTGGTCTATCCTACAGTTGGATTCTGTGCAGCTATGAGGAAGAGGGGCAAAGCTCTGATGGAGAAGTTGTCTAAGATGCATTGTTAAGTTGAAGAAAGCAAGTTGCAGTATAGCACACATAGTAAGAGTCCATTTGTGTCCTCTTGTTATGTATTTTTTGGAATGAACATGTATACCTTTAATTATTAATTTTTGAGTGGTTACCCACACACAGTTTTGAAAGTCATATGCTGCTAAAAGATGTGTGAGTACCCAGCAGCCTCTTGTCCCTTCTCTTTGTGTCCTTATATTCTAGGAGGCAGTCGTTCTTCAGTTCTAGCTGTTGCTTCTACTATTTGCTGCTGTGCTTCTGAATAATATTCATTGCTGCTCTCTTGGTTTGTCGATTCTAGATATGATCTCTTAACTATCATGGTAGTTGAGGACTTCAGCTTTTCTCTATATGCACATATCTCAGGTTTTGCTTTAATCTATACTTAATGTTTTCATTAATGTAGCAATGTTGATATTGAATATTGAAGCAAGAATATACTATAATTAACTTACGTATATAGCTTTATTTCTCTCTCTCCCTCCTTTCCTCCCTCTCTCCCCATCTCCCTCTCTCCCTCTCTCTCCCCCCTCCCTCCCCACTCTCTCCCTTCTCTCTCTATCCCTCTCTCTCTCTGTCCTTCCTTCCTCTTCGTCCCTCCCTCTCTCTCTTTCTCTCTCCCCTACTTCCTCTCTTCTCTCTCTCTCTCCCTCCCTCTCTCACCACCATCTCCCTCTCCCTCCCTCTCTCTCTTCCCCCCCTCCCTCCTCCTTGTTTTCTTCTCCCCCCTCCCCTCCCCCCTCTCTACCTCTCTCCTTCTCCCTCTCCTGGAAAAACACCAGAGCCTTCCAACCTCCTGTTCCACTCTGCTGCCCAGCTGTCAGCCAGGAAATTCCCATCACACCTCCGCCGCCTCCTCTCTCTCATTGACTGTCCTGGATCTTGCGTCCTTCTCTTTCTTGTTTTACTCATTTGACTTGATGGAATGCACCCTCCAGTAGCCTTCTGAGGGAGCCAGTGCACGGCTTCAAGTAAATTTTTTGAAACTTCTTCAAAACCAACCACACTAGGAGTTGCATACTAAAAAGTTTTTCCTTTTAGCATTCAACCATCCCTTCTTAGCCCCTGGCCCATGTCTGTTGGCAGGTGGGGTTCTCCCTCCTACTGATGGAGCCAGAGAATCCTGGGACCCAGAGGCTGTGCCATTATTCACAAGATCTTATTTAATCTTCAGAATGGTTTGATAAACTAACAAAACTGAGGCACCAAGGTTACGCTCTCAGTGGTATCAGAACCAGGAATTGAAGTGTCAGCTGCTTGGGCCAGGCTGATGCCTTTCCTAATCTAGCTGCTCCTTACTGGAAGAAGGAATAACAGTACCATGCCCCAAGTGACACATGCCAGATGCATGTAACCATGGTTACAGGGTGAGTCCAATTCTCGGTGCCCACTTGTGTCTGGTTCCTGACAACTTCAGCTCTAGATAGCCATCCTTCTCTCTAGAAGTACCTTCCAGTATGTATGTATGTATGTATGTATGTATGTATGTATGTATGTATGTATGTATTTATTTATTTTGAGACAGAATCTCACTCTGTTGCCCAGGCTGGAGTGCAGTGGTGCGATCTCAGCTCACTGCAAGCTCTGTCTCCCGTGTTCATGCCATTCTTCTGCCTCAGCCTCCCGAGTAGCTGGAACTACAGGCGCCTGCCACCGCGCCTGGCTTATTTTTTGTATTTTTAGTAGAGACAAGGTTTCACTGTGTTAGCCAGGATAGTCTCAATCTCCTGACCTTGTGATCCACCTGCCTCGGCCTCCCAAAGTGCTGGGATTACAGATGTGAGCCACCGCGCCCAGCCAAGTGTGTGTGTGTGTGTGTCGAGAGAGAGAGAGAGAGAGAGAGAGAGAGAGAGAGAGAGAGAGGGAGAGAGAGAGAGAGAGGAGAGAGAGAGAGACCGAGACTGATTTATAGTTATGGTCCTAGCTCCTTATGGTAATTAAAATGCCCTGCCTATGATTTGTGTAAACTTGGTGTGATTATTTTTATTGCTACAGTATTTGGTTTTAAGCAATGTAAGAATGTCACCCCCCTCCTCCCATTCCTTTTGTGATGTGAAATGCTTCATTACTTAGGAATTTGCTGCTGATTGTACAGTTTAGCATTTGATCTTTTTGTTAACCACAGTCAGGTGACCACACATAGGGTAATTAGATTAACCCACCCCTCCTCTTCTCCACTGAAACAATGTAAAATCCAATATTCTATTAGCACATGCCTTCCGTAGATTAATGATCTTGGAGTTGCTGCGTGGAAATTTGCATAGCTCCCTACAGCTCTAAGAAATGAAAATGCCCAGCTGTCTAAAAGCTTTAATCAGGAAATGAGCATGAAATGGCATTGTTTTGTCACGGGCTTGGAATAATTTATTCTTGACAATCGAGTTATCCTGGATATAAATGTGTATAAACATTCTTTCAACAACCAGTAAACAGGTGCTTTTTTGTTCGTTAAAAAGTCAAGATTTTCTTGACTTGGGCTTGGCTTTGAAATCGTTGGCCCTCGTGCTGGTCACTGCCAAAAGTTTATACTAAAGTCATTTTCCTTGTCCCTCCTGTTTTAAATGGCAGTTTCTGGAGGCTGGCCTTTCAGAGCAAGAACGGTCTTAGGGAGTGAAGGAATGGGGACATGGCCATAGGACCACACGGGGTCATTCCTCACCCAGCCCCTTCTTGCCTGTGTTTTCATCCCCTCTTGGGACCTACTTTCCCCTATCTGTCAAATACAAATAATAATGGCCCCTATCTCTTAATGTGGTTGTGAGCATTAAATGTGTTATCCCATGTAAAGCCTTAGAAAAGTACCTTGTTCATGGTATATTCTTCATAATGGCGAGCTAATTCCATAAGACATAGGGAAATGAAGATGCAATTCTGTTTCTTTTTCTATTTAAAATATCCTAGTGCACTTAAATTTTTTTCTGTTAGACTATTAGTCTTGGAAGCAATTGTGACTATAAATGCTTTCATTTATGTTGGCACACCGTTAAAAGAATGATAGAACTAATGATAATGGCTAACATTCATTGAATGCCTGGGAGTGAAAGACTGAATGAGGCCTATTCCTGACTCTTGGGGCTAGACATAAGGACCCATGCTTATAGCCCAGGGGTGTGTGACAGGCTCTTACTCATCATCAAAGCTGTTAAAAAGACAGCAGAAACGGCCCTTGGACCTTGGATGTTGCTTCCTCTTTTTTTCTCCTCCAAGAGCAAGCTTTTTATCTAGCACGTGATTTAACAGTTCCTGTGTTGGGGGTACTGTTTCATGGACTAGGTATGATGTAGTGAGAAACATTTTAAAATTTTTCCAGAGGAGACTTTGATGGGAAAAATGCCCATCCCTCAGGGGACTCAATTTGAGATCGTGTAATTAACCTTTTGGAGCATAATTAGCCAAACTGTTTAGCTCTTTTTACTTGTACTCTGGGCACCAAAGAAAGCTGGATCCTACCCATGATAAAACTATCATCAATAAGATTTAATGTTGCCTCTTTATATGCATTTTATTTTTCTTGATTGTCATGCCCTTAGTTATTCTTGCATTTCAAGAATCTTTTTTTTTTTTTTTTTTTTTTTTTGAAACGAAGTCTCACTCTGTGGCCCAGGCCGGAGTTCAGTGGTGCGATATCAGTTCACTGCAACCTCCGCTTCCAGGGTTCAAGCGATTCTCCTGCCTCAGCCTCCCGAGTAGCTGGGATTACAGGCACGTGCCACCACACCTGGCTACTTTTTTTGTATTTTTAGTAGAGGCGGAGTTTCACCATGTTGGCCAGGCTGGTCTCGAACTCCTGCCCTCAGGTGATCCGCCCACCTTGGCCTCTCAGAGTGCTGGGATTACAGGTGTGAGCCACTGCCCCCGGCCTTGAATCTTGAACTTTATATCACATGACTGAAAAAAAAACATTGATTATTGGGTTTTGCCTGATTTTCCCCACATCTTAGCTTTCCTGTCTCCCCTGCTTAATGAAACGTATGGACTGGAGAGCTTTCTGTAAATCTTTTGTGTATGTTAGCATACACTGTTGGATCTTTAAAATCAGTAGTGGAAATTATATAGCTAAACTCTTATTGGGGGGCAGTGTCAACTTCTTCCTTGTGTCAATCAAGAAAAATGATGAGACAAGTCTCAATCATTTTAGGAAGTTTATTTGCCAAAGTTAAGGACGCACGCCCGGGAGACAGGTGCTATGCCTTTCTCTGAAGATGATTTTGAGGGCTCCAAATTTAAAGGCGAAAGGGTGGGATATTGAGAAGTATACAATTTTCACATAAGAGGCGGGTAGGGAAAAATAGTTATTCATGTCTTTGTCTGGCTCGGTGAATCTGCTTTTTTTTTTTTTTTTGACATAAGATAATATAGACAAATGGGGCAGAGGAAAAATGCAGGGAATCTGTGTTTTTACATAAGATAACATAGACAAAATGGGGCAGGAGAACAGTCAGATATGCATTTGTGTCTGGTGAGCAGGGGACAACTGCACCTGTAAAGATAAGCTATCAATTTACATTGCCATGGTGAAATCTTAAGAGAAACACCTTAGGGTAAAGACCTTGGAGCTCACTAGGAATTTCCTTGTGGGTAAAATATGGGGTAGGCATGTAGTTTTTCATCTTGTAGCCATTGTATTCAGGAACCAAAAGGGGAGGCAGGTTTGCGTGACCCAGTTCCCAGCTTGACTTTTTCCTTTAGCTTAGTGATTTTGGGACCCCAGGATTTATTTTCCGTTCACACTTGTTTGCAAAAAAAAAAAAAAAAAAAAGCAGTCAATAATTTAACGATCAGGAAATAGTAAACATATTTCAATTACTCAATGTTTAAGTTAATTAAAATTTTGAATAGCTAACACAGGCATATGGTGCCAGCTAAAAGGGACAAAATATATGCTTTCTCTGTCCCTCGGCCACCTGGTTCCCCTCCCTGGAGGCAGCCTCAGTTATCAGTTTATTGTGTGTGGCTTCTGTATTACACACAGAGGCGTACATACAAATGTACACAAATGCTAGCATACGTTAGGCTTTTTTTTTTTTTTTTTAACCTAGCAACATGTCTTGGTGATTGTCTTTCTTGGTACATACAGACTGACTTCAGTCTTGGAGAGAGTTGCATGGGATTGATTTATGGCCATTCATCAGCTGCTCTCTACTGATACACATTTATGTTCTTTCAGTCTTTTGCTAATTTAAGCAATGGCATAACGATTAATCTTGTACATATGCTGTTTTGCACGTGTATATTTGTAGTTTAAATTCCTAGGAGTAGAAATACTGAGTCAAAAGGCACAGACATTTAAATTTTTGATAGACAGTTGTCAAGTTGCTTCCCACAGAGGCTGTACAAATTTATTTATCAATTTATACTCTACTTAGAAAGTATGTGAGGCTCTCTTTCCCTACACCCTTGCTGACATTATCAATTTTTTTAATTGTTGACAATCTGACAGATAAAAATATCTCATTGTAATTTAAAAATTAGGTACATCCCTCCCTAAACTGTCAAATTCTGGAGAGATTTGTTCTTGGGGTCCTCATAGCCCCCATTCTTTGAGAGGACCAGCTGTGTGCCAGGCACTACGTCACATGCTGTGAAAACAAACAGTATTCTGAGAGAGCCAGATTCTAGTGCGAGGACACATGTAAACATTATTATAATATAGTATGTAATATATACTATAGTATAATATAGTATGTAAATGCTACAATTCTAGGTATGAGAAAATAGCCGGAATGATACAGGGTCCTTCTGTGTACTGAGCACTGTCAGGCACTGTTGTACAGGAATACCACTGTAATTTTCATTTCTCTTGTTGTACCAGGACAAGCCGCAGACAAAACTCCTCAGACACCGAGTTAAAGAAGGAAGTGGTTTATTCGGCCAGGAGCATCGGCAAGACTCCTGTCTCAAGAGCCGAGCTCCCTGAGTGAGCAATTTCTGTCCCTTTTAAGGGCTCACAACTCTAAGGGGGTCTGCGTGAGAGGGTCATGATCGATTTGAGCAAGCAGGGGGTACGTGACTGGGGACTGCATGCAGCGGTAATCAGAACGAAACAGAACAGGACAGGGATTTTTACAATGCCTTTTTATACAATGTCTGGAATCTATAGATAACATAACCGGTTAGGTCAGGGGTTGATCTTTAACTACCAGGCTTAGGTCAGGCAGGCCCAGGCCTAGTTTCAGGTCTGGTTCCTAGGCGCCAGGCTACCTGCCTTTAGTTTCGCTTCTCTTTCTTTTTCTGAGTATAAAACAGTATAAAACAATATGAGACGTTCTGTCTCTCTTCTCTCATCGTGAATGCAGTTAAGCATCTTGTTGCATGTTTGAGTCATTTTTTTCTTTTTTATGTGACCTGTCCTTTGCTATTTTTTTGTTGGGTTATTGATCTTTTGCTGATACTTTGTAGAAGGAGCTCTCTTTATAGAAGAGGCAACATTCCCCCAGTTTGTCTTTTGTCTTCGTTGATGAATTTTGTCGTTGTTGTTGTTTGCTATGTTATATTCTTAGTTTTCTGTAATTTATTTTTATTTATTTATTTATTTTGAGACAGAGTCTCGCCCTGTCGCCCAGGCTGGAGTCCGATGGCGCAATCTTGGCTCATTGCAACCTCCGCCTCCTGGGTTCAAGCGATGCTCCTGCCTCTGCCTCCTAAGTAGCTGGGATTACAGGCACACGCCACCACACCCTGATAATTTTTTGTATCTTTAGTAGAGGCAGGGTTTCACCATGTTGGCCAGGCTGGTCTCAAACTCCTGACCTCGTGATCCGCCTGCCTGGCCTCCCAAAGTGCTGGGATTACAGACGTGAGCCACCGTGCCTGCCATTCTGTAATTTATTGACCCTTTCTTTTCTAGCTTCTAAATTCTGTGTCAGAGTGTTAAATTATCTTTGCCTTTCTGAGATTGTAGAAACATTCTTTATTTTCTTCTAGTGCTTTAAAGGTTTAGTTTTTAAATGAGTAAATTCATTTTGAATGTCTAATATTCCCAGTTAAATAAAGAAATAAGTATTACTTGTTTTTTTAAAAAAGTTAGGGACTACATGAATTTTCTTACTGTATCATCTTCTCCCCTCTGCTCCTAAGCCTGATCTGCATCTTTTAAGGTGAGAAGTTGATGGTGATCCAGCCGTATCTTTATAGGGATGATACAGATCTCCATGTTGTTGCAGCTTTGGGCTCAATTGAGAATATTCTGCCTCTGATCACTTGAGGTCAGGAATTCGAGACCAGCCTGGTCAACATGGTGAAACTGGGTCTTTACTAAAAATACAAAAATTAGCTGGATGTTGGTGGTGGGTGCCTGTAATCCCAGCTACTAGGCAGACTGAGACAGGAGAATCGCTTGAACCCAAGAGGCAGAGGTTATGACAGAGCAAGACTCCTCCCTACGCCCCACCAAAAGAAAGAAAATACTCTACTTCATCTGTAGACAGCCATCTTGCCCATAACACTCTACTAAATTGGTCATTCATCTGATAGATATTTTTAAGTATCCAAACAACTGGTTGATATTGACACCCTTTGATCCAGTGGTAATAATCTAGATGTTTAGCGGGGTGTGGGCAAACATAAAGGCACCAACTGTCATGCAAGTAATTACACTGTACATCGGGAAGCAACATTATCTCTTTGGGACACAAAGGTAGTCGTTCTCATTTTTGTCCAGTATCTGTTACTTGTTGTGGTCTTTATAGTGTTCATCCCTTTCCTGAAGGTCAAGAGCTTCTTGCCCTTGTTCTCATGTTCTTGTTATTTTCTTATTCGTGTTATGAGTGATTCTTGGGAGATAATACTGCAAGTATATGATATTGCAAATATGCAGTTAAAGATTGACATAGAACATGGTAATAGACCTGTTACATTTCTTGAAATTTCCTTGTTAGCTTTGAGCTGAAAATACCATCAGAATATTTATGAGTATATATCAAAGCACTTTTCTGAGCATCAGCATATTTTGTAAGTATGAGAAAGCCATTGTGGTGTGAGACATCAACGTGGTTCTGCTATGTAATTTTAGGGCAAATTATGAAATATGTAAAGCATATAACAAATACCTATGTGCCCATCACCCTTGCTTTATTAAATCCTCATATTTTGCCATATTTACTTTATGTTTTTTTTCTTCTTTACAGTTCTAATGAAGTTGGTGCACTTGGTGGTTTGATAGCATGGGTATTTTCTTTTATTGTGGTAATCAGATATATTTTTTAAAGAAACAGAATCTTAAAGCTACAGCTGAAGCTCCCCTTGGTAGTCTGCCATATTCTCAGAATACTTGCTGTGTCTTCCCAGGTGTTCTGAGACAGACCAGCCTTTTGTGAAGAGAGCCAAATACTGGGAAGGCACAGTCTCTGCACGAAGGGAACATACTCACGGGGCAGCTGTTCCTCAGACTTGCCTTTTGCGTGGGGTGGGGTGGGGTCAGGGGAGAGATATGCATGTTGGGGAACAATGTGCTATTCTAGGTTTCTGTGTCTATTCAAAGCTGTCTTGATCAGTAGACTTGGTAAAAGTGTTTGTTTTTAGTGATTTTTAAAAATCTCCTGCCAGTGGTAATTTTGCAAAATGGTTTTCTATGAACTAGTGCAGGGGGCACAGCTGTGATCCTGCAGCCACGTCTGGGTCTAAAGGAAGCCTTTCCTGCAGAAAGCAATAGAGCAGGACTGAGGGCAGGCTGATGAATGATGTCTGTTTCCCCTGCCCTGCTTCCACCCTAAGCCAAGGGGGCTCTGCCCAACCTCACTCAGCTCTTCAAATGCAGAGAGAAGTACCAGGACCAGCATTCTGGGCAGATCAGGGTGGTGCCCAGCTTTCCCTGGTGTCCGTGGCACCAGCCTGCTCTGTGTGCCAATACTGTTGGTGACAGGAGAGAGAGAAATCTGGCAAGATAGGGGGAAAACAGCTGAGGTGGAGAACAAGGATGCCCTCTTGGGAACAGATCCATTCATCTGATTGGGTAGGTGAGATGAGACACGCATGGCTCACCTACTCCATAGGGTGCATCTGGCACATTCCGACCACCTGCCCCATTGATGTTGATCCCAGAAAACATCTCACCACCTGAGATGAACATTAAAATACCCAAGCACTAGCTTTGTGTATGTCTGACCTCCTAGGAGAAAATATCAGCACATTTCAATTTAAAAGAATCTGTCTTCTTTCAGTTTAAGCATTTGTGCTGTTCTTTTAAATTGAAATTGCATGCAGTGAAGTGCAGAGGTCTTAGAAGTACAGTTCAATGAATATTTTGGTCTATGTACACCTGTGTAACCACCACCCAGACCTCGTTATAGGACATTTTCATCCTCCCAGGAGACTCCCTGGTACACCTCCCCAAGTGTAACTGCTGTTCTGAGATCTCTCACCAATGATTAATTTTGCCTGTTGTTGGGTTTCACATAATTGGAATCATACAGTACATCATCTTTTATGTCTGGCTTCTGTCATTCAACATTATGACTGTGAATTTCATCTGTGTTATGTATAGTTCTTTTTAAAATAGTATTTGCTATTTAATAATGAGAGTAGATAATCAATTTGTATACTACTCTCTAATTCACTCTTTGATCCTGAAGACACCTCTCGGATGGTGTGTTTGTTGTTAGACCTCTTTTACAGATGACAGAAGGGCTGCATAGAGACTTTAAGTGTTGCCCCCAAGGTCACACCTCAGATAAATGATGACGTCAGTACTAGTTCTGGTTTTCTGATGCACAGCATCATTCTCCATTCATCGTGAAGCCTGTGCCTTAAACTGTGTTATGAATGGTGAAAGAAGTAAAGGATGAAAGGAGGGAGGGGCCCCCAAACTGATCATATTTTGGTATTTTACTGTGTAGTATTTTGGTTACAGACTGACCAGTTAATTTAAAGGAGTTAACACTGAACCCAGCCAACTCACCAGTACCTGTAAAGTATGAAACGGATGGTGAGGGAGAAGAGAAAAGAGGTAGCCAACTTGGCTCAGCAGCCAGCCAGATCCAGGCAACGCAGCTTATCAGAAAGCAGACCATCCTAGCATAGCTCGCAGTTGCATGCACATCATCTGTTTGCCCGGTGAGGCTGCTGTTTGCAGGCCGCTGAATGTGTCGTGAATTTTTGCCAGAGTGGCATTATTCTGGCTTTTTGGTCTCTGAATGTGGGTGAGCCATCCCAGGCTCTGTTTGGTACAGTGCTTTTGGGAAGGGAATGGTGTGAGTTCTCTTCCTTTTCTCAAGTGGTCCTTGTGACACAGCTGAAGCGTCCTTTGCAGCATTGATACCTTATTGATGGCCTCGGTTTTATTGTACATGCTGAGTTTCCATTGTAAAGAGATCAGATCTGAGATAAAGAGAAGCTGGGTTTCCTTTGCTTTCTGAAGAGGTTTGCTGATACCCTGTCTGTTCTATATTGTCTTTAAGCAAGCAAAATCATTGCTGATTTATATATGTGGGCAGTTATGTATGCATTTCCATGAGCCCTCATGGCCTGTAATTCTGGTCCAGGGTGTGGCCTCTACTACTGAGATTATAGGACCCAGGTTCTTAACAAATGGCAAAAAAACACGGGCCTGATGGTCAGAAAGTTGCAATTAAAGACGGGGGTCTAGGAACCCCCAGTCCCAGGAAATCCAGAGTCCCATGACCTGGATCAGAACCTCGGAGAGCTCCAGGTACTTGGCTGTTGGCAGATATACAGAGGCAGGAGTTGCTCTAGTTCCAAGCCAACCCTCCTCTGCAGGAAGGAGCTCTTCTATGTGGATGGATAATAAGGGACTTCAAAGATTTGGGCCTCAATAGTCTTGGGCTTTATAGGTAAGGTGATCTGTTACATCACTTAACTGTGGAGGGAAGCTAAGGTTTCCACTGGAGCCACAGGCTGAGTGGTTTTGAGTCTCCCTCCTATAGTCATGCCACTGGTTCTTCTTAGGAGGTGAGATGTACTAGGAGAGCTCTGCCTAGAAGGCTCAGAGTTTGGTTTCATGGCCAGCTCTGCCCCTTGCTAGCTTTGTGGCCTTCATCTGATCTTGCATCTTCTCTGACTGGGTCTCACTATTCTTATGTATAAAAATATATGTTTGGCAAAATCAGTTGTTTTTTTTTTTCCTGACAGTGTTGTTGTTAGGAACAAGTGAAAAAATAGCTGCTAAAGCACTTTAATTTATAAGCCTTTGCCAGTGTACAGTTGTATCATTGCTAGCATCATCACCTATTTTTAGAGCCTGTGGATAGGAATCCATGACGTCAGGATTCTGTGAACATAAGGTGTTGTCCAAGCAGTGCACCATCCCCCAACTTATATTTGCATGGTAATTGGTTCTGTGGGGTCAGCATGCATGTCACATATTTTTAGTCAGAAGCAAGTACACAGAGACTTGTGGTTTGCTGTTCAATTTGAAAAGTGTTTGAATGAAAGCTTGTCCTGTGGTCTTTTGGAAGTAACTGGAGATTTCTGTAGGGACTGACAAGAACAACAGACGTTTGAGTGTCCATTTTGCAGAGGCTAAACTGGGAGGGGAGAGATTGTAGGCAGGAAGACATGATTATAATCCAGGCAGTACTCCAGGAAACAGTGGTTAAGAGATGAGCTCTCGCCTGTAATCCCAGCATTTTGGGAGGCCAAGGTGGGCGGATTACTTGAGGTCAGGAGCTTGAGACCAGTCTGGCCAACATGGCGAAACTCTGCCTCTACTAAAAAACACAAAAATTAGCCGGGTGAGGTGGCACGTGCCTGTAATCCCAGCTATTCGGGAGGCTGAGACATGACCATTGCCTGAACCCGGAAGTGGAGGTTGCAGTGAACTGAGATCACGCCATTGTACTCCAGCCTGGGCAACAGAGTGAGACTGTCTCAAAAGAAAAAAAAAATGAGAGAGATGAGCTCTGAAGCTAGACAGGTTGAGTTCCAATCCTGGCTCCTACTTGTCTGACCTTGAGCAAGTTTGCTTAGCCCCCTGGGTCTTGTGTGGGTGTCTGAGTAGGGCCATAGTGTAGATTAAAAGTTGCAGTCCAGGTGAAGCTCTTAGAGCGGGGTTTGGCACATGGTAAGCACTCAGATGTTAGCTGCTATTCATGTGGGAGTCTTCTATTCATTTTATTGTGGTAATATATGTAACATAAAATTTACCATTTTAGTTATTTTAAGTGTACAGTCAGTAGCATTAATTACATTAGAATGTTGTGCAACTATCCGTACTATCTATGTCCAAAACATTTTCACTACTCCTGAGAGAACCCTTTAACTATCAAACAGTAACTTCCCATTCTGCCTCTCCCAACCTTTCAGGTAACCTCTAATCTACTTTCTATCTCTATGAATTTGCCTATTCTAGATATTTCACATAGGTGGACTCATACAATGTTTATCCCTTTGTGTGTTTTATTTCACTTAGCATAATGTTTTCCAGGTTCATCCATGTTGTAGCATGTATCAGAACTTTATTCCTTTTCGAGGCTGTATAATATTCCATTTTGTGGATATACCATATCTTGTTTATCCATTCATCTCTTAATGGACACTTGGGTTATTTCCTTCTTTTGGCTATTATGTATAAAGTTGCAGTAAACACTGGCATACAAGTTTGCCTTGGGGGCAAAGCTTTCAATTCTGCTGGGGTCCCTGCTTTCAATGCTTTTGAGTATATACCTAGAAGTGGAATTGCTGGATCAGATGGTAATTCTATATTTAACTTTCTAAGGAGCTGCCATACTGTTTTCCACAGGAGCTGCCCTATTTTACATTCCCATTAGCAATATACAAAGATTCCAGTTTCTCCACATCCTCATCAACACTTGTTTTCTTTTAAAATTCTAGCCATCCTAGTAGGTACGAAAGGGTATTTCATTGTGGTTTTCATTTGCATTTCCCTAATGACTAATGATGTTGAACATCGTGTCACATGCTCATTAGCCACTTGTATGTTTTCTTTGGAGAAACGTCTATTCAAGTCCTTTGCTTGGCATTTATATTTTTTTCCCTTTATGTTTTTAAGATACTACAGGAGGACAAAAAAGAAACAGATTGAGAAAGTAGATGCAGCCAGACTGGGCGACTGCTTAGATAGGGGGATAATACTGAATTTTCTACTCTGGGTAATTGGGTGGATGATGGGGTACCAAAGAAGACAGGCTGCCCTTTCCTGGGAGAAGGGGCAGGTTGGAGAAAAGGTATTGGCTTTGGGTGGGGCTGCATTGAGCTTGGGTGTTATCCAGGTGGGGAGCCTATAGAATTAACTGCCACGGCCATGTGTCCGATTGGTTTCTCTGAAAAAAATGCAAGACATATTTTAGGTTTTGTCTCCTCCCTGCTTCCACCTAAAGAAGCAACTTAAGCAATTCACTCATCATTCAGCTTCTCTATTTGGCAAATGTGAACAATTACTGGGGGAACAATGGAGTCTGGAATTTATGGGCCAGCCTCTCTCCTGGTGCCAGTTTCTCAGCCCTTCAGCACCTGCTCTTGATCAGACCCAGTCCTTCCTAGCCAGCTGCTCCCCACGTGCTGCTCTGAAGCATTGGGGAGTAGGGGTGAGCCTTCTTGAGAACCATGGCTTCTGAGGCTTTCTCCAGGGACCACCCCAGCCTCACAATGCTGGCGCTGCTTCTCCCACCCTTCCCCGGCTGCATGCCATTAGCAGTTATTGCTAAGTAGACACTTGCTATGTCGTCCTCAACCCACTGACTTTCTCTGAGTTACTCCTTGGCAAAGTTGGGTGTTGTGCTCTGTTGTGTTACTGCATCACGTTGTGTCTAGGTGGGGAATTTGCACGTGCACAGTCATACCCACACTGCGATGGAAAATGAGGTTTGAGCAACTGTTCTTCCCCCAAAGAAGCAACCGGTGAGGAAATGAGCCCACTTGGTGGCTTGTTGTCTTTACTTTCAGAGCCAGAGCAGGCTGGCAGCCATCACCAAGTTAGCATCCTGTCATGTGGCTCAGGCGGGCAATGTTTGCAGATTGTCCCCTGATGCCATCTGCCTGTGAGGCTACAGGAACCCCCAGCAACTGCTGCTCTAGCAGGTGCTGGGGCTGCTGAGGTAGGTGTCCGTGTACATATATTCAAGCACACACAGCTTTGTGTGGTGTGCAGAGGTACCGGTGTTGGGCTAGGGCTGAGCTTCGCCTAGTTAGGCCTCTGGGACGCCAGTTGAAACACTCAACCTAGCAAAGCGCCAGCCCCAGTTGTTGGTTTCCGGTGGGGCCCTGGTGAGGGAGGAAGAGAGGGTGAGGCTGCTGTGAACAGAGGCAGCAACTGGGGAATTGGATATGGTAACTAACACACTCTTGAGTGTGCAGGAAGCTGCGGGGAGTGGCATTGTTTTGACAAACTTTTGTTGCTTTCTTTCTGCCTCTGCCCTCTGCTCGGGCCTAGTCATGGCCCTCTACCCAATTTAGCATCTCTGTTCCTTCCAGCGGGGAGCCCATCCCCATTTCTTACCTCATGGGCTCTTTTTAAGGAGCGCATTCCTCATCTTTGAGCTCTTCCTGCCATTCAGCCATGCTTTGGGTCAGCCCCTAAGCTTTCACTTTTCCCCAAGTTACTGTGATTATGGATTCAGACAAGCCTAGAAAATCCTTACTCCTTTGGGGGGAATTCCTGTATACAGACTTATACTTTGTGAGTCACTATTATCTTGGTCTAATAATGCTTTTTAAAACAATTATGTAAATTATTAAAGCAATTTGAAATAATTATATTAGCCATCAGATTTCAGAAATCTAGATCTTAATGGAGCTTTGATTAAGAGTCTACCTAGAGCAGGGGTCAGCGAACTTTTTCTGTAAAGGGCCAGATATTTTAGACTTTGATCTCTGTTGCAGCTACTCAGTTCCGCTGGTGTAGCATGAAAGCAGCTGTACAAAATACTTAAATGCATGAGTATAGTTGTGTTCTAATGAGACTTTCTTTACAAAAGTGAGTGGTGAGCTTTCATTTGCTGACCCCTGATCTAGAGTGATAAGCCATCCTTATTTTTTTTCTTTGTCAAGAGTTGAAAAGCCAGAGGAACTTGATGACTGTAAATGCATTAGAATCATCTTCTTTTGGGTTTAGTATCCTTGTGAGCACAATGGTAATTTGGGAATATGCTTCTTTAAATCTCTGTTGAGAAGAAGATAAATCAGAAGGCTTTTTAAGGGGGTGAGTCTGCTTGGCCAAAGCTTGTCATTGTTTAACAAGAACAGGCTGTCACTTAGAGCTGTATGGTGGCTTTTATGTTTCACTCATTCTCTTTATAGTCACATGGAATGGCCATAGTTACATAAGGTCGCCTCACCATACTGGGGCTTATTCCACTTTATAGGACCAGGTGCTTTTCTAATAAATGTAAGAAAACTACAAAGATACAGAAAATGGTGTTTTTAAAACATGATGTTATGCTAAGTTGGCATTGCTATAGTTCATTTCCAGAAAGATGGAGCTTAAGATAGTCCAAGAGGCATTCTAAAGTTTCAAACTATAATCTTGTTTTCCTTTTATCTGTCCTCACAGGAAATAAAGAAAGAGATGAAGAAAGACCCTCTCACCAACAAAGCTCCAGAAAAGCCCCTGCACGAAGTGCCCAGTGGAAACTCTTTGCTGTCTTCTGAAACGATTTTAAGAACCAATAAGAGAGGTATGGAAAAGGAAAAAGAGGTTCCCTCCCTGCACACAAACAAAAGCTGGAAACTTCTGGTGAACTGTGTCAAACTTTATATTGCTGAAAAATTGAATAGAGTTTGTCCTTTTGGTTTTTGGTATATATTTTGGATACACACATACATACTTGGCAAGTGACTATATGTATAGTAACTGTAATAAAGGGAACTAATAAAAATATTTTTTGACAGTGGGAAAGTAGACTACATTTGTAAATGATGATTTTTCTGGAGCTGTAGATTTCACTTTCATATCTATTTTTATGGATGAAAGGTGAATTTAGAGAATGCTGTGGTGCAGGCCTGAGCCGTGTGTCTGACCGCACTCTCCCTTTAATTTAAGGCAAACCTTATCAAGTTATTTCTCTCTCCAACTGCTAGGCTCCCTAGCGCAGACCCTGCCTCTCTGAGTTTGTGAGGCAGAATGTGCAAAGATATAGCTAACACATCTGTCTGACCAGAAGACCTTTAACAATCTTGTTTTCTCTCTTTTGAGACCTCAAGGCAGATTTTCAGGTATCAGCTTGTTGGAGTTTTGTTTTTTCTCCCATCCCCTCTTGGTGATAATTGTTTGAAATAATGTGAGAGAGAATAGAAGACTGCAGAGACGACCCCACTCAATTTTATACTGTGAGCACACTAGGGTCCCTCCGTTTTTCCTGACCTTGGACCAGCCAGGGCACATGCTGAGCATGCCTGTAGGTTAGCGCTTGGCTGCCAGCTTTTAGTGGGCTTATTACTTCCTTAAAGAGAAATAGAGAGCTGTTTGAAAGCAGGCACAGGAACTAGATTAGCAAAGGGTTCCATTAACCAGAAAAAAAGAAGGCAAGTTTATATAACCATGGGGAGGAAGAACAGCTAATCTTTCATAAAATTTAGACAGGATAAGAATTTGTCCAGTAAACTGCCCATTGATCATAGCTTTGTGCCTCTCTTCCTTTCTGTCTCTTCCTCTACTGCCTCCAGCTGCCCTGGGTTACATTTCCCTTTTTGAATTATTCAGATCAAATATTGGCTGGAGGCCCATGTTGGTTAGCAGCTATAGGATTTTCTTTCTTTTCTCGTTTTGTTAAATTCATCCTACCAAAGCAGGGGATTTCCCATTTTAAGAATTAAGTGCCCTTTGCTGTAAAACTACAGTCTTGCCCAAAAGTGCCTCCTGCATTCTTGCAAGTAAGCTCTCAAACTCCTGAGACCTGCATTCATTGGATTTGGTGAGGTAGAGTTCAGTGTGTGTTCTTTCTGCACTTTCAAACCAATGAGAAGGAGCCCTCCCATTCCTCCACCTGCCTCTTGGGTCCGCGGGCACGGCAATTGCACGCATGTTGACCAGCGGCAAGGCCTCTTTGGCCAGCCATGGTTTTTGTCAAGTCAGTAAGAGATTTAAAGTAATTAATTAATTTAACAAGATAAGGAATTAATTAAGGTAAGGAATTGAGGTAACTATTTGGATGAGTTTAGTAAAATTACCTGAGAACTTTAAATCAACGAAGGAATAGAATTTTTCAGATGATTATCTCTTCACCACTGAAAATCTGGCCTCTGAGTTCCCCTATGGAATTTTTCATTCACCAAAAATTGGAATGCAGAGGGATGGCTTACTGCCTTACATTCCATTTTGAAAGCTTTCTGCCTTGGACCTGCAGCCTGGTTATGGCCAACCTTTCATTCTGAGGCATTTTATATGTGGAATCTGCCGGTGGTTGTGGGACCTGAGTACATGGAGGCATTCTGTAAATATGAAGTCTATAACAAATCATCTTCATTCTGTCCGAGGCTTCACCCTGACCTCCTGGGTCACCTGGGCGTAACATAAATTTCCAGCTGAAGGGAAGCATTGTGTACCAGGCCCAGGGCTGCCTCTGGCCCTCCCCCACCAGTCAAGACTACCAGTATTCTGCTACCCCTTATAATAAACAGCGGGGGTAGATTGATTGGCCTTGTCAGGCCAGATAAATAGTTCATTGTACTGAGCTCAAAAGCTACATTTTTTTCCCACCCAAAATCAATGAAAAAAACACTTTTTTCCCCCCTTAAAACAAGGATCAGAGGCTAAATCTGTGGGATGATTCTAGTTACTTGTAAACACTTCGGTCCAACTAATTTTTAAAGTTTTATGAGTTACCATAAGTGACTGAAGGGGCCTCCTTCCCCTTTGTTTCCATCATCGAGCTTTGTCTCCAGCAACCTTTCGGATGTTTTGGTCTATTACTGTTGTTGTGGCTATTAGGGAAGGAAGTTGCTTTCAGGATTTATTAACAGCCTGCTTTGATTGGCTAACATGGGATCTTAGAGGATATGAGTTGAGTCCACCTTGTGATTCAGTCTTGGACCCTTGTAAGAATTTAATAGAATGAACACAAGTTCTCTTCCTTGAACTTGATCAAAGATGAGATGACTGTTTTCTGTATATGGACCTTATCATTTGATACATGCTTGAAGTTGGATTAATAATGAAAGATTGACATCTATTTCTATCATGAGTCTGAAACTGAACCACTTCATTGGGTCCTGAACTTGAGATAGTCCTAGCTGAAGAAGTTTGCCCAATTGTGTCCAGCTGTTTTTGCGTCTTGTGACATGCCTCACTTTGCAGCAACTGCAAACAGGTAGTAGTCCCTCACGTTGTGGGATGAGCTCACCCTCCCCAGACACCTGCATAAGGTCAGAAGACATCTTGGGTTTGAAGGAAGCTATTCATAGCCTTGAGAAAAAGCCAGGGCTATGGAAACCTTAGTTTGGGGACTGATTAGTTTCACTTTTCAGCTTTAACGTTTGTAAACGTCTGCAGAGTTGATTTAGGGGGTACTGGAATGACTCCATGGGCTTTTTTTTTCTTTCTTTCTTTCTTTCTTTTTTATTTTTTGGAAACAGGGTCTCACTCTGACACCCAGGCTCTCACTCTGACATCCAGGCTGGAGTGCAGTGGCGCGATCATGGCTCACTGCAGCCTCGACCTCCCCAGGCTCAGGTGATCCTCCCACCTCAGCCTCCTGAGTAGCTGGGACTACAAGGTACGAGCTACCACACCTGGCTAATTTACTGATTTTTCGTAGAGCTGGGGTTTTGCCATGTTGCCTAGCTAGTCTTGAACGCCTGGGCTCAAGCAAGCCTCCTACCCCAGCCTCCCAGAGCACTGGGATTACAGGTATAAGCCACTGTGACTGGCTGGCTTTTCATTTGAGAAGATGATGTGACTGGAATTGAGAGAGAGAAAGTACATCCTCCCAGCTGACTTGGCAGCCACTGGCTACACATTCTGGCATTAGAACCTTAGGGGCACTTGTGTCTGCACTCACTTCTGGCCATTTCTGTGGTCCTTACCTGAGTCACAGTGAAAGAGCTTCCTGTTTAAAACAAGCCTTTCCTGAGGAATAAGAAGTCGTTTTTCATTTAAACTTGCAGCATGGATGTTGTATGTTCTGAAGTTATCCCAGACTCCAGTATATCGATGAGTTAAGCCAGAAAATGTGAAAACTTTACTTGGAGCCAAATGTCATTCTCTTGATGAACCAGACAGAAAAGAGTTGTATGTTTTCTTCAAAGAATGATTGATTCTTTTGTTTCTTCTATCATTAAACCCATAAAAGAGAATGATGGGCCCTCCTAAATTGGAGCATTGATATATAGAGACTTTTTTAAAAAAGCATTCAAATGCCGAGATTGTGCCACTCCAGCCTGGGCAACAAGAGTGAAACTCCATCTCAAAAAACAAACAAACAAACAAACAAAAAAAACGCATTCAAATGTTGAGTTTAGAAGAAAAATTGAATAAAACGGAAGTTTGAACAGTTAGCATATATCCTAAATAGGTTCTTGAAAATGAACAGTGGATTTTTGTCCATTTGAATATAGACTCTTACCTACTTGAATTAAAAATGAAATAAAAAAATCAAGCTGGACACAGTGACTCATTCCTGTAATCCCAGCACTCTGGAAGGCTGAGGTGAGAGGATTGCTTGAGTCCAGGAGCTCAAGACCAGCCTGGGCAACATAGCAAGACCCCATCTCTAAAAAAAATAAAACAATTAGCTGGGTGTGGTGGCATGCACCTGTAGTCTTAGCTACTCAAGAGGCTGAGGTGGGAGAATCACTTAAGCCCAGAAGGTCGGGGCTGCAGTGAGCTGTGATAGCGCCACTGCACTCCAGCCTGGGTGCCAGAGTGAGACCCTATCTCAAAACAAAAAACAAAAAAAAGAAAAAATTATTTGATCCTTAGAAGGATTTCCTGGCTAACTTTATTCATGTGATCAGTTAAGTATCCAGGCTGTCATCAATACCCTGCTGGCCCGTGTGAGGACCAGGTTCCATCTCAGGGTTCTCGTTTGCACTGTTAACAGTGCATGCAGAGAAGATGTATCTCTGCCTCTCTCTGAACCTCTCCTGTTGCCTGGAATTTTGGACATTGTTCCTTCCTCACTTTTTGGTAGACACCCATGAACATTCAATAGTACATGTTTAGTGCATGCCCACTATGCATCTGCCCTTGTGCTTGGTGATGGGGCAGATAAAGACTGGAAAAACACCAGCCAGTCCTGCCTGCAAGTAACTCAGTCTGTTGTATCCCTTGGGAAACGTTGAGAAAGTGCTGCACGTTTCTTATATCATTTTGATGGCAAGGTGGGGATGTGTCTTGTATTTACTTCTGTCATTCTGAATGTGAAGCCACTCCGTGGGTTTCTGGTTGGCTTTATATGTCCTTGTTTCTATTTCCAGTTTATCATGAATTCAGTGTTTGGTAAGTCTCTATTGTATTTTGCACATTTACTATTTTTTGCTATATTATTATGCTCTCCTGATACAAAATGTATTTTATAGTTACCTTTTTAAGTCGCTCTGCTACTTTGGCATCTGCCTTCCCAAAGATAAACTGCTTTTACCATCTTTATTTAAGGTTTTTTATGCATTTGCATTTTACTGCCCCTTCCAGAGATTAATGCTGAAAGATCTGACGGTTTAAAAGATGTTATTTGTAACAGGTCTAGCTCTGATGCTACGAGGTGAGATCGTCTGTCTCATGAGATTCAAGTTAAGATGGGGGAGGGTTGCTCTCTGAATTGATATGTGGGTATGACTGATTGTAGAACATTGCTCTGTGGGTTCATTTCTGGTGTGTTTAATCCTTCAGACGGGTTCCATTCAAAAGTTTTCCTTAACAGAGGGATCAACGGCTGCTCTTCCTCTGGTGACACACTGTTGCTTTAAAAGTTAGTGCAGAAGTTCTTCCACATTAATATGGACCTCGTGTTTGCCACATGGAAGGGCTCTCCAGTTTGGTCTGCTACCTGTAGCTGTCAGAAGAATGTTGCTTAATGTTTACCTTTCTTCTCATAGTTTCAGCACTGGTCATTCCAAGCCCTAAACAGATCTAAGTGACTGCCCGTCCTTTCCCCACTTCCCCTGAAGGGGAAACGTTTTTTCTAGCTTTTAGTGTGAGGGCCTGGAATGCTTCTCATGGCGCCAAGGCGGTGGCGTGGATCTTGATAGGCCGTGAGCTCTTTGGCAGAAATGAAACTGTTAACAAAGGATGGAAAGAAGTATGTCCTTAGTAAAGAAAATGTCAACCTCTTTGGTTTGCCAGTGGTTTGTTGTTTAAGGTAAATGTGAGATCTGGGGGTTTGTTTGTAGAGATGAGACTTTGTTTCTTTCAAATTTTCTATTGGAGAAATAAATGTGAATTCTTGCCAGTTAACTGGGAATCTGAAAATGTGCCATTTGGGGTCAGACTTTTCTTTGAGTTTCAAGATTGCCTGTTTATTTGACTTAAGGAGCTGGTGTTTATGGACAGATAGAATAAGAGTTAACAGAAGACATTACTGTTGTGTAGAAGCTCTTGGCTATCACCTGAGCTGGTCTTTCCCAGGGGAAATGAAAATCTGGCGATCTGGCAGTGAATGGGGATAGATATGATACATAGTCATTCAGTAATATATACGTCTGTGTGAATGTATCTGTATACGCATCTATAGTCTTATTTTCCAGTGGGCCTTCATTCTCAAAAGCTCTGGAGTCAAGAGCCTTTAAAGAAGTCTTTTAAACTAACTGATCCCTGACTGCATTTCTGGCAAGTTTTATTGGGACACTGCGTTGTTAGCACCAGCAATTGATGTTGGAGTGTGTGTTACCCTTTTTCATGTTATTTTCTGAACCTATTGAGCCTAGAGTGAGGGGTGGTGAAATGCATGGTAAGAACTACATAGGAGGGTATAGCCATCATGTTGCGATTATGTGTGGGTCATTGATAAAATCGGTTTTTAGATTTTTTTTTCTGTTATGTTTAATCTCCTTTCTATCTCTGTGTCTTCTGATTTCAAGGCATTAACACTAATGAGTCTCCCATGGGTTAGTCATGGGTTTAAGACTCCCGCCATACTCCTGCTGGTGTCCGCCCAAATCCACCCAGAGGACAAGCCATGAAGTGGGTTTGTGGTGGTGGCTCCACCTGGTGGCTCTCCTAGGAAACTCCTCTTTCTGCCCACCTTTTCCTTCTCCTTGGGAGAATCTTGATGGAGGATGCCTTTGATTCCTCTGACTCAGTGTTCACTATTTGTGCAGTTCCATCCCAGACCCACGGCTTCTCACATTACTTATGGATTTTTTTAGCCCTTTTGCTTTTTCGCCTAAGAATTGCTCTTTGAACTCATATAATCTGTGTCCTGATCCTTGTTCTATCTGTGATACCCCTATGGACCAGGATTATTGTTAATGAGGATTAAAAAAAAAAAAGGACTCCCATAGGCATGACTCTAGATATAGATATTAATTTGGACAAAATAAAGAATCACACTGAAATCCCTGTAGGTATGTATGCCAAAATCTCCTGCCTAATAGCTCCAAGTACCCTTATCTACTTCTTCTTCACTTTTTGTTGAACCCATTTTTCCTCAAAGGAGCAATATTTTATTACCAATGTTGTTTTCAATTGTCAGCAGGTGGCGAAAGTAAAAAGCCAACTAACTTTTTGGCTTCATTGTTGTTTCATTATTGTTTGTGAATTCTCTACAGGCAGCCCCCTTCTTGCCTGGGCACAGACTGCCCCCGCTTGGTATGTCACTGAGCATAAGTATTTTTGATAAATAAAAATGTCTTTTATTCTCATTATTTTTCAGTTTTTAGTTGTTGATAATATTGCAGATATGACTTATTTTAGCTGCATTGTGGGTCAGTCTGGGAACTTAATCACCATTTATAACTTTGCTTCTATGGGAATAATGCATTCAGAGTTCCAAACTCTCTGCATAAGGCACATATAAGTCTTTTTTTTTTTTTTTTTTTTTTTTTCTTGGAGGCAGAGTCTCGCTCTATCCCCTAGGCTGGAGTACAGTGGCATGATCTCGGCTCACTGCAACTTTCGCCTCCCGGGTTCAAGCCATTCTCCTGCCTCAGCCTCCTGAGTAGCTGGGACTACAGGCACCTGCCACCATGCCCGGCCAATTTTTGTATTTTTAGTAGAGACGGGATTTCGCCATGTTGGTCAGGCTGGTCTTGAACTCCTGACCTCAAGTCATCCCCCAGCCTCGGCCTCCCAAAGTGCTGGGATTACAGGCGTGAGCCACTGTGCCTGGCCAAGTCTGACTTCTTTTTTTTTTTTTTTTTTTTTTGCATTGCTGACATGAATCCTTAAGTACCTTTGTAAAAGTCAGAGTCCGTATAATCGGTGCCCACTGAAGTTTGCTCATGTTGCAGAGGAGTTTATAATTCACACAGTATAGAATGCTGGAACTGTGCAAGCTCCACACAGTACACTAGGCTCTGAGGATAGCTTTGGGTTCAATCACATTGCACCATTGTATATGGTGCTTATTTTCACAAGGCCTGAGTTGGATCTTAGTGTGCCCACGTTTGTATGAGGCATGTCGTGAAAGTGGGTCCTATTGTATATTTCCATCTACTAGTGACGAGACCTTGCACCAAGCGTGACATGCTCAGATAGAAACCAGCCCAGCATTTCTCAGTGTGTGTTGTATGGAATTATAGCCCTTCTGACTATTCCACAAAGGAGGGATGCGGGGAGAGACAGGCAGACAAGCGGGGAGAGAAAATTGCCTCTCTCGTCAAATTTCAGCTGCAGCACTAACACCATCTTGGAGACTGACAAGCACATTAGCATAGTACAGGCTCTCAGATGGCCTATGGTAAGGAGACCTGCTTATCTTTGATCATGGAACTGCATGTTATTGGATACTAGTTAAGACTCCACTTTGGGATATGTTGGGCTTTAAGATACAGGACAAGGAGCTCTGTAAGCATCCCCAAGATAATCTTCAGGTTCCACCTCTCATGGGAAATGTTTGAGTAAGTGAGTGGAGATGGTGGTGCTGGCACTCAGAGAAATGACTGGCGAGGCTTCTTAAGCCTGCGCTGTCAAAAAACATGAGTTAGATGATGCTAGGAGAACATTCTTTGAATCTGAAACTTGAAAGCCAGTCCTCTTGGTAGTTTTTCAAGTGACAAGCTGAAAGGGAATTTTCCCTCTGATCATTTCTTGGGTCCTTGTATCTAAGAATGAGGCTTAGACACATGAGTGGAAGTCCTAGTCTGGGCTTTGGCATGAAAAGCAGGCTGAGGGGACCCAACCTAGCAACTGGTGAGGCCAGGGTGTTCAGGTCTACCTGGGACTTGGATCACGATGGAACCTGCGATTCCAGAGGTGGTTTTTATTATGATGACAGTCTCTACATAGTCAACATAGTCTCATTGCCTTCTCTACTTGCTTTGACTGAAAGACAGAAGTCTTAGCTTTTCCCGATGCCATTAAAACACTGAACGTTTATAAAGAAGAGCCTTCTTCTCTCCCTACTAGTGAAACAGGCTGGCATTTGAGTTCAAGTAATAAATCCACATGTGGGGTTGTGAGGAAAAACCACATAGCCTGCCTTTTTAGAATTCTGGAATCACAGAGTTACAGAGGTTACAGAGGGACCCACTTATTGACATCCCAGGCGAACGAACATGGAGCCTCTGCCCAGGGAATTGAAAAGGACACTCCTTGGCTCTGGCCTTGGCTAAGCCCCACGTGGGAGCCTCCTTTCCAAAGGGAAGTTTTTCTGGGTAGGGAACTGCTAGATTAATGAAAGGTAATCAGGCCAGGTGTGATGACTTACACCTGTAATCCCAACACTTTGGGAGGGCAAAGCTGGAGGATCTCTTAAGCCCAGGAGTTCAAGACCAGCCGGGGCAACATGGTGAGATGTTTTATAGTCTCTATAAAAAATACAAAAATTAGCCGGGCATGGCAGCGTGTGCATGTAGTCCCAGCCACTTGGGAGGCTGAGGTGGGAGGATTGTCTGAGCCTCGGAAGTGAAGGTTGCAGTGAGCTGAAATCGCACCACTGCACTCCAGCCTGGGTGACAGAGCGAGAACCCGTCTCAAAAAAAAAAAAAAAAAAGTAATTAGAGGTAGATGATATTTAGGTGCTGGTTGCATTTGTTGCATTATATGGGGACAGCAGCTATATTCACTTGCAGTAAGCTCTGGAAAAGGGGCATTTTCTTCTAATTATATCTGTTGATCTGTCATCACAGCCTGGTCTCTCTGATGCCATGTGCAGCCTCAGCTTAGTCTTTGGATTCTTGGCTTTTTGTGCTTCTGAAGCCTTAAGACTGTTGTACCCAAACAATGAGGACATTTCATGGCCCACCTCCCTAACTCATGATTAGGCCAACAGCGGGCCCAGCTGCAGTGCCAGGTGGGCTGCCCTCATTGTTTCAACCAGGAAGGGAAAGAGAGACCAGCCAGAAGCTTCCTCTGCATGTGCCTGTGCATGAAAAAGAGCATTTGAGGAGGACTAGCCTGCTTGTCGCATTTGTGTTTCTCTGGAGACCTGAATAGGTTCAGTGGCAGCAGGACCTTATTGCAGGGAGGATGGCTGTTGGGAGGACCCAGACCACTCCTGCTGCACCTCCACAGCTTCTGCAGCACTTTAGACAAGTTGCAGATTCCCCCTGTGTTTCCAGGTTTCCCATTTGTAAAACAAGGAAATGCTCTTGTTAATTCCTTCAGGGCAATTGTGAAGATTAAAAATGAGTAAAGAAAATAGGTTTTGGGATAGGGAGGCAATAGAGTGAAGTGGGGTAGGGTGTCACTCACTGAATACAGTAGTAATTGCTATTAAAAGTAGTAAACTGCTAGTAAGACCCCAGAGCATTGGGAAGGAATTAGAGATTTATGGAAAATAATAAAACGTGTTTTCATGAAACAACCTGTGATCACATGCACATGGCACCTTCTCCAGGATGGACCATATGCTAGGCTGTAAAAGAAGTCTCAGTGGCCAGGTGCGGTGGCTCACGCCTATAATTCCAGCACTTTGGGAGGCCGAGGCGGGTGGATCACAAGGTCAGGAGATTGAGACCATCCTGGCTAACACAGTGAAACCCCGTCTTTATTAAAAACACAAAAAAATTAGCCGGTCATGGTGGCGGGCTCCCGTAGTCCCAGCTACTTGAAAGTCTGAGGCAGGAGAATGGCGTGAACCCGGGAGGCGGAGCTTGCAGTGAGCCGAGATCGCGCCGCTGCACTCCAGCCTGGGCAACTGAGCAAGAATCCGTCCCCCCCACCCCCCCCCCCCGCCAAAAAAAAGGAGTCTCAGTAAATTTAGAAGGATTAAAATCATACGAAGTATATTCTCCAATCACAATGGAATTAAATTAGAAATCAACAATAGAAGGAAATTGGGGAAATTCACAATTACATAGAAATTAAGCAGTATGCTCCTAAATAACCAATGAGCCAAAGAAGAATTCACAAGGGAAATTTTAAAATACTTTGAAATTAATGAAAATGAAAACATGACATACAAAAATGTACTGCCTGTGGCTAAAGCAGTGTTTCAAGTGAAACTGACAGCTGCAAATGCCTATGTACAAAAAGAAGACAGATCTCAAATTAATAGCCTTTCTACTTTCTACTTTAAGAAACTAGAAAAGAAAAGCAAGCTAAACTCAAAGCAAGCAGAAAGAAGGAAATGATAAAGGTTACAGTGGAAATAAATGAAATAGAGAATCGAAAAACTATAGAAAATCAATGAAACAAATAGTTGATCCTTAGAAATGATCAACAAACTTGATAAACCTTATCTACACTGATCAAGAAAAAAGGAGAGAAGATTTCAGTTACTATATGAGGAGTTAAAGCGCGAACATCACTACCAATCTTAAGAGAAATTAAAAGGATTGTAAGGGAATAGTATGAACAACTCACCCACTGCTGGTGGAAATGTAAAATGGTACAGCCACTTTGGAGAACAGTCACCCATATGACCCAGTATTCCAGACTCTAGAAAAATGAAAACATATATGTCCACACATAACTGTACATGAATGTTCATAGCAGCATTATTCATAATAGCCAAACAGTGGCAACAACCCAAATGTCCACCAGTGGATGAATGGCTGAACAAAATGTGGTCTATACACAAAATGGAGTATCGTAAGAAGGAATGAAGTCCTCATATATGGATGAACCTTGAAAACATTATGCTAAGTGAAAGAAGCCAGTCACAAAAGACCGCATATTGTATGATTCCATTGATATGAACGTGCGGAATAAGCAAATCCCTAGAGATAGAAAGTAGATTAGTGTTTGCCTAAAGCTGAAGGTGGGAATGGAAAGTGATTTTTGGTGGGCGTGAAGTTTCTTTTTGGGGTGATAGAAATGTTCTAAAATTACACTGCTGTCATGGCTGTACAATCCTGCAGATACATAAATCCATTTAATTGTACACTTGAAATGGGTAAATTTTATGGTATGTAAATTATATCTCAATAAAGCTATTAAAAAATACAACACAAATTGGGGTTAAAATGCTATGTCTGTCTGTCTGCCTCTTTCTCTTTTATGTCCCCTACCACTAACCTCCTTCCCACAGCTGAGGGACAAGATGTGTCATTCCATTTATTCAAGTCTTTAAAATTATATATTTCTCAGCAAAGCTTTATATTTTTCTTTATTCAATCAGTTGCCTAGGAGATAGTAGGTCTGAGGGATCAAAAAGACACTGTTTTGCTAAGGGTGACCCAAATATTAGATAATCGATTTGAGAAGGGTAGAGAACTGGCTGTGGCATCCTATTGTTCATTTCTTGAGAAAAAAATGAGATTCTCTGTAAATCAAAAGCCAAACCTCTTATATTCTAAATTCTGTGCTTCGTAGAAAGAGCCTCTGCTAGAAAGGAAAGAATCCATTTATGTTTCCAGTTTTTCTTGCCGTTGTCAGTAACTGCGTTGGCTATTTTTGCTCATAAATCTTTATCCACAGCTCTGATGATTTCTTTAGGAAAGATTTCTCAGATGTGGAATTACTGGACAAAAGTGTGTGTATATTTTATGGTACTTGGATTCATTATCAAATTGACTTCCTGAAAGCTTGCACTGATCTGTCTCACTACTGAAGTGGGGAGAGTGCTGCTTAGTGTTCTAAGCTTGAATTTCTCAGATTAATCGAGTGCTTGAACATTTTTTCTTCCGTCATTTGTTAATAATCTTTGCACTTTATATTGAGGTCCTTATTTTTTTTTTTACTGGTTGGTGTACTATTCCTTTGTCATTCATGGCAAATTTTGCTTCCCAATTTGTTTGCTTTTCATTTTGTTTACGATTGATTTTGATGCACAGAAATAGTAAATTTTTATGTAGATTGGTATATTGATGCTTTCTTTTGTGATTTCTCTGAATAAATTATCACCTAGCTTATCTCCTTTTTTTATACTGGCTTCATTTTTTACTTCAAAATTTTAATCTGTATAGAATTTTGATGTGTAGTATGAGGTTAGTATACAAATTGATTTTTATTTTGAAATAGCCACTTTTCCAGGACCATTTATTGAATAGCCCTTTCCAGTGATTGTATGATACCTCATTTATCATATAATATTATTATATATATGAAAGTCTTTGGGCTTTCAATTCTATACCATTAATTTGTTTTACCATTCTTAATATGGTTAACTATTATGGCTTTATAATATATTTTAATATATTGTATGGCAAGCTTTCAGCCTTCCTATCACCCTTCATTTTCAAAAAGGATTTAGTTACTCTCATTTATTTTAAAATCATGTCATCAAGTTAAAATTTTAATTTCATTCAAATTATAAGTCACTTTTAGAAGAATTAACATTTTTCTAACATTTTTGTTTAAAGCTTTGCATTGTTGCATAAACCAACTTTATATACAAGTATATAAGTGAAAACCTTTTCTCCCCCACCTCTCCTCCCCAAACATCACAGTAGGCTAATTCTTGTAAATTAAAACATCTATCCCCTTCTGAATTCTAAACAGCTTATTCTAGTCAGCCAGTGACATGGGATGTCACTCTGTTGAGTCAAGTGTTACAGTTTTATTTGTGCAGTCTTGCTTGTTGATGACGTTATTCCCAGATAGATAGTGGTTATTGTTGGCTTTTGTAAATAGGATCTTTCCCCTCATATTTTTTGTATTGCTGGTACGTAGAGGAATTTAACTTTTGAAGATTTCTTTACAATAGCCCTTGTGGAACACTCTTGCTAATTAAAAAAAGTTCCTCTTTTATATTTAGAAAATTATTAGTACCTATCAGTCACTAGTTTTCAGAAGGTGGATAAGTGGAAATTATAAAATGCTGTATTTGAACAAATGATATTTTAGAAACAAAAATTCCTTGGCTTGGATAGAACGCTGTGTGTGTGTGTGTGTGTGTGTGTGTGTGTGTGTGTGTGTAGGGATTTTTATCCAAATTAAGGAATTTTATATATACAGTTGACCCTTGAACAACACAGCTTTGAACTGCACAGGTCCACTTATATGTAGATTTTTTTCAGCCAAATGCAGATAGATAATACAGCATTTGTGGGATGCCAAACCTGTGTATACAGAGGGCCGATTTTTCCCGTGCTTGAGTTCCACAGAGCCAATTGCGAGACTTAAGGATGTGTGGATTTTGGGATGCGCTAAGGGTCCTGGAACCAATCTGCCGGGAATACTGAGGGATGATTATATATGTATATATATGCAGCTGTTAACAGTGTTATATTGTATATTTCAAAATAAACAGAAGATTTTGAAGTTTTCACTACAAAGAAATGATAAATATTTGAGGCGATGGATAAGCTAAATACCCTTACATGATCATTATACAATGTATACATGGATCATAACATCACACTCTACCCCATAAATATGTACAATTATTATGCGTCAATTGAAAAGAAAACTTAAAAAAGTGGACATGTGCAAACCTCAAAAAAAATCAAAAGCTAACTTTCATTAGTTCATATTATGAAAACAACTGTTTTTGTTTGGTTTTTCAACTATGACAGTATATTAAATGAAAAAAGGAAAACCTTAGTCATCTGATCTTAATGATTTGTAATCTGATCTTAGTGATCTGATCTTAAATGAATTTTTTTATATATTTGGGGCTGCATTTCATTCTATTAATGCATTTTTATTCTTCCGCAAGTGTTGTGCATGTTTAGGTTTTTATTTTCTTTACTAGATTATAAGGCGCTTGAAGGAAAGAAACCACATCTTATTCATCTTGGAGCTCACTTTAATTGTTGAATGAAGTATATGCTTGTACTCATATACCCTAATCCTTTTGAAAAACAAGTTACTTCAAGGCAAACTACCAGAGGGAGAACTAACTTATTAAGTTACATGGTTAAGGGGAAGCTGTTGAAATTCTGTGATTCAGAGAAATTGTCTTTGGTTTCTGAGTACCGAGGGAGAGAGGAGACTTATTAAACATCTGTTTTAAGAGTGGATCCTAGAATAAGTACTAAACCTAGGTCTTGGCCTGACCACAGGCAGTTTACTAGAGAGAGAGAAGGTGAAATAGTTTCAGAGGAGGAAATTGCAACTAGATCTTGAGTAATGAGATTGAAGGTGGAGCTAAGTTAGAAGGGTAACACTGTGCTCAAAGAGAAGGGTCCTAAAATTTTCACATTCACTTGTGTAACATGCGATGGCGAGTGCGAGAATGTATACAAGACAAGGGAAGGTTTCAATTTCATGTGAACATTTTAATCTATATTTGATTTTACCCTTTTGCCCAAGGTTTTATAAATGAAAGTGTAGGCCGGGCGCAGTGGCTCACGCCTGTAATCCCAGCACTTTGGGAGGCCGAGGCGGGCGGATTACCTGAGGTCAGGAGTTCGAGATCAGCCTGGGCAACATGGTGAAACCCCGTCTCTACTAGAAATACAAAATTAGCCGGGCGTGGTGACACATGCCTGTAATCCCAGCTACTCGGGAGGCTGAGGCAGGAGAATCGCTTGAACCTGGGAGGCGGAGGGTGCAGTGAGCTGAGATTGCGCCATTGCACTCCAGCCTGGGCAACCAGAGTAAATCTCCGTCTCACCAAAAAAATAAACAAATAAATAAAATAAAATAAAATAAATGAAAGTGTATAGAGTTCAGTTTATTTTCTATATAGATGTGTACTCTTCCCTTTTTGTTGGAGTACATGGGCCAGACCTAGCTTTTCCTTCATTTCTGGGCTTTTCCTTCTCTGATATTTGATTCCTCATCACTTTCATCAGGACCAGGGAGGGAAAGTTAATTTTGGACTATGTGATTATGCATCAGTTTTGCCTGTCAGGAACCTAGTATTATGAATGATTAATGATTAGTATTGTTCTAAGATTTCAATTTAGGTAAAATTTATCTCTCTAACCACCTGCAGCTTGCTTGTTGAAGATTCTGTAACACTAGAGCAGGGAGGTGACAATCCCTGTGGGGGTGGCCTGAGAAGCTCTTTTCTCCCCTCCCACCCTTAGTCTCTTCTTGCTTCTTTTTCCTCTCTGCCCCCTTCTTTTCTCCCTAGGGCCCACTTGGATGGATTCTTTGGTATTGTCATTCCTTACAAAGGAAAATAAAAATTCCCAGATAGTTTGCCACTGAGTTTTCCCTTTAATTATTTTACCCCTTTGCTAGCCCACATTATTTGAGAGATTAAAGCAAACAAATGAACACAGCGTGCTGCTTAATAGTTATTTCTTTTATGGAAATAGAGTTCTGCTATGTTGCCCAGGCTGGTCTTAAACTCCTAGCCTCTAGTGATTCTCCCAACTTGGCTGCTCAAAGTGCTTAATAGTTATTTTTTTTAAATATTGTTTAGGGAAAAAATGATACCAGTTGTTTTATATTTGACCTTTTTTAAAAAAAAGCTTTAAAGCAGCTCTTTGATAATATCACTAGAAGTAGTTTATTTCTTTTTGAAGAAATTAGCTTCCTTTGTAATTTACTTTTGACTACATCATTGAGATAAAAGGTAAGGCAGTTGAAACTATGTACAAAAAGGAAAAAAAAAATCGCTCAGTTACTGATGGGTCTGGCACTGTGTGGTTAGGGATGGGAAAACCAGCATACACTAGAAATGAAAATCCTGTTTCTATTTCATACGTATACATATACTTTAAAAACTTTACATGTTCCCTCCTAAGCTTTGGCCCTGTAGCTCTTGCCCTTCTTGCACAGAACTCATGTGCAATTCACATTAATGTTGAAGAGACTCCTTTCCTCCCTCCTTCTCTCCCTTCTTCCTTCTTTCCTCTGTTCCTTTCTTCCTCTGACTCTCTCTCCATCCTTCTCTTCCATACTTTCTAAGGACCATCCCATTCTGGAGTGGGCCCTTAGGGTGTGGGTATATTTAAGTGTGTGTCATTAGCTCTTAGTTACCTTTTCACAGAGTTGATGGGAATAAAATGGACCATTGAAATCCAGGAATGACCCACAGAAATGCTTTTGCAGTTTAACTCTAAACCTTTTTATTAGAAAGGCTTATATAGGATGTGATTTCACTTTTCTCACTTCCTGCTGATCCTCTCAGGTGGAGGTGATCATAAATTTAAAAATGACCAAACCTAGGCAGCAAGAAGGAAGAGAGGTAAGCATCAGCTGGGGATTTTGTAGGATCAGTCTCTCTCCTTCCACATGTTCATAAATTATGAACTGTATCGATCCATTCACATTGATGTATGAACTCATTCTGCCAAAAGCCCAAGTTGAAGTGGAAAATGGAAAGTGATCATTTATTAGAGCTGATGAGTGTCAGCTTTGTACTGAAACAAAGAAAACGAAACCACACAGGCCTGGACGGCCTCCCCTTCAACCCTAAGATTCTGTGGCCAGAGGCAAGTGGGCCTGGGGGTAACCAGCAAGACTTAGTAACAGTTTACAAATATCCTGCCTGTTTTCAGTGGCTTGGAATCAGACTGTTATCTCCTTGAGGCTGGAAAAGCATTTCTGTGCCTTTATCTCCCCATGACTTCTGCCCAGGATGATTCAGACACCCTCACTGGAATTATCTTCATCTGAATAATTCTCAGCTCTATCAGCCATTATCAATGTTGGGAAGGTTATTTCACCTTTTTAAGCATCGATTTCTTCATCTGCAAGTTGAAAGGTTGAGAAGTTTCTAGTATGTCTTCAGCTGGGCATGGTTTCTAAAAGCTTTTGTTCCTATCTTCATCAGAACATAACTAGTTCTCCAGTTCAGGGTCATGGTACTGTTTATATAGAGTCCTCAAAGCATTTTAACCTGTGAGCCCTCATTTGGTTATTAAGCTTTTGGAAATGTTGAAAAGCTTAAGCATCCCACTTCTCTCTTTGCAAACCCTCCCCAACGTTCCCAGGAAGAAATATTGGGGTCCAGTCTGTGTACCATCAGCCCATTCTAGCTCCTACAGCTGACAAACATTTGTTGAACAAATCAAGTTCCCACATGACCAGTCAGAAGCCTCTGGAGAGCTTCAAAGAATTCTTTGCTGAGAATGCCCCATGGTGATTTTGTTGAGTAATGAAGTTAAAATAATGTTTCTGTCTTTGGTAAACCACCCATTCTCACCTACTGCATGGCAGCATGGGTTTCTGCCAGTCTTTACTCAGCTTGATTGCACAAGGTTGGGCAGGTGGTGAGATGTGTATTCACTTTGCCTTCAGCTCAGCATGCTTCAGAATACAGGTTTAGCATCCCAAATGTGAAAATCCAAAATCTGAAATGCTCCAAAATCTGAAACTTTTTATGTGCTGACGTGACGTTTAAAGAAAATGCTCATTGGAGCATTTTGGATATCAGATTACAGATACTCAACTGGCAAGTATAATGCAAATATTCCAAAACATGAAAAAAAAATCTGAAATCCAAGACACTTCTGGTCCCAAGCTTTTCTGATGAGGGATATTCAACCTGAACTGCCTCTTCCAAAGGCTTTTGCATATCATCTCCATATTTATTTCAGTGGGTGTGGGATAGAATCACAAATTCTAGCTGCCAGTTCCTTCTCCTCAACCTGTTAGATGATAGCTAAAGATTGCTAGCTAAGTGATACTTTTTTATTTGAGATGGTGTCTCGCTCTGTTTCCAGGCTGGAGTGCAGTGGTGTGATCTCGGCTCACTGCAACCGGGTTCAAGTGATTCTCCTGCTTCAGCCTCCTGAGTAGCTGGGACTTACAGTCACGTTCCACCGCGCCCAGCACGTTTTTGTATTTTTAGTAGATACTGGGTTTCACCATGTTGGCCAAGATAGTCTCAATCTCTTGACCTTGTGATCTGCCTGCCTCGGCCTCCCAAAATGCTGGGATTACAGGCATGAGCCACCACGCCCGGCCTAAGTGATATTTTTTAAAGCATGTTTAATATTTCAAAATGAGGTTTTAACAGAGACACATAGAAAGGGATCAACAAGGGACTTGAACAAATATTTGCACACCCACATTCAGAGCAGCATTATTCGCAATAGGCAAAAGGTGGAAGCAACCCAAGTGTTCATTGAGGATGAATTGATAAACAAATATTATCCAGCCTTAAAAAGGAAAGAAATTATGACACATGCTGTAACATGGATGAACTTTGAGGACATTATGCTAAGTGAAATAAACCAGACACAAACAGACAAATACTATATGATTCCACTTATGTGAGGTACCTAGAGTAGTCAAATGTATAGAGACAGAAAGTAGGATGGTGGTTTGCAGGGGCTGAGGGAGGGATAATGGGCAGTTATTGTTTCATAGGTATATAATTTCAGTTTTGCAAAATGAAAAGACTTCTGGAGATGGATGTTGGCGATAGTTGCACAACAATGTGAGTGTACTTAATGCCACTGAACTGTACACTTAAAATGGTTAAGATGGTAAATTTTATGTTATGAATGCTTTACCACAATAAAAAAGGATCAAGAATAACATGACAAATACCCAACACCCTTCTACCCACTACCAGCTAAGAAATTCTATCAATTAGCAATTACAGTTGATCTGTCATGTATGTTACCTTGTCTCAGTTGCATTGTGTGTGTTTCTTGAGAAGCGTGATGGATGACTTGGGTAAGAGAATTCTGGGTCAAGAGAGCATTCCTTCTCCTGTTTTCTTTTCATTTTTATTTGTTAGTTAAAGATAAACATAGTACAATAAGTAAAAAATTAATAACCTTTCTCTGTCCTTTAAAATTAGTGTTCCTAACTCTAAAAAGCAATGTTTCTAGAAACTTCTGTTTACCCTTTGGGCTCTGATGAATGTGGAGAAAAGAGAGAGAACACTTAACTCACCAGGATGGAAGAATAAGATAAAATATTTGCAACCTCCTTCCTCCCTGAATGTTGTGTTAAACGTTTTTTTGAGGACTTGCGCTGTGTCAAGTGTTGTCGTATCAGTTATCTATTGCTACAATATTGCTGCATAACAAATTACTACAAAACCCCAGCAGCATACAACATTAAGCTGCTCTGTGTATCTTGCTTGCATTATGTGTACAACAAACCCCTATGACATGAGTTTACCTATATAACCTGCACAATGTACCCCTGAACCTAAAATAAAAGTTAAAAAAAAAAAGAATTAGGACCTTAATGCAATCAGTACGCCCTAGTTACCTATGCAAATGTTGTAGTGGAGACATCTATGCAGTCCTTTAAACAACCCTGAGAAGTAGGTGGCATTGGCCTCATTTTGCAGTTGGAAAAAGCAAGGCTCAGAGAGGTTATAAGACCTATCCAAGGCCACACTGTTAGTGAGTGGTGTAGTTTGGGTTTGAACCTGGGTCTGTCAGACGCCTTCCTCCATGCCGCCTCTGCCAAACTCCATGCAGCACCTTGGATTACCACCTATGGAAACATTCTGTTTTGCCTTTTGTGCTTCTATTTGCCCCTCCCACTCCCGCTCTACTCCTTTCTCTATTATATTTGATTGAGTCCTCTTCTCCAACTTCTGAAGTGTAAGCTGTTTCTATAGTCCTGTCTTTGGCATCTTCCTGGGTTCAGCTAATGCCATGAAGCATACGATTCCCTAAGCCCAACCTCTAGGCTGGCCCTCCCTCCTTGCTGCCTTCATGTCCACTCTCAGACACTCTGTGCTGGCTACTGGTTTCTGGGCTGCAAGTCATAGGCAACGTGGTTCCATCTGGCGTAGGTCATGAGGAAATACCTGTCTTGTGTAACAGGAAGTTGTACACACACAGGGCAGGCTTGTCAGGGCCCAGGTTTCTTTTCTGTGCCCTGCCTCTCCTGGAGTTGGCTTTGTGCTGTGACCAGCAAGTGGAGCAACAGTGGACTTCCCAGTTTACATCCAGTGGGGAAGTGCAGGGGACCTCTCTTCATTTAGATGCTCTGGGCAGACCCACCTTTGTCTCTCACTGTACCACCCTGACCTAGGACTGCCTGCCCATCCCTGAACCTATTTCTGGTGGGAGCTGACCCACGTCTGGTGGTCTGTGGTGGAGTGGCAGATGGGAGACAGTCACTGTGTCCCCAACTGTCCCTATGTGGTTGAGCAGCAGATTCTCTCTCCTGTCAGACTCCTGTTGCTTCTGTATTCTGCATTTTATTTGTTTTTATTTATTTTTTTGAGACAGGGTCTCACTCTGTCACTGAGGTTGGAGTGCAGTAGCGGAATCATGGCTCACTGCAGCCTCCACCTCCAGGGCTCAAGCAATCCTTCTACCTCAGCCTACCCGAGTAGCTGGGACTACAGGTGTGTGCCACCATACCTGGCTAATTTATCTATTTTTTTTTTTTTTTTTTTTAGAGTAGAGACAGGGTCTTGCTATGTTGCCCAGGCTGGGTTCAAACTCCTGGTCTCAAGCAATCTGCCTGCCTCAACCTCCCAAAGTGCTGGGATTACAGGTGTAAGCCACCGTGCTCAGCTGTGTTCTGCATTTTAGTTGGTGGCATTACCAACCTTCACTTCCTCCCATCGACACTTTGGGGTCATTTTTAATTCTTCTTTCTTCTTCATCCCCTTATTTACTTACATGTTTTGTTCTAACTTTGTTTATGAGATGGTTGTTAAAGGTCTGTTCTGGGCTAGCCTGTAGTAATCCCCAAGGAGGCCAGCTGAGTTCCTGTTCACAGAGTCTAGGATTTGAGAATCAAACAATCCCCAGGCAGCGTGGGCAGGGTAAAGAGAACATTATACACTGGGTGCTGTGCTCTCTCATGGTTGTTATTGGTGGTGGTGGTTGCAGGGGACCATAACCCTGCCTCAAAAGCAGTCAGGGAAGGTGTCTGGGAGGGGGTCACATGTAAGCTGATGATTCAACCTTAGCCATGTCTCTTGTTCTTCCTTTTTAAAAAAATATTCCCTGGTTTCTGATTTGGACTCTTAACACTTCTTCCTATAAACCAGAAGTCAGCAAACGATGGCCCATGGGCCAAACCTGGCACTGGCTGTTTTTGTAAGTCAAGTTTTATTGGCACACAGGCACACCCATTCATTTATGTGTGGTCTATGGTTGTTTTCACCACTACAATGGCAGAGTTGAGTAGTTGCTACAGAGGCCATATGGCTCACAAAGCCTGAAACATTGACTCTCTGGCCCTTTACAGTAATAGTTTGCTGATCTCTGCGGCAGACCATTAGAAAAACCGAATTCCTGCCTGCCGGGAAGTTTCGTCTTGCAAAAAGAGATATACGTAATATATAGAAAATTTTATAATAAAGCCCTTTGAGGTAAAGACAATTAAGTGCTGAATACAATATTTAAATGCTGACAAAAATTATTGTTGGGGAGATTAATGTGGATTTATTTTTCCCTACTTTCTCTATTTTTCTCTGCTCTTTCTCTATTCTGCAAATGAATCTTCATTCATTTTTTTTCGCCTCAGGATTTTTAGACTGACACTTTCTAGATTTATAACTTCTAAGTTTACACTTTTCATGACACTCACTTTCTGCCCTCTGAGAGGGGGAGGAAAGGTATGGATCAGTTTGGAAAATGAAGTCTGGGTGAGATATAACCCCCTCTTTTAAAAAAATACACCTTTGCACCTTTCCTGTATTTACAAGGAAAGTGGGATTTGTTTAAATAAAGAGAAAAGTCTTTATCTGCTTCGAATAAATAGATAGGACGTGCATTACTAACCTGTTTGTTTGGTGGGGTCGGCGGGGGACATCTGCTTAATAATCTGCCCTTTTCTGGATGATGCTTATTCCCCACCCCACCAAGAGGGGACTGATTTGTTGTTTTTCTGATCCCCACACAATCATCTGCTCAGTAGGGCAGCTTTTGTGCTATTGGGTTGTTTACACCTCTCTGCTCTTTTAAAACATTTTCTAGTTTGACCTTTTCTTTTAGACTCATCCTAACTTTTCTTAGACTTACTATAAAAATAATACATGTTTAGTGTAAAAAATTAACAGAGTCAAGTCATGGTGTAAAGAGTCACATCAAATCCCTTCCCTGAGTCATACTTCCTGGAAGAGACTTGGTTCATGGTCATCCCTACAGATCTCTGTGTAGATATTAGGAGGAACCATAAGCAGATGCAGATAGTCATTTGATCATAAAGATGTCAATTTCAAACACATAGTGGTACATACATCTTGGCATTTTTTAAAAACACAGATGGGATCATACTGTTCAGGCTATATTGCAATTTTTGTATTAAGTTGACGAGAATCTTGGAAATCTTGCCGTATCAGTTCATTTAGAGCTATGCTTCTCTTTGCTAGTTTGTGTGGAGATACACCTATGGCTTAATTAACCAGTTCCCTGATTGAAGGACGTTTAGGATAATTCTGGTTTTTCACTATTCTGACTAATGTAGCAGTGGACATTATGCATATATCTTTGTACATTTCATGTGAGTTATCTGGAGTATAACTTCCTGAAAGTGGAATTGGTGTTTTCTTGACTCTTTTACTTTTAACACTTTTTTTTTTTTTTTTTTTTTTGAGACGGAGTCTCATTCTGTCACTCAGGCTGAAGTGCAGTGGCGTGATCTTGGCTCACTGCAGCCTCAACTTCCCAAGCTCAGGTAATCCACCTCAGCCTCCCAGGTAACTGGGATTACAGGCGTGTGTCACTACGCCTGGCTAATTTTGTTTTGTTTTGTTTTGTTTTTTGTGGAGATGGGGTTTTGCCATGTTGCCCAGGCTAGTCTCGAACTCCTGAGCTCAAGAGATCTGCCTGCCTTGGCCTCCCAAAGTGCTGGGATTACAGGCATGAGCCAGCATGCCTGGTTGAGACATTTTTTTTAGACTTCTTTTTTTTTTTTGAAGAACTGGTCAGATGCCTCTGGTCCCAGCTGGCCATGCTGACCATAGGGTCCTTCATCCTCTAGTGATACCACAGAAATGGACCTCAGTGGAAGTCAGGCAATCCCTCCAGGCAGATCCTGTGCAATTATAAACATTAGCATCAACTTCCCTCCTTCTATGGAATATTTCTGTGCTTGCAGCCCGGCAGGCACTGGGGACGGACACACACACACACACACACACACACACACACACACACACACACACCAGTGCGCACGCGCACACACACACACACACACACACACCAGTGCAGCTGAGTAGGGCTGGGAGCAAGGGGTGTGTATGAAGCCGTGTGGGTACATGGAAGCCCTAGTGACCTCTTTATACCCGAAGGATAGGGGGAAACTTGTAGTGCTTTCCAGAATTTAAGTAGTCAGAAAAGGGAGAGAAAAGTAGGGCTGAGTTGGGGGAGGGTAATGAGGCTGTGGCAGGTGTCAGCCTGCAAATTAGCTGTGCTGGCCTCCCTGGAAGAAATCATGGGCATTGAGCTCAGCCAAGCCAGGGCACCAGATGACAGAGTGGGGCTCTCGCCAGCCACTGACCCAAGTAATAAGAGGGCACTTGGCAAGCAGCTTCATGAGCACCGTGCCACGTGGCCATTTGTGGTTCAGGACTTGCGAAGTTGCCCAAAGTGGCTCTTTTGTTATGATGTGTTACTCCAAAGCTTATGAAGCATTCCAATGAACAGAGTCCAAATGTTATGTTTACTGCTTTGTTAAATATAAATAGTTTACCCTTGTACCTTTGGGTTTCCTTGGAAACTGTAATTTTTTTAAAGATAGGTTCTTGCTCTGTTGCCCAGGCTGGAGTGCAGTGGTGCAGTCATGGCTCACTGCAACCTAGAACTCATGGGCTCAAGTGGTCCTCCCATCTCAGCTTCCCGGGTAGCTGAGACTACAGGCACACATCACCATGCTCTGTTAAATTTTTTTATTTTTATTTTTTGTAGAGACAGGTTCTCGCCACGTTGCTCAGGCCTTGAAATTCTGCCCTCAAGGGATCCTTCCACCTTGACCTCCCATAGTGCTGGAATTATAGGTGTGAGCCGCTGCACCCAGCCTGGAAATTACAATCTTGAAAGCAGGGATTGGGGGTTCTTTTTATTTAAAAAATTTCCATGGAACCTGTTTGCCAGTCTGGTGAAGCCTGTGGACCCCTTTTCAGAATAATGTTGGTAAATGAATAAAAAGGGAACCAAAGAATTACAAAGGAAACCAATTATGTTAAAATAGTTGTCAAAATAGTACAAAAATACAAGCAAGACATATGCTTTATTATAGCAACATCCAGCAGTGGGTCAGGAGGTGATCATAATTTTGAAGCAGGGGTGAGTGTAAATGATAGTTCAAGATAACTGCAACTGTGAAATGAAATGAAAATATCTATTCATGTAGTGGGAAATAAATAAATTTCATAGATGCTGCTAGTACCATTGTGGTTTGTTGCTTAGATTCACGGTGAGAATAAAGGCCAAATTTCAGAAGATAGTAAAAGATGTATTTTTCTTCCCATGTAAGTTTAGACCCCCTGAATTCTATCCACACACCCCAGTTAAGGACCTCTGCTTAAGGGGTTTAGCCTTTCAGATTATGAGGAATGAATTGCAGGGATATAAACTCCCATTTGCATCAAGAAAATTCAGAAATACCTAGGCTTCCTCCCCTCTTTATTCTGATGGGGATGAGAAGGGAAACTATATTAAAAATGAGTCAAAATTTAAAAATATTATGACTACCTGCAATGAAGATCTCCCCCTACCCCCAAAAGAGAGGGTACATGTGGAATTCTTTGACACTTTCTAAATCTCCGAGCACAGTGGCCATTTTTGGTACTGATTTTAAAAACTGGGAAACCCTAGATTTGTTTATGGTGTGTATCTCCCACCCCCACAACCCACACACACATACCTCCCAGTAATTCTCTAAGATTAGGCAAGACAGAAGTATCCCAGATGAAGGTCTTTAGGATTTTCTAGACCTTTGTTACAGTTCTTCAAATGTTTGTGTCTTTTTTTCTCCTCTCCTACCCCTCATTCCCTCATCTTTTCCCCCTCCCTGCCCATTCTACCTTTAACTGTAAAAGTTAGGTGTCTGATATATTCATTTGTCAGCAGCAAAGTTTGAGAATGCCTTTAAAAATAGATATGTTAGAGGGAGTATGTTGGATAGAAAGGAGAAATCTTGTTTATGCTCAATAAATAACTTACATTTAGAACCTTCCTTCAATTTTTCCTTTGAAATTCTGTATTCTCATTTCACTTGAATGACTCTGCATGGAGCGTTTAAAAGTAGATCAAACAAAACCCTATAAATATGTTGAGTTCTTTTGGGCATTTTGCCAAAATTAGCCTTGCAGGGAAAAGCAGTGTGCTTTACGTATTGGATTTTCTCCTCTGAAAATCCAGACTCCCTCTCCTCTGGAGAGCTAGCTGCCAGGGCTGGGGGAAAGTCAAGCCAGGGACACATTAGGGAAGTGTCCCTGGTATGGCCTGCTGAGGTTGGGTTATTTGGATTGAGGGTTGTGCTGAAAGGCCAAAACCAATGCCTGGGACCAGCCTGAAGAAAGATGAAAAGCAGAGGGACGTTTAGAGACGTCACTGATTTTATGTTATGACGTGATTCCTTTATCTCACTCTGATTGGAAGGGAAGGCTGGTGAAAAAAACATTAACAGAGCTGTCTTTTAACAGATTCCTGAATGTAAAGCCAAATGGAAAAAAGGGAGAGAGTCAGGTGGAAGTAAGCCCCTTGGAAAGTAGGTCTGTCTCCATCATCCCAATTTTATACGTGAGAAAACCGAGGCAGAGAGCCACGCAGGGGTTGCAATGCTGGGTGAGTTGGGCCGTTTGTCTCTTCTGTATTGTTAACTCAGGGTTCTCTATTATTATTATTATTATTGTTATTATTATTATTATTATTATTATTATTAGTTAGAGGTGGGGTCTCACTATGTTGCCCAAGCTGGTCTTGAACTCCTGGGCTCAAGTGATCCTCCTGCCTCAGCCTCCCAAAGTGCTAGGATTACAGGTGTGAGCCACCATGCCTGGCCCCAGGGTTCTCTTTTATGTGCTTTAATGCTTTAAGTGAAGACCACGTATCCATGAGCAGTGAAATCAGAGCCCCTGCACCCTTTCACATGGCTAATTCACATATCATTTTTATAAGATATAGTTGAGGTGGAGGATGTTGAGTTCTTCATGCTCATGGCACCAAAATTACAGATGTGGCTTCTAAAGAAATATCAGATGACAATGTTAATGTTAAAATATACATATACAGCTCCTCTTTGCAGAAACTCAGTTTATTCAATGGATGGCCCCTTTGACTATTACGTTGGAAGTAGAAACTTGATTTGGGGGGGTCAGATGTTAATTGCCCAAATTTAAGACAGTTTTCAGTGACTTCTTTAAATGAGGCATTAGACTCTGAAGTTCATAGGGCTGAGGAGGGCCTGGATCGGGGATTTTCTAGATATATGGCACCTGGGGTCCACATAGGGATCTAGAGTGGTGCAGTGGCATCGCCCTAACCATCATGAGGCAGATGTGAGTGAGTCGAATTGGTTGATACAGATGTGCGTGAAAGAGCTGAGAGGTGTCAGGGTTGAAAAGATGGAGACAGACAGCAACCGACACTCACAGATAACAAAAACACAATGGAAGGAGGACAGTGCTAGAGAAAAGCAATGGTTGTTAGGAGAACCCAGAGAAGGGGCCCCCACGGCTGAATGAATGAGTATGTATGTGTGTGTGTATGTATGTGTTCCCATGAGTGAGGGGCGAGCTCGGAAGATGGACACCACAGGGCCCCTCCACCTAGTGAGAGATGGCTGTCTGGGCTGTGTAGGCTGGTGGTGTCTGGCCAGGGAAGATAACCTTGGCTTGGTCACTGATGGAATAGTATGGGCCTCCTCAGGGTTCTGTAACAGCATCTGATCAGAATAATGACTAATGTGGGCTACAGATGTGGAGCCCTGTCTCTGAGCTCACACCTCCTGCTGTGTTCGTAGACCAGCCACAACCAGTTGTCATTGGGAGGTCCGAGGCCCCTTGTCATTCAGCCCCATGAAAAGCACCTTTCTTGCTGATTGAATTGATATTTATTTCTTTCAAAACACCAACTCACTTTACCATTAATGTAATCAAAGTGTGATCAGAAAGGTAAGTTTCATAATGCAAGGTAATTATTTTAATAGGTGACTGTGATGTTTTTAAAAAGTGATTACAGTATATTACGTGCTCTTTGTGAAGACAAATTGATATTGTAGAAGCATTTAAATGAGTTTCTACCCTTCCCCCAATCTGCCTCCCCTGAAGTATCACTGTTACTTTGGGGTATAGCCTTCCATACCATTTTCTGTGCTTACACAAGTGTGTCCGTGTACATATACCCCCTTTCTCTCATTCATTTGTATCTTTTTTTGAGACAGTCTCTTACTCTGTTGCCCTCATTCATTTAATTGTATTAGACCTTCATAAATTAGTTGAATGTTGAATGGATTCATTTATTTATTAATGAACATTTGTTGAATGTATACTCTGTGCTAGGTTCCGAGTTATCAGGAGTAACTAAAATGCTACATGCTGCTTAGAGTTATGAGTGTGTGTGTGTGTGTGTGTGTGTGTGTGTGTGTGTGTGTATTTATAAAATTGGGATCATAGTATACATATTACGTGATTTAGTCTTTTAGTGTACTATGGACACCTTTTCACACTGATACACGTAGAGCTACTTGTTATATTTAATGGCTGCTGGATATACCTTCCCCTCCCAGTAGACATCCAGGTTTCACATGTAGATCTCTGTGCATATATGCATTTGCTATTAGAAACAATGCTGCCCTGAACCTTCTTATACATATATCTTTGCCTACTTAAACCAAATGTTTTCTGTCTTTTAAGGGGACCGAATATAAAATCAAACATACGTCATTTCTTGTTCATATATAGCCCTGCTCTACGGTTTAGTAAAGTTAATTCACAGGGGGCCATACGTTTGTAAGAGGAAAGCAGTTAGAGGCATAGATTAGCATTATTTAGTATTACAGATGCTTCAGACTACAAAGTTGATGGAGAATGAGTTGGTCAATTAATTGACCAACTTCGACACACCAACAAGACTGCAGGGTCTACCATCTTTCCATCCCTATAGCATCAACAATTCCAGATGGCATTGACTTTTGTTTGTTTGGTATATATATATTTTTGTTTTGAGACAGAGTCTCACTCCGTTGCCCAGGCTGAAGTGCAGTGGCACAATCATGGCTCACTGCAGCCTTGACCTCCTGGGCTCAAGCAGTCTTCCTGCCTCAACCTTTCAAGTAACTGGCACTGCAGGTGTGTGCCACCATGCCTGGCTAATTTTTTAATTTTGTGTAGAGACTGGGTCTTGCTGCCCTGTTTAATACCATGTTGAAGCTTTAACTCCCTTTCCCTCCACCTTTCAGGATGTGGAATTCATTAGTTCATTCATTTGTCGAGAATGGATTGAGTGTCTACTCAAACAGACACTGAGCTAGGTGCAGGTATGAAGGACAAGTAAGAGAAGGTCATTGGCCCCCAAAGGAGGCAACAGGCATGTCAGCTGACAATTGTTTGGCGTATGTCTGTGTCCATGTCTGCTTTGTGGCCTCTCCTTCTCTGGGTGTGTAATTCTTTCCACTGTGTTTTTCCAGCTGTGTCTTTCATTCTTCTGCTGGGCCATCTCCTGCTTCTGGGACCCCTCCCCATTGCCATTCTGCATATCCCTGACACCGAGCCCTTCTCCCTGGATCCCTGTCCTCATCACATCTTGTTCTACGCTTCTCTATCCAGAAGCCTCCTCTGGTTTCTTATTGCCCACAAAATAAAGTCCTCATCTTTAGCTTGGCATCCAGAGTCCACTAGAAACTCACTCCCAATCTGCCTTCCTGGTATCATCTTGCGTTGGTGGAAGAAGAGGGCTGAAGACCACAACTTATTTAACCCATGTACCCTGGACAAGTTATTGAGGCTTCCTGTGCTCATCATAAAGATGGGGCCAGCATGCTGAACCTCCTAGAGTTGGCCTCAGGACATGAGGGAAGGCCAGTTACATGCCAAGCGTGGTTCCTGGCATGTAGCAGGCACTCAATGTTCATTTCTTTCTTTTCCAAGATGAAGGTGATTTTTCTTCTGTGACTTTTGATGTTATCTGCCTCCCTTCCTACCCTCCATGGCTCAAAGGCTCTAATAAATGGTTCCCTACTAGTTCTACATTTTCTCTTATATCCTGCCAAGACTTGGGAGAAAATGAGCACTGGCATAGCTATACCCACTTGTCAGATGCCCTCTGCCTTTGAAGTAGCAGGCAAATGGATTTCCTGTGTTCTGCGGTGCAGAGATGTTGATTATACACATCCCTGTGAAAATCAAGCAGGCTCATCTCCAGGGACCACACAATGCTGGTTAATTAAATATTATACATTTCCACTGCAACAGTCCAGGTACAGCCAAGAGGGGTTTGTAAAGAAACACCCACAGGGTCCTTTTATTTGGAGTGCCATTGGCTTCTGAAGTGTCCTCCTCTTCCTGTGAGTTGCATTATGTTGAAACAGGATGACGAGTGGAAATGTTTCCAGTAAAGAGTATGATGCAGGGGTTCTGCAAGATCGGTAAATCTACCTTCTCTTCCCTTGTACTCGGAATCTACTGGACGTCCCAAGTAAAAAATGTGTGAATCTATACATTTAGTTAAGTTTGTATTGTTTTCTCCATCCTGAGATAGAAAACATGGCTTCTTGCATAAATTGAAGTTTCCAACTCAAGAACAGCCTTTAAAGAAGCTGGCATGCTGCTCAGTAACTGGGGAGTTGCTGCCTTCCCCCCACCCCCTGAGCCCCTGGCACCTAGCAGTGTTTGTTAATGAATCATAGCAGAGACGTCCATCTTCTCCACTCTCCTGCCCCAACCCAGGAACACATTTCCAGAGCTAGAAACTACTTACTGCAACTGTTCCAAAGGTCTGTGAAATAAACATCACAGCACAGCAGCATTCACCTGTGCTATGTATTAAATACTATTGTCAGATATTTAGAAGTCTGAGTTCTCTCCCTTGTGGGAAAAGACACCGAATGTAGGACCTAAAATAACCTGATCCTGGAAGAGTCCCATTCGTTTTTGGCCTGATGCTCTTCTTTGGGCAACAGATCTGACTAGGTGTCTCTGGACCTTGGCTGCACATTAGAATCACATGGGGATCTTTTAAAATCCAGATGCCCAGGCTGCACCTCAGACCAATATTGACATTTGAATCTCTAGAGGTGGGTCCAGGCATTGGTATTTCCCCTTAAAATTTTTAATCAGAAAATATTTTAATGCACAGAAAATTTGAAACAATAGTACAGTGAACACCCACCTAGATTTACCAATTATTAGCATTTTGTCACATTTGCTTTCTATCTCTATCCTCTATCCAATCTCCACACATACTCTTTTTGATTACTTTTTTTAATCATTGGGATTTTTGGCGTTTTTTTTTTTTTTTTGGAGACAAGGTCTCACTCTGTCGCCCAGGCTGGAGTGCAGTGGTGTGATCACAGCTCACTGCAGACTTGACCTCCCCAAGCTCGGACAATCCTCCCACCTTGGCCTCTGTACTAGCTGGGACCACAAGCACATGCTGCCATGCCAAGCTAATTTTTCATTTTTTATAGAGACGAAGTTTTGCCATGTTGCCCAGGCTGGTCTTGAACTCCTGGGCTCAAGTGATCTTCCTGCCTTGGCCTCCCAAAGTGCTGGGATTACAGGTGTGAGTCACTGAGCCTGGCCTGATTTTTTTCCTTAAACGGTTTGAAAATAAATTACAAACATCAGGACACTTCATCCCTAAATACTTCAGAATGTATCTCCTAAGTATGAGGACATTCTGCTAGGTAACTGCGATAGAATTAACAACTCCGGAAATGTAACATTAACATGCTATTATCTAGAATTAGTTCATATTCAAATTTCCCCAGTTTTCTCAATGTTTTTATAGCCTTTTAAAAATGCAGAATTCAATTAGAGATCATACATTATATTTAGTTGTCATATGTCTTTACTCTTTTTAAATCTAGAATAATTCTCTAGCCTTTTAAATATCTTTTGTGATATTGACTTAAGAAAAAAATATTTCTGTGCCTAGCTTATTTCACTTAACATAATGACCTCCAGTTCCATCCATGTTGCTGCCAAAGACAGGATCTCGTTCTTTTTTATGGCTGAGTAGTAGTCTATTAGGTATCTATACCACATTTTATTTTCTTTTTTTTAAATAAATTTTATTTTTAATTTTTGTAGGTACATAGGTGTATATATTTATGGGATACATGAGATATTTTGATACGGGAATGCAGTGTGTAATAATCACATCATGGAGAATGGGGTATCCATCCCCTCAAGCATTTATCCTTTGTGTTACTAACAATCCAATTATAGTCTTTTAGTAATTTGAAAATGTATGATTAAGTTGTTATTGACTATATCATCCTGTTGTGCTATCAAATAGTAGGTCTTATTCATTCTTTCTAACTATGTTTTTTGTACCCATTAACCATCCCCATCTCACCCCCGACCTGCTCCCACTACCCTTCCTAGCCTCTGATAACCATCCTTCTATTCTCTATGTCCATTGGGTTCAATTGTTTGGAGTTTTAGATCTTACAAAGTGAGAACGTGCGATGTTTGTCTTTCGGTGCCTGGCTTATTTCACTTAACATAATGATCTCCAGTTCCATCCATGTTGTTGCAGATGACAGGATCTCATTCTTTCTATGGCTGAGTAGCATTCCATTGGGTATATGTACCACAGTTTCCTTATCCACTTTTCTGTTGATGGACACTTAAGTTGATTGCATATCTTTGCTACTGTGAATAGTGCTGAGGTAAACATGAAGAGCTAAAAAGGTTGATCTCGTGGAGGTAGAGAGTAGAGAGGTTGGTTACTGGATACAAACATACAGTTAGATTGAAAGAATAAGTTCTAGTATTCAGTAGCAGAGTAGGGTGACTATAGTTGACAACAATGTGTCGTATATTTCAAAATAGCTAGAAAAGAGGAATTGAAATGCTCCAAATACACAGAAATGATAAATGCTCAAGGTGATGGACACTCAAATACCCTGCCTTGTTCACTACACATTCTATGCATGGAACAAAATATCACATGTACCCCCTAAAAATGTACAACTATTATATATGAATAAGAATTTTTTTTTTTTGGCTAGGTGTGATGACTCACTCTTGTAATCCCAGCACTTTGGGAGGCTGAGGCAGGAGGATCACTTGAGCCCAGGAGTTCGAGACCAGCCTAAGCAACATAGCGAGACCCCATCTTTACAAAAAATACAAAAATTAGCCAGTGTGGTAGCTCACATCGGTAGTCCCAGCTACCCAGGAGGCTGAGGTGGGAGGATCACTTGAGCCTGGGAGGTCAAGGCTGCAGTGAGCCAAGATCACACCACTGTACTCCAGCCTGGGCAACAGAGTGAGACCCTGTCTCAAAAAAAAAAAGTTTTTAAGAAAAAAATCAGATGA